>NC_000005.10:89806776-90109807 GCF_000001405.40 Homo sapiens | reverse complement strand
AACATTTTGTTGGTAGTTTGATAGAAGTGGCATTGAATCTGTAGATTACTTTGGGCAGTATGACCATTTTAATGATATTGATTCTTCCAACCCATGGGCATGGAATGTTTTTCCATTTCTTTGTGTTGTCTATGATTACTTTCAGCAGTGTTTTGTAGTTCTCCTTGTAGAAATCTTTCATCTCCTCGGTTAGATGTATTCCTAGGTATTTTATGTTTTTTTTATAGCTATTGTGAATGGGATTGTGTTCTTAATTTGGCTCTCAGCTAGTTGTTGTGTATAGAAATGTTATCGATTTTTGTATGGTGATTTTGTATCTGAAAACTTTAATGACATCATTTATTAGTTCTAGGAGACTTTTTGCAGAGTCTTTAGGGTTTTCTAGGTATAGAATATATTACCAGCAAAGAGAAATAATTTGATCTTGTCTTTTTTCTAGGAGTGTTTTAAAGGAGATATTGCACTGAAGTGATAAATGTAAGTTGATGGCCTTCTACTCCATATGGACTGTAAAACAGTGTGTCACTGAAACCAGGAACATATTAACTTGTATAGGTTTCTTTTCAGTCTGTTTAAATTATTAGAAGGCATGAATTGTAAATAAACTCCCTACAGATCTAGTAAGATCTTGAATTTTGGGAACCCTTTACTTATTGCATGGGGAAAATATATGCAAACTTCACTCATTCATTCAAAAATTTCTTGAATGAGAAAATCAGAAAAGCATATATTCGGTGATCCATAAAACTGTATTTCTTGACTAAGACACAACCTTGAATAAGCTCAGATATGGCTTATACTGTAAAAGGCCTTACTCTGAAAAGTAGAAAAAAGAATGTGAATCAAACATCAATTGCTCTTTTATTGTGTAAAAGGCAAAGTCCTGTGTGATGAGGAGTAACAGTCAGAAGTAAGACACTATTCTTGCCCCCATCAACCTTAGCACTTTAGTATCTACACTAGTCTTAGATCCATCAGAGAAGAGGGAGGAAACTTATAGGGAACAAAAGGATCAACAAAATTGATTCTAACTTTGAGATTTTATAAGCTCTTTCTTTGTCCAATAAGTAACAGGAAACCCAAACTGATTTTTTTTTTTGCAGAGGAGTGCAAGATGGTTAGTAGTTTGGGTTTTGAAGTTAAAATGGCCTGTGTTTAAAATATAGTTCTACCATGCAACAGCTGTGTTACCTTGGATAAATCTCTTAATCTCTCCAAACCTCCTTTTCTCTGCTGTAAAATTAGGACTTTAATGGTATTTATCTTATAGTGTGAGAATTAAATTAGATAATATATGAAAATTGCTTAGCATAATGCTGAACACATAAAAGACATTCAATAAACCTCTTTTCTAAAGAGTGTTTTTAGAAAATTAACCTGGTACTGACATTGAAATTTAATATGCAATTGAGATTGTG
Organism: Homo sapiens; assembly: GCF_000001405.40. Taxonomy (NCBI): domain Eukaryota; kingdom Metazoa; phylum Chordata; class Mammalia; order Primates; family Hominidae; genus Homo; species Homo sapiens. The sequence continues at coordinate 90,108,389 of NC_000005.10, read as the reverse complement.
GAAGTTTAGGAAATGCTGCTTTGTATGAAATTGGGAATTTTATAAAATGTTACCTTATTTTATCATAATTTAATAGTCATTCCAACTCAGTTGTGCCAAAAAAGGGGGAAAAAAGTCATACTACTTTTGGACATAACTATCTCAGTGTGATCTAATAGCTGCTGCTCCCTTTGGGGTGTTTTACATACTTTCACTAAGGTAAAATATGTGTTTTAAAAAAGAAAAAGTAGCTTTATTCATTTCGCAAAGTTTTGTAAACATTTAAAATAGTTTTTAAAACATTTGGTGAATTAATATTATGTATTGACTATTGTAGGCATTCAACTGAGATAGAGAAGGGATTTGAAAATTTTGTTTCTTGAATGGGAAAAAGGATTGAAGAATAAGGGCCCATTTATTAAAATTCCAGAGGTTTAAAAAGTTATTTTGGAAATCTTAATTGTGAGAAGTTGGGATACCGTGGTTGGAAACAAAATCTCTTCCTCAAGAATCAGGATTTAAATTGTGAATTTCACATTTTAAGATGTACCTGTCATGTCATTGTTCACATAGAATCAACATCTTTCTATTACTGGATTTCTTCCAGAGACATTTTTAGACAATGCTTTTTCTAACACATACACATTTACAAACACAAAACTTTCAAATGTAAGCAACCACCTCACTCTCTCTGCATTGATGAAATCTCGATAAAGACAAGACAAAATGCAGAAGACCAAAATATCACATATTTATAAAAAATTTATGAATCATTCCAAAACTTTATGAAAGTAAGCTGTTTTTTTTTTGTTTTGTTTTGTTTTGTTTTTGTTTTTTTCCTTTGTAAGCATGCTTACTTTTCTATGGATTAAAAGTGCTGACAGCCAGTCTGGAGGAAGAAATTGTGTTTGGCAGGATTCATTTGCAATTAACTAAGGGAGACCATTCTTCAATGGTAGGTTCACCTAATGGAGTGGAGTTGAGTTTCACCCACAATTATTGAATGCTGACAATGTGCCCTACTTGTACCACATGCTGGTGGAGACATGAATAGGACCCAATACTGGAAAGTCAAGGAGCTAACAGTTTCGTGACAATGCTCTCAACTGAGGCAGCTACCACAATATCTGTATCTTTGAGCAGGGCAGCAAGTACACTATTACTAATAATAGTCAAAGTATACCTTCAGGAATGACAACTTTTCATCTATCTAAAAGGATTCAGTGTTATTCCCACAGTGAAATCTCTTGCATTCAGGTACATTCTGACATGTTTTGAGAGGAGCAACAGAAGTTATAGGTAGAGCTTGAATGTATAGGTAGAACTACACGGATTCAGTACCCTCTAGTGAGTGGTCACTATTACCACAAGGTTAACAGTGTGTGCTTAAGGCAGTTTTGTAGCAGTTGTAAATTTTGACGTAACAGTTACCTCCATTGTCTTTTAAATTTTATCCATGAATAAGTTTTTAATGAAAAGAAGATGAGACTAGATAAAGCAAGGGTGCTTACAATATTAAATACATATTTGTCTTATTGAGAAGAATGATGCTCTTTATATAAAAAGAGGTTACAGCCTGTACATTCTATATATTGTAATAAAAATATTTATTTACAAATATCCTTTAGTATTATAATTACTAACATTGATATTTGTTGAATTCTAGAAAGTTCAAAATTCATATTTAAGAAATGTTTCATACTAAAGACAATATTAGCCACATTTATTTCTTTTTAAGAATAATTTTTGAGATCTTTAAAAATATGATTTAATTCTCATGCTTTAAAAACACTTTTTTGAATTCTATGTTAACATAAAAAAAAACAATATTTTTCTGATTTTTCTTTTCTTTTCCTTTTTTGAAACCTGTTTTTTGAACAAACTTTTTCCATGGAATTGTGTAGCTTATATAAGCATCATCTGATATGTGGAATACAATGCGGGGGAAAAAAAGAGTTGAGACACTACAGCCTAGTGCATTCAAATGTAACTTTTCTCAAAATGAATACTTATCACATAAACATTATTGCAACAATGCCTGAGATTTATTCATCTTTCTTTTTCTCCATGTTAAATTATCTTTAATTTTAATTTTAACTTTTTAATTTATTTTCCAGGATACATGTGCAGGATGTGCAGGTTTGTTAAATAGGTAAATGTGTTCCATGGTGGATTGCTGTATCTATCAACTCTTCACCTAGGTATTAAGCCCCACAAGCATTAGCTATTTATCTGATGCTCTCCCTCCCTCTGCCCCACAACAGGCCCCAGTGTGTGGTGTTCCTCTCCCTGCATCCATGTGTTCTCATTGTTCAGTTCCTCCTTATAAGTGAGAACATGCTGTATTTGGTTTTCTGTTCTGTGTTAGTTTGCTGAGGATGATGGCCTCCAGCTCCATCCATCTCCCTGCAAAGGATATGATCTTGTTCCTTTTTATGGCTGCATAGTATTCCATGGTGTATATGTACCACAGTTTCTTTACCCAGTCTATCATTGATGGGCATTTGAGTTGATCCCATATCTGCTATTGTGAATAGTGCTGCAATGAACATACGCATGCATGTATCTTTGTAATAGAATGATTTATATTTCTTTGGATATGTACCCAGTAATGGGATTTCTGGGTCAAGTGGTATTTCTGTTTCTAGATCTTTGAGGTATTGCCATGCTGTCTTCCACAATGGTTGAACGAATTTACATTCCTATCAATGGTGTAAAGGCGTTCCTATTTCTCCATAACCTTGCCAGCATCTGTTGTTTCTTGCCTTTTTAATAATCACCATTCTAACTGGTATAAGATAGTTAATGGGATTTATGCGTCAAATGATATTTTTGGTTCTAGATCTTTGAGGTATTGCCATGCTGTCTTCCACAATGGTTGAATGAATTTACATTCCCATCAACAGTGTAAAGTTGTTCCTATTTCTCCATAACCTTGCCAGCATCTATTGTTTCTTGACTTTTTAATAATCACCATTCTAACTGATATGAGACAGTGTCTCTTTGTAGTTTTGATTTGCATGTCTCTGATGATCAGTGATGTTGAGCTTTTTTTCATAAGTTTTTTGGCTGCATGTACATCTTTTGAGAAATGTCTGTTCATATATTTTACCCACTGTTTGATGGGGTTGTTTTTTTTCTTGTAAATTTGTTTAAGTTAATTGTAGATTCTGGATAGTAGGCCTTTGTCAGATGTATAGATTGCAAAAATTTTCTCCCATTCTGTAGGTTCACTCTGATGATAGTTTGTTTTGCTGTGCAGAAGCTCTTTAGTTTAATTAGATCCCATTTGTCAATTTTTGCTTTTGTTGCAATTGTTTTTGATGTTTTTGTCATGAAATCTTTGCCAGTGCCTATGTCCTGAATGGTATTGCCTAGATTTTCTTCTAGGATTTTTTAGTTTGGGGTTTTACATTTAAGTCTTTAATCCATCTTGAGTTAAGTTTTGTATAAGGTGTAAGGAAGTGGTCCAGTTTCAGTTTTCTGCATATGGCTAGCCAATTTTCCCAGCATCATTTATTAAATAGGGAATCCTTTCCCCATTGCTTGTTTTTGTCAGATTTGTCACAGATCAGATGGTTGTAGATGTGTGGTCTTGTTTCTGAGACCTGTATTTTGTTCCATTGGTCTATGTGTCTGTTTTGGTACCATTACCATGCTGTTTTGGTTACTGTAGCCTTGCAATATAGTTTGAAGTTGGGTAGCATGATGCCTTCAATTATAGTTTAATGGATATAATATTGAATTTATAAATTACTTTAGGCAGTATGGCAACTTTCACAAAATTGATTCTTCCTATCCATGAGTATGAAATGTTTTTCCATTGAGAAGCATTAAATAGACACAATAAAAAATGATAAAGGGGATATCACCACTGACCACACAGAAATACAAGCAACCCCACAGAGAATACTATAAACACCTCTCTGCAAATAAACTAGAAAATCTAGAAGAAATGGATAAGTTCCTGGACACATACACTCTCCCAAGACTAAACCAGGAAGCTGTTGAATCCCTGAATAGACCAATAACAAGTTCTGAGGCAGTAGTAAATAGCTTACCATCCAATAAAAGCCCAGGACCAATTTGGTGGGCGCCTGTAGTCCCAGCTACTAGGGAGGCTGAGGTAGGAGAATGGCGTGAACCTGGGAGGTGGAGCTTGCAGTGAGCCAAGATTGCGCCACTGCACTCCAGCCTGGGCAACAGAGCAAGACTCCATAGAAAAAAAAAAAAAGAAAAAAAAAAGCCCAGGACCAGCTGGATTTATAGCTGAATTCTACCAGAGGCACAGAGAGAAGCTGATACCATTTCTTCTGAAACTATTCCAAACAACTGAAAAGGAGAGACTTTACATGGCACATGTATACATATGTAACAAACCTGCACGTTGTGCCTGTGTACCCTAGAACTTAAAGTATAATAAAAAAGAAAAAAGAAAGAAAAGGAGAGACTTCTCCCTAACTCATTTTATGAAGCCAGCATTATCCTGATACCCAAACCGGGAAGAGATACAATAAAAAAGGAAAGCTTCAGGCCAATATTTTTGATGAACATCAGTGCAAAAATCCTCAATAAAATACTGGCAAACCAAATCCAGCAGCATAGCTCATTCACCACAATCAAGTCAGCTTCATCCCCAGGATGCAAGGCTGGTTCAACATACGCAAATCAATAAACGTAATTCATCACAGAAACAGAACTAAAGGCAAAAACCACATGATCAACTCAATAGGCACAGAAAAAGGCCTTCAAAAATTCAATATCCCTTCATGTTAAAAATTCTCAATAATCTAGGTATTGATGGAACATATCTCAATATAATGAGCCGTTTATGACAAACCCATAGCCAATATTGTACTGAGTGGGCAAAAACTAGAAGAATTCCCCTTGACAACCAACACAAGACAAGGATGCCTTCTCTCACCACTCCTATTCAACATAGTATTGCAAGTTCTGGCCAGAGCAATCAGGCAAGATAAAGAAATAAAGGGTATTAAAACAGGAAGAGAGGAAGTTAAACTGTCTCTGTAGATGACATGTTTCTATATTTAGAAAACCCCATTGTCTCATCCCAAAAGCTCCTTAAGCTGATAAGCAAATTCAGCAAAGTCCCAGGGTACAATATCAATGTGCAAAAATCACAAGCATTCCTACACACCAACAATAGACAAGCAGAGAGCCAAATCATGAATGAACTCCCATTCACAATTGCTACAAAGAGAATAAAATTCCTAGGAATACAGCTAACAAGGGAAGTGAAGGACCACTTCAAAGAGAATTACAAATCACTGCTCAAGGAAATAATAGAGAACACATTCATCTTTCAATACTTGTTCAGCTACAGATTTTGCCTCTAATACTGTCAATCTGTCCATTTTCTGGACCTCAAATTTTCTAATTTTTGTCATATTTCTTTTCAGTTTAAGATTACCCAGTTCTCTGAGCTACTAATATTAAGGCTGAGAAACTCTTTTCAATTATTGACCCGTTCTTAAGACAGGGTAATGAGACCCCCCTACTTAAATGCTCTTTGGAAAGTAAGAGATATAGTATTTAAAGGCAAAGATTTGATTATAAGTCTTATGTTAGTTGAGCGCCTTACTGCATGAATTTCACGTTTACAAGAAACTGAATTAGCATACATGGGGTGACTCAAGAGTGGTAGGATATTCCAAAATTTCTACAATGAACAGGTGTGTTTTGAAATAATGTGAGCCTAACAGGGCTGAGAAAGCTGAATGTATCTAGTACCAAACAGATCCATAAGAAAATAAAAATATACTGGTGGCCAACTTTGGTGCCAAGACTGTGAATTTTAAAAGTACCAACCTAGACATGATGAAACCTTAGAAACTGTGTTCTCAAAAGCGAACAAAGAGGGAAATAAATGAACCACTTAAATTCTTCTGGTAATTTTGGATGTATTTGACTAATTCACTCCATAAAGACTGAAAAATGAACAAACTCAACAAATAACAATTGGTGGTAGGCTTCTAGTGTTTTTAGGGTAACTCATCTTTATGATTATTGGTATCCTGGAATTGGCCCATTGATATTTAGATGATTTGGGTTTGAAAAGTGTCTCTTTTCCTTTAATGACCTAGGTGGATTTTCACGACCTCAACTGTAGATAATATTCAGAACAAATTGAACCCATTTTTGTTTACATCCCACAGGTATCAACTTTTAAAGAGAAGTTCAAACCATGGATTCCAAGTACTCGGACCAAAACACAGTAGAGTATGGTAGGCTTAACTTTTGTCTCCAAAGGCTATACTATTTTACCCATGAATTCAAGTTAATGAAGATACGTGTCTAGCATTTTATCAGTGATATGCATTATTGGACACAGCGAAAATGCCTGAGAAAGCTGGGCTAGAATTACTACAGAGTTTCACAATTCAGTGGTTGCTTTTGTGTTAGTAACTGTATTTTTTTTTTTTTTTTTTTGAGACGGAGTCTCGCTCCGTCGCCCAGGCGGGAGTGCAGTGGCGCAATCTCGGCTCACTGCAAGCTCCGCCTCCCGGGTTCACGCCATTCTCCTGCCTCAGCCTCCCGAGTAGCTGGGACTACAGGCGCCCGCCATCACGCCCGGCTAATTTTTTTGTATTTTTAGTAGAGACGGGGTTTCACCGTGTTAGCCAGGATGGTCTCGATTTCCTGACCTCGTGATCCACCCGCCTCGGCCTCCCAAAGTGCTGGGATTACAAGCGTGAGCCACCGCGCCCGGCCAGTCAACTGTATTTTTAAAAAGTTAAGTTAACTCTCTATTATCCTTCTTCTTGTCAGGGACAAATAACGTAGATAATGTGGAATACAAATATACAAAATATAGTTATTATGTGCTTTGGGAAACCTTAGGTGGATTTCTGTTGTTAACTGTCTTTCTCTCTTTTCCTCTATCTAAAATTTTCTTTGCATTTAGATTAAATTTTCTATCTAATTACTATGTAGGAAACAATACAAGTCAAAATTAAAATCTGGGCTTGTACAACCCACGTGATAAATCATTCTGCACGTGAGAAATCCATAATGATTTCTTGGATGAATTTAATGTATGACATATATGTAGAATTTTATTAGAACCTAAGTAGCCATGCTATTAGAGTCAAATTATAAAGCATATATAGGGTTCAGATCATAAGAGAAGCACTGAGCCTGCCAGAAATATTTGCATATGGAAAATATGGCAAACGAAGACATGTAAGTAAGAAAATAAGAATTTTAACACTTGAATTCTTCTATTTAGTTTGTTCTAGTTCCCCATGACTGAATAAGTCTTAAATTTGCCTACTCACAAAAGCCTGTCTACTTATATTTTCTTTCATCTATCCATCTACATATCTACCAAAGAAACTTTAAATGTATACAAATATAAATTAACTGGTATTGTTACGATACACACTATTTCATGTAAATATTTACATGACTTCACCATACAACTAGAGCATACATTTAGAAAATGTTTTGACTCCTAACACACTGAAGCATGCAGGGGCAAAGTTATTTTGTCTCCACTATGAGTTCATAGGGTTATGCTTAAGGGCATACACAAATGCCTGTTATACTTCATTCTGTTTCAACTACACTCTCAATGCTCATTGCTATCCATGGACCTGACTTTCAAATTGTTCTCCTATTGATCTTCTCTCTTCTCCCTACCACAGTTTGCACATTCCATATTACTTTATGCTGAGTCTTAGCTTAATATTAGATTGGTGCAGAAGTTATCATGGTTTTTGGCATTACTTTCAATGTAATGTGTTAAGTAAATTGTTGGAGCAAGCTAGTTTTATTCTTTTCTTCCTTGTTTATATCCTATGAGAGGAGTTGATAATGTAATTGAGTAAAACACAGATCATTTATTGGGTCATATTTTAAAGTAGAGAGTGTTACTATACCTCCAATGCCATGACCCATGCATTTCCATATCCTATCCCTAGAACCTTTCACTTACTTTCTTGTATTAAACAGATCAAATAGGTTCCAGAAACAGACCTGGCTCATTAGTGCTAACTCCTGCATTGTCTCTTGCTGTTTCGGCTTTTCTACATCTGTGACTTCACCATGTTTGGTCTATTCTGAGACCCCCAAATCTTAGTTTTCTGAGGAAGAGAACAGGATTCTTGTTGGAGTCCTCATGTTTAAACTTTGCTCTTAATGAGAGAAGTTGTGCAGGGGGCTAGTAAAGACAGACCAGATGGACCTTTTGAAACTAATATTGTGTTCATTTCCCATGCAGTTGTTCCTTTCATGCATAGTTCCTTGGCCAGAAAAACTAGAGAGAAAGGGTGCAAACCTCTTCCTTGCCCCTGAAATATTAGACACATGCTTTATTTACTGATTTTGTGGCATCTATTTTGGCAGCTTGGAAACTTCTGGGATCCTTGTTTGTATTCTTGATAAGTAAGGTTTCTGTATAGTTGAGTTCTAGATATCTGAAGTGTTATTCTACTTATTTTACAATAATGATTGATGCTTTAAAATACAGACAGTTGAACTCTATTTAATATGGACAGTCTTGTGGATAAAATGAGTGTTAAGTAGCATTAACTTTGTTTTAGTGCTTTACCTACTCAAGTAAAATTTTGAGTTAGAGAATCAGTTGCAGACTTTCTAGGAAAGATTAAACTAAATAATTTTCAATGAAATTTTAGGCAAATAACTATTATTTCTTATGTCTTCTGTAAAAAGGAAAAAATACCTGAGATTGAAACTAAAACCCAATTCAGATCACTTGTATTAAACTCCATTTGAGAGGTTCACATTTTTTTCATTAAAGGAAAAAGGTATTTTTTCCCTATTCCATTCTGCAAAATATTCTCCTTGTTATGGAGATTTTGGGTTAATTTGTATAGCTGAAGCCAAATTGAATTGCCATTTTTGAGTCAAATTTATGATTGACTGAATTGGGCCATTATTACTGGAAAGAGCAAAGATTGTTTTGCTGAAGCCCTTGAGGTGTTGAAGACAAAATGTCTGCAGGCAGGCAAAAAAAAAAAAAAAATCAAAACTATTTTTATGTGTAATGATATGACTAGACACTTATCTCAGAAACTGTTTTGATCAGAGTCCAAAGAAACAAACACATGTAAGTGAGGGTTGAGACCTTCCATGAGGAAATAGGCAAATATTTCACACTTTGCTTTTGTTAATGCTGCTGAGAAGACATTGCTTAAGACTGTGGCAAGTAGGGTGGGATTTGAGCTGCTAAAACTATAGGGATCTTTTACTTAGCCTAACATGTAGTCATGAGAGACACAGAGGTTCTTTTTTGAATTACTAAGCTATTACTTTTGAATTTCATGTACTCAGATATCCCACAGTTTCTATTTAACATTTACTAAACCACTTACAGGATTTCCTTCTGGAACTAGCAGAACTCAGCTCTGGCAGGGACCTGATAAAGTTCTAGCCCTGGATGAGAGTAAGAAATAAAATCTCATTGCAATGCTGTCTTCCAGGGAGGATAGATAAATAAGTCCTATAAAATGTATGTCTATTGTAATACTCTTTTTAGGAGGTCCCCTGCCCCAACACTGTAGTGCAGTTTGGGGATCTAAAACCAGCTATTAAACAGTTATGCTGTACTAAAAATAGAAGACGTTTAAGAAACTCAAGTAGTAGTTAGCATTCTATATGTTAGTTTAATTTGAAATTAATTTCAATAATATAAATATTTATAGAACTTTTTTGAAGTGGGTCATATCATTTCTATTAGACAACGCTCAAGGTATTGGAAAACAAACACATGACTATATTCAGTTATCTCCCTAGAATATCTTTGGCTTGAAATTATTAGCTTACACGGCCAATTCAGATGGCTGCATGGAACACTCCAGATTTCAAGACATCTCTCCTGTTGTAGCATTTATCTTGTTTTAGCTTCACAGAATATAATTATTAACAACAAAAATATTCAGAACAAATGTCTCATATATTTCTATTATACTTTTATTTAGATTTGCAAAGAATTTCAAAACTTACCTAGTGAAGTTCCCTTTCTACTTTTAAGTAAGACAACATTTCAAGCATTTGGGAAACCTGTATGCGTACCTTTTCTTAAAATTCTCTTAAGAAATGTACTTTAAGTAGTCTCTAACCAACACATCAAATTGTACTGATAGGTTCCCACATATAATGGCTTGTTGCAATTACAGTTCCTTAAGTTGTAGGCAGGGGTTTGGGAGGGACCCTGGGGGTGGGTTTGGGAGGATTTTTTTTTTTTTTTTTTGGAAACAGGGTCTGTCTCTATCGCCCAGGCTGGAGTTGCGGTGGCAGGGTCATAGCTCAGAGCAGCCTGGGTCCCCTGGGCTCAGGTGGTCCTCCCACTTCAGGCCCCCTCCCACCCTCCCCACAGTAGCTGGGACTACAGATGCGCACCACCACACCTAGCTAATTTTTTTTCTTTTTTTTTTTTTGAGATGGAGTCTCGCTCTGTCACCCAGGCTGAAGTGCAGTGGCATGATCTGGGCTCACTGCAAGCTCTGCCTCCCGGGTTCACACCATTCTCCTGTCTCAGCCTCCCAAGTAGCTAGGATTACAGGCACCCACCACCATGCCCGGCTAATTTTTGTTTTTTTTTTGTATTGTTAGTAGAGATGGGGTTTCACCGTGTTAGCCAGGATGGTCTCGATCTCCTGATCCCCTGACCTTGTGATCCGCCCGGCTCTGCCTCCCAAAGTTCTGGGATTACAGGCGTGAGCCACCGTGCCCGGCCACGCCTAGCTAATTTTTGTATTTGTTTTTGTCTTTTTTTTGAGATAGAGTCTTGCTCTGTCACCCAGGCTGGAGTGCAGTGGCGCGACCTCGGCTCACTGAAACCTCTGCCTCCTGGGTTCAAGCGATTCTCATGCCTCAGCCTCCCGAGTAGCTGGGATTACAAGGACCCACCACCATGCCCAGCTAATTTTTGTATTTTTAGTAGAGATGGGGTTTCTCCATGTTGACCAGGCTGGTCTTGAACTCCTGACCTCAAGTGATCCCTCTGCCTTGGCCTCCCAAAGTGCTGGGAGCTACCGTGCCTGGCCTAATTTTTGTATTTTTAAATAAAGACGGTGTTTCACTATGCTGCCCAGATTGGTCTCTTGGGCTCAAGCGATCCACCAGCTTCCTCGGCCTCCCAAAGTTCTGGGATTACAGGTGTGAGTCACTGTGCCTGAGTGATCTTTATCTTGTCATAGTCTGTTCCTTTTTTAGCAGTCTTTTCTCCAGCCCAACCTGATAAAACTTTAGGGAAAGAAGATTTTTTTTTTCTTTTCTTAATAAATAAAAAATTGGGAGGCCCCTGTTTCATGTTACCACTGGGCAATTTTACTTTCCCACAACTTGTGTACTCTAAGTTCTCATACAAATCCATCCTACATTCTTTGTGCTCCAATTGATGATGGCCTTGATGAGTCCTTCAAAGAAACAGGGAAAAGCTGCACACCATCACCGATACTGAGCTCTCGGCGTATTTGATGACTTTTGCCTCCTTGCTGACTGCTTTGACAGAAGCAATGTGTGACTCATCAGGGGCGGCTCCTGAGTCATGGGGTGATAACACAACTCCTGTATCTAAGATTCCTCAAATCTGACACTCACACTCACTGGCTTAAGAGTGCAAGAATGAATAACAGAGGATGATTTCAGGAGAGGATTTGTGTCCCCAGCTGAATCTGTACTTTGCTTTTGTTTCAATTTGACACCCGAACCTTGTTTCTAAAAGTTTGACGCACTTGCTTTCTGACATATAAAGGTGACTTCTAAGTAGTACTGGCTTCACTCAAAGAGGGAGAGGCAGTGCCACATGAAGAGTGAAATGAGAGATACCAGGAAGGTCCTTCCAGCAATATTGAGTCATCAGAACCAGGAATTTCTTGGGAAGGGGTAGAGATTAGTGAAAAGATCTTTACAGACAGACCTGGACTTGAATTTCTGCTCCACTTAATAGCTGATAGGAAAGTGGGAAGAAAAAGATTGGTGGTAACAAATCTGAGGGGCTCAGGATTGTGTGGGGAATACCCTATGCCAACAAGAAAGGCCTTGGGCATAATATATGTTTGTATATTGGGGAAAGCTGGGGTAACATGAGAGGATCATGGAACAGGTGAGGTGTGATAACACCAAAGACAAATGCTAAATACTTTTGTTATGATAACAATAAAATAGGAAGAAAAAGGATAACTAAATCTGTCAATACTCAAATGTACTTATTAGATTTAGAACCCTCTTTGTCTCTCTCTATGTGTGTGTATATATGTGCATATATAGTTAAATATATAACTATTATATATATTATACATATATATACATATAATCTTCTGTGAACCTACTGTATACCAAGTAATGTGTTAGATATTGGGAATACAAAGATAAATAAGCCATGGTTTTAAATAAATGGTTTTAAATAAACCTTAAGTTTGCACACCACTTTGTATCTTTCAAGGTATTTTTGCATAGATTATCTCATTCTATATCTTCAGAAAGTTATGACAAAGAGATATTAGTCTAGCTTAGGGTATACTGAGTCATAAACGTCTGCAGGGGAATGGTGTAAGAAGTGATGCCCTGTACCTTGTTCTGGCACCTTTCCATGTGACTTCAGAAAAACTGTAGATCTAAAAGGTCTAGGAAAATCAGAACTGTACCACAGGTGTGGATTAACCGGTACTAGAAGGTATAAATTATGCAGCCTTGTGGATGTAGAAGAAAAAGGTATCTCCCTCTATAACTTTTCTGAAATGTCCTGTCCCCTGGGGAAAGAATCTTGCTCCCTTGAGGAAGTGCCAGGACATCTGTGAGTCCATGAGCAGAATCACATTAGCTGCATGTGTTCCCAGTTGGGGGTTGTACAGAGAACTCTCCTGAATAATTATGTGGGACTCATTCTCATTCCAGGTGGTAAAATTAGGATCTTTTAAAGCACTTACGTGGACTCATTTTCATATAAGACTTGCAAGGTGACTCAGCATTTACATTCTTAAAACAAGCTATGTAGACAGACTCTCAGGAAGGCATTTTTCCAAAGGAAGGGGAAATGGAGAAACAAATTTTGAGAAAAAGTTATTGGAGATATTATCCATTATCATTAAATATAGATACACAGTATAGAAAGCAATTAATGTTATTTTTGATTCCTGGCAGAACGTGAGATGTTGGTTTGTCTGACTGCTATAGGACATCAGTGAGTGGAACTGGACCTCATTAAGGAGGTGAAAGGAAGAACAAAAACTGCCAACACAACAAATGGAGCCCCTTGGTATAGATTGTTAATGTACTTTGTTATATTAGAGTGGGAACGGTATGTCTCCGTGCTTATGAAGAGAATAGAGGGAAAGCAGGGCTCTCTGCTAGGATGTAAGTGGTTGTGATGTGAGTTTTATGAGTTCAGTAAAGAGTGGTCCCTGGAAGGCAGCCATTAAAATTGAGTTTGACTTTAGCATAAACAAATTCAAGCAATAATGGTTAGTGAAACCTTTTTTTTTCAAATACTTTATGGAAAATATTAGAGAAAATCAAATTCAAATTAGCAGTATTTATTTAATTTAGTTTAGGAGCTAAGAAAATACATCCTATATAAGTAGGTCCTATAAATTTGGTATGTAAATCCCTTCTCGAACCGCCTTCCATGGCTTCTCAAAGCTTTTAAGAGAAAAACCCCACTCTCGACTATGGTCTCTTCACTAGGTTTCAGCAGTCCTGGTCTTGTTGCAATTCCTTAACATGGCAAGGTCCTTTCTGCTTCAGGTGGTGGTCTTCACCAATGTTTTTTCAATCTGAGCTTTGCATCATTCTTCAAATTTTAGCTTAAATGTCACCTCTTCAGGAAAGCCTCTCTTGGCTAAGTTGTATTCCATTTTACCTCCTTTTGTTGTTCTTATTTCAGCCCCATGTATTTCCTCCAGTACTTCTTATAATTTTTCTTATTTGTTAATTTTCTTGCTTTTTGGGGGCCTGTATCTTCCATATCAAAGTATAAGATTTGTAAGACAAGATTCTGTGTTTTCTTCTCCAGTGTATTTCCTGTGTTTAATAGAGTCACTGGTAATAGTAGACACTCAACATATTTTGATAAAGACAAGAATGAAAAATGCCAGTTATTCATGTTTCAGCTTGCAACATTGAATACAGAGGACCCAGGTTGTGAAATTTCTTTCACTGAATGTATTCAAAGCAGACATAGGGCAGGCTAGGACAAAAATAATGCTCTGTGGACACAGCAGTTAGTATGGTGCTGGTGTGCTCATTAAAATGTCTGATAAAGCTTTCATTACAAAAACTCTGGGGAGGTTTTGTGAGCTAATTTTTAAAAATGCCATTTTAGATCTATAGGATCCGTTACAGTAAATTACTTAAAATCCAGAAAGGAAATGTGCTTGCTTCCTGTGTCATATATTCTTAGCTCACTGGAACACTAAGAAAATGAGAAGAGTAATAGTGTGTGGAAAGCATCCAGGCCAGGTCCTAACGTTGCCTTAAACCTTCTTTGCTCCATATGACAGGCATTGGCAATATAGTGCTGAAGAGAGCCAGGATTCTTGACCTCGCATAGTTCATAGTCTCAAGTTTTATTGGTATTTTCCTTTTAAGCCTTTGTTATTTGTCCAATGGCATCTACTTGAGACAACATTTTCCATAAATGACCTTGGTCATTTCCCAGTGAATGTCTTGAAGCATTTTTCATCTGATCTCTCCAGACTTTTCTTTAGTGTTTACCTTTGTCATCTTGTTCCAATGCTACATGTCTAGTAAAATTTTAACTGAATGTCAGCATTTGGGGAAAAAATACACTTTGAAATAATAGGATTCTCATTACTGGCGTTGTGATTTTTTTTAATTGGAAAACTAGAATAACTAGTTGTGTGACATTTGGTTTTGGAAAAATAATGATTATGGTACAAACTCCTTGCATAAGTCTGTCTCCCACATTGGTGTGAAGTGCCCAAAATTTAAACAAAAGAGGAAATACAAAGCAAAAGCCACTGTATTTTTTAGATGGAAAGGCTTCTAAAATGCAGCATGTATCATATAAGTTAAACCTCTCAATACCAAAACATAGAAATCACTTAGTGAGAATTTATTTTCACCCCTTATATTTAAAAGTAGAATATACTGACAATATTGTTATAAGTGTCAGTTGTCATAATGTTTTTTAACTTTATGATAGCCCCTTGGAATTTTGAGATGTGAAGGACACTTTTATTCCTTAACAATACACCCATTTTTTTCTGTTTATTTATAATATTATTGTGTCTGCTTTTCATGTTTTTTTCTGCTTCTTTCCACATGTACCCTTTTTGCAATATAGAGCCAATATTGCCTACAAGAGTCCCTCTTTTTTATCTCGTATTTTCTATTTGTAGCTTGTAGTAATTTTGCCCTTAAAGTAAGGAGTAACTCTTAAATGAAGGCATGAGATGCTTCTGTACCTGAGACATACAAACTTTAAGACATGGATTGTGTAACATTAATTTTGTTCCCTTAGAGACCTTCTATTTACATACTTATCTCATAAGTTGTAGTCTGGACAGTTGAGTTCACTGGATAGACAAGTTCTATACGAGAGGCACGTAACTGTGTTTTAGCTCTCTGCTTCTCCAAGCTTGGTTTTTGTTTCTAATCATTTTAGTTCAAAATTACTTCTAATACTTTTATTCATATCTCATGTAGCTAATTTGAAATGCCTGAAAAAGTGGTTTATAAAAAGAGAAATACACTCTCCTTAATGATTCTCCAGAATAAAACAAATCATCTTTGCTTTGTATTTTTGGGGGGTACATGAATAAAAATAAAAAAGGAAATGAACCAATCTCCAGAACATGTTTAACAATGTGAATACACTTAACATTACTGAACTGTACATTTAAAAAAGGCTGATGATAATTTGGCATTATGTATATTAAATTAAAAAAGAAAAGGGAAAAGAAAAACTAAAGAAAAAAGAAGAAAAGAAAATCACTTGAAAAATGAAATGATCCCACTCTAGGAAACAGTAAAAATATCCAAAAACCAAAAAACCAAAACAAACAAAAATAAAACCCCAGCACATTCCAGAGATATGTCAGAATTGCCTCAGGAAGAAAAAGTAAAGAAAAACAGAGATAATAAGAAAAGTAGCATGCAAGCAAGACAAGTCTAATTATTTAATTATAGAATTTAGAATAATGCTTTAACTACATTATTCTGAGTAGCTATCAAGATAGTAGTAATTATTTAACCACCGTGTCCAGAATCACATTATTATAGTATTTCAATGGTGTTAGAAGTTTACAAAATGCTGTGTAATACATAAAATTTTAGAAAAATTAGTAAGAATTTCTCTCTTAACAGGTTTAGTGAGAGAATAACATAAGTCAATTTGAAAAGGAGAGAAGGAAATTATTGGAAGAAGAAATGGTGAGATTTTATTCCTTTTGCCACTTATAGAGGCATTAATGCTACAGCAAGGAAAGTCATTAAAAAAGATAAAATGACAATTAAATGCAGATATAGGAATAATTTTTAGAAGAGAATTTGCATGACATCAAAATAAAATTTCCTTGCTCCACGTTAAAACTTTTTTTAACTTTTAATTTTGAAATATTTCCAGACCTACAAAACACCTCCAAAAATGGTATAAAGAATTCCTTCACCCATCTTCTTCATATGTTAACATCTTATATAATCATAATAAAACCATCAAAGCCAGGAAATTAATATTGATATATTACTATTAACCAATCTACAGTCCTTATTCAATTTCTCCAGTTTTCCAACTAGTGTTCTTTATCTGGTCCAAGACCCAGTCCCGAATTCCCAAACTGCATTTAGTTGTCATGTCTCCTTGGCTTTGGCGAGTATGAGCAGTTCTTCAGTCTTAGCTTTCTATTCTCGATATTGGTATCTTCTAAGAGTAATAGTATTTTACAGAATAAATATATCTCAATTTGAATTTAGATTGAGATATTTGAATGAGGTTCTCATGTTCAAATTCATATTATTCACTGTTATCAAGAATAGTGAAGTGATTTGTGTTTACCTCAGTGCATATGTGCGTATGCACGTGCATGCACCCATTCTTACATACAATTTATATATCTATCTATATCTATCTGCACTTCTATATCTATCTGCACTTTTAAAAATATATGTTCATACTGATAACATCCAATTCTAATCCAAAAACATATGTCCATTCTAACTTTCTCCCTTACCTTACTGGTAAATTCTTCTGGCAATGAGGTATTTGACTCTCCTTACACATGGTATACTTACTTCTTTGCTAAATCCTAAATACACAAGTAGTTTTACAATTGTTATCTATATCCTTATGAAAAACAAGTGTATTACTAAGAGTACAATATTTGTGTCTTTGCTCAAATAATATATAATGAAAATACTATTTTTCATGGACACTTAGGTTAGTCTAACTAATAAATTTTATACATTATTTTATATCAAAAAATAACATTTTGAGGAAAAAAGCCTCACGATGTGACTGATTATTATCTTTGTTTTTTAAAATTATCATTTCAATAATTTTTGGGAAACAAGTGGTGTTTGTTTATATGGATAAGTTCTTTAGGTGTGATTTCTGAGATTTTGGTGCACCCATCACCCAAGCAGTGTACACTGTACCCGATATGTAGTTTTTTATCCCTCACCCTCTTCCCACCCTTCCCCTGCAAGTCCTCAGAGTTCATTATATCATTCTTATGCCTTTTGTCCTCATAGCTTAGCTCTCACTTATAAGTGAGAACATATAATATTTGGTTTTACCTTCCTGAGTTACTTCACTTAGAATAATGGTTTCCAACTGCATCCAGGTTGCTGTGAATTTCAACCTGCCATCCAGGTTGCTGTAAATGCCATCAACTCATTGGTTGATGGACACTTAGGTTGGTTCCATGTCTTTGCAGTTGTGAATTTTGGTGCTAAACATGCATGTGCAAGTGTCTTTTTCATATAATAACTTCTTTTCCTCTGAGTAGATTCCTAGTAGTGGGATTGCTGGATTGAATGGTAATTCTACTTAGAGCTCCTTAATGAATCCCCATACTGTTTTCTATAGTGGTTGTACTAGTTTATATTCCCACCAACAGTGTAAAAGTGTTCCCTTTTCACCATATCCACACCAACATCTATTATTTTTTGATTTTTTAATTATGGTCAATGTTGCAGGAGTAAGGTGGTATTGCATTGTGGTTTTGATTTGCATTTCCATGATAATTAGTGATGTTGAGCATTTTTTCATCTGTTTGTTGCTCAGTTGTATATCTTCTTTAGAGAATTGTCTACTTATGTCCTTAGCCCACTTTTTAATGGGATTATTTAGTTTTTTTCTTGCTGATTTGTTTGAGTTGCTTGTAGATTCTGCATATTAGTCCTTTGTCAGATGTATAGATTGTGAAGATTTTCTCCCATTCTGTGGGTTGTCTGTTTACTCTGTTGATTATTTCTTTTGCTATGAGGAAGCCTTTTACCTTAATGAAGTCCTATCTATTTATGTTTGTTTTTGTTGCATTTCTTTTTGGGTTCTTGATCATGAAGTCTTTGCCTAAGCCAATATCTGGAAGAGCTTTTGTGATGTTTTCTTCTAGAATTTTTATGGTTTTAGGTCTTAGATTTAAGTGTTTGATCCATCTTGAGTTGATTTTTATATAGAGTGAGAGATGAGGATCCAGTTTTATTCTACATGTGGCTTGCCAATTATTCCAGCACCATTTGTTGAATAGGGTGTCCTTTCCCCACTTTATGTTTTTGTTTCCTTTGTCAAAGATCAGTTGGCTGTAAGTATTTGGCTTTATTTCTGGGTTCTCTATTCTGTTCCATAGGTCTATATGCCTGTTTTTATACCAGTACCATGCTGTTTTGGTAACTATAGCCTTGTAGTATAGTTTGAAGTCAGGTAATGTGATGCCTCCATATTTGTTCTTTTTGCCTAGTACTGTTTTGGCTACATGGGCTATTTTTTTGCTTCATACAAATTTTAGAATTGTTTTTTCTAGTTCTGTGAAGAATGATGATGGTATTTTGATGGGAATTGCATTGAACTTATAGATTGCTTTCGGCAGTATGGTCATTTTCACAGTATTTATTCTGCCCATCAATGAGCATGGGATGTGTTTCCATTTGTTTGTATTATCTATAATTTCTTTCAGCAGTGTTTTGTAGTTTTCCTTGTAGAGGCCTTTTACCTCCTTGGTTAGTTATATTTCTAAGTGGTTCTTTGTTGTTGTTGTTGTTGTTATCTTTTTGTTTCTTGCAGCTGTTGTATAAGGGGTTGAGCTTTTGATTTGATTCTCCGCTTAGTGGCTGTTGGTGTATAGCAGTGCTACTGATTCATGTACATTGATTTTGTATCCTGAAACTTTACAGAACTCATTGATCAGATCTAGGAGCTTTTTGGATGAGTCTTTAGGGTTTTCAAAGTATACATCATATCATTGGCAAATAGGGACAGTTTGACTTCCTCTTTACTGATTTGGATGTTTCTTTCTCTTGTCTGATTGCTCTGGCTAGGACTTCCAGTACTATGTTGAATAGAAGTAGTGAAAGCTGGCATCGTTGTCTTGTTTCAGATCTCAAGGAAAATGCTTTTCACTTTTCCTCATTTAGTGTAATGTTGGCTGTGGGTTTGTCATAGATGGCTTTTATTACCTTCTATGCCAGTTTTGCTGAGGCATTTAATCATAAAGCAATGCTGGAATTTGTCAAATCCTTTTTCTGTATCAATTGAGATCATCACATGATGTTTGATTTTACTTCTCTTTATGTGGTGTATCACGTTTATTGACTTGTGTATGTTAAAACAACCCTGCATCCCTGGTATGAAATCTACCTCATCATGGTGGATTATCTTTTTGAAATGCTGTTGGATTTGGTAGCTAGTAATTTGTTGAGGATTTTTGCATCTCTGTTCATCAGGGATATTGGTCTATAGTTTTCTTTCCCTTGTTATGTTCTTTCCTGGTTTAGGTATTAGAGTAATACTGGCTTCACAGAATGATTCAAGAAGGATTCCCTCTTTCTTTATCTTTTGGAATAGTTTGAGTAGGATTGGTACCATTTCTTCTTTGAACATCTGATAGAATTCAGCTATGAATCCATCCGGTCCTGGACTTTTTTTGTTGGCAATTTTATTATTACTGTTTCAATCTTGCTACTTGTTACTGGTCTGTTCAAAGTTGCTGTTTCTTCTTGGTTTAATCTACGATGGTTGGGTATTTCCAAAAATTTATCCTTCTTCTCTAGGTTTTCCAGTCTGTGTAGATAAAGGTGTTCATAGTAGCCTTAAATGATGTTTTGTATTTCTGTGGTATTGGTTGTAATATTAGTATATCCTGTTCCATTTTTAATTGAGCTTATTTGGATCTTCTCTCTTCTTTTCTTGGTTAATCTCACTAAAAGTATACAAATTTTGTTTATCTTTACAAAAAACCAAATTTTTGTTTTATTTATCTTTTGTGTTTTTTTTGTTTCAATTTTATTTAGTTCTGATCTGATCTTGGTTATTTCTTTTCTTCTGCTGGGTTTGGATTTGGTTTGTCCTTGTTTCTCTAGTTCCATGGGGTGTGATCTCGGACTGTCTATGCTCTTTCAGACTTTTTGATGTAGGCATTAAATGCTTAACTTTCCTTTTAGCATTGCTTTTGCAGTATCCCAGAAGTTTTGATAGGTTGTGTCACTATTGGTATTCAGTTCAAAGAATTTTTAAATTTCCATTGTGATGTCCTTGTGGAGCCAAAAAGCATTCAGGAGCAGATTATTTAATTTCCATGTATTTCTATAGTTTTCAGCGTTCTTTTTGGAGTTAATTTCCAATTTCATTCCATTGTGGTCTGAGAGAGTACTTAATATTTTTTATTAAGTACTCTTATTTTTATTTTTATTTTCTTAAATTTTTTATAATTTTTATTTTCTTAAATTTATTGAGACATATTTTGTGGCCAATTATACGATCTATTTTGGAGAATGTTCCATGCACTGATGAAAAGAATGTATATCCTGCAGTTGTTGGGTAGAATGTTCTGTAAATCAGTCCATTTGTTCTAAGGTATGGTTTAAGTCCATTGTTTCTTTGTTGACTTTCTGCCTTCGAGACCTGTCTAGTGCTGTTAGTGGAGTATTGAAGTCACCCAGTATTATTGTGTTGCTATCTATCTCATTTCTTAAGTCTAGTAGTAATTGTTTTGTAAATTTGGCAGCTCCAGTTTTAGGTGCATATGCATTTAGGATTGCGATATTTTTCTGTTGGACTAATCCTTTTATCATTATATAATGTTGCTCTTTGTCTTTTTTAACTGTTGTTGCTTTAAAGTCTGTTTTGTCTGATATAAGAATAGCTACTCTTGTCGCTTTTGGTTTCCATTTGCATGGAATATCTTTTTCTACCCCTTCATCTTAAGTTTATGTGCATCCTTATATGTCAGATGAGTCTCTTGAAGACAGCAGATATTATACTGGGTTGGTTGATTTGTATCCATTCTGCCATTCTGTATCTTTTAAGTGGAACATTTAGGCCATTTACATTCAACATTAGTATTGAGATGTCAGGTACCGTTCTATTCATCATGCTGGTTCTTGCTGGAATATCTTTTTTTTTCATTGTGTTATTGTTTTATAGGCCCTGTGACATTTATGCTTTAAGGAAGTTATATTTTGGTGTAATTTGAGGTTTTGTTTCAAGATCTGGAACTCCTTTTAGCATTTCTTGTAGTGCTGGCTTGGTAGTGACAAATTATCTCCACATTTGATTGTCTGAAAAATACTTTCTCTCTCCTTCATTTATGAAGCATAGTTTCACCAGACACAAAATTCTTGGCTGATAATTGTTTTAATCCAGGAGGCTAAAGATAGGAACCCAATCCCTTCTTGCTTGCAGGGTTTGTCCTGATAAATCTGCTGTTAATCTTACAGGTTTTCCCCCATAGGTTACCTGATGCTATTATCTCACAGCTCTTAAGATTCTTTCCTTCATCTTGACTTTAGATAACCTGATGACTGTGTGCCTAGGTGATGATCTTTTGGTGATGAATTTCCCAGGTGTTCTTTCAGCTTCTTATATTTGGATGTCCAGATCTCTACCTATACCAGGGAAATTTTTCTCAATTATACCCTCAAATAAATTTTCCGAACTTTTATTTTTCTCTTCTTCTTCAGGAACATCAGTTATTCTTAAGTTTGGTCATTTGATCATTTCACATAATACTGAAATTCTTGGAGGCTTTGTTTATTTATTTTATTCTTTTTTTCTTTGTCTTTGTCAGAGTGGGTTAATTCAAGAGCCTTATCTTTGAGTTCTAAAGTTCTTTCTTCTACTTGTTCTATTCTATTGTTGAAACTTCCCAGTGCATTTTGTATTTCTTTAGTGTGTCTTTCATTTCCAGAAGTTGTGATTTTTTTTTTAATGATATCTATTTCTCTGGAGACCTTTACATCCATATCCTGTATTTTTAAAAATATTTTCTGGCCGGGCGCGGTGGCTCACGCCTGTAATCCCAGCACTTTGGGAGGCCGAGGCGGGTGGATCATGAGGTCAGGAGATCGAGACCATCCTGGCTAACAAGGTGAAACCCCGTCTCTACTAAAAATACAAAAAATTAGCCGGGCGCGGTGGCGGGCGCCTGTAGTCCCAGCTACTCGGGAGGCTGAGGCAGGAGAATGGCGTGAACCCGGGAAGCGGAGCTTGCAGTGAGCCGAGATTGCGCCACTGCAGTCCGCAGTCTGGCCTGGGCGACAGAGCGAGACTCCATCTCAAAAAAAAAAAAAAAAAAAAAAATTTCTAAGTTGTTTTCACCTTTCTTTGTTGCCTCCTTGAGTAGCTTAATAATCAACCTTCTGAATTCCTTCTCTGGCAATTCAGAGATTTCTCCTTGGTTTGGATCTATTGTTGGAGATCTAGTGTGATTTTTGGGGGGTGTTATAGAACTCTGTAATATTACCAGAACTACTTTTCTGGTCCCTTCAGATTTGGGTAGACTGTTTCAGTGGAAAGATCTTAAAATCAAGGGCTTCTGCTCAGATTCTTTTGTCCCACAGGATCAATGATGTGGTATTATTCCCATTCCCCTAAGGATGGGGCTTCCTAAGAGCCAGATTGCTGTGGTTGTTATTGCCCTTTTGGGTCTAGCCACCCAGCAGGGTTACCAGGCTATATGCGGGTGCTAGGAAATGTCTATAAAGAGTTCTGTGATCCATCTTCCGGTCTACCAGCTGTGGATACCAGCACCTGCTCAGTGGAGGTGGCAGGGGAGTGAAGTGGACTCTGTGGGGGTCTTTGGTTGTAGTTTTGCTTTGTGTGCTGGTTTCCTCAAATGCTGGTTATGCAAGCAGTAAAGTTGTCATGTGGACAGACTCAGGACCTCTGGCTAGCCAGTGTGTTGCAGGTGGTTGAATTTGGTGTTGTTTTCTCCCTTTTGGAGCATGGTTATTCTGTTGTGAGTTACTGTAGTGGCTTGAGTTGGTTGGCCTCCAGCAGGAGGTGGTGCTTTCAAGAAATTACCAGTTGTGGTAGTAGAGGAGGATATAATCTTGCCTTATGTTGGCTGGGATGCATACTTGGGTTTCTCAGGAGATGGGTGGGGCCATTGGTTTCCCAAGAGTTTATGTCTTTTGTCTTCAGCTACCAGGGCAGGTATTGAAAAACTATCAGGTAGGGGAAGGGTTAGGCTGGTCTGGGCTCAGACTCTTCTTGGGCAGGGCTTGCTGCAGCCACTGCAGGGGTTGGCAGCAGTGGATTTCAGGCCACTGGAGTTATGTTTCCAGGGGGATTATGGCTGCATCTGCTGCATCATACTGGTCAACAGGGAAGTAGGGGAAAGCCAGCAGTGACAGGCCTTACCCAGCTCCCACATTGCCAGCTGGGACAGTCTCACTCCCACCATGTCACCCCCAGGCTCACTGAGTTTATATTCAGGCAGCCAGCCAGCTGAGATCTTGCCCCAGGCTACAAGCCTCCCTGCTGAGAAAGAAAGCAGGGATCTCAGGCCTGGACCCTCCCTGTCTGCCTGCACCTACTGCTGCAGCTTCTGCATTCATATCTGCACTTCTCGTTCACACCCCGGGATTCTCTTCAGGAAAATTTGTGCTCAGTCGAAATTATTACAGAGTTCAGCTAGGAGCTTCCTTCACTCTCTGGCCCCTCCCCTACTCCACTACCTGCCTTCTGGAATTTCCCCAAGGACCTCTGTGAGATAAGGCCAGGAATGGCTTCCCTGAACTCGAGCTGTGGACTGGGATTGCCTACAGGGCTCTTCCTGCTGCTGCTTCTACATTTCACTCAACTCCCTAAATCTGTTTCAGCTCTAAGTAAGGTTAAATCCTCCTCCCGTCATCTGGATTTTCAGGTTACTCAGTGAGGATGTGTGTTAGGAGGTGACTTTTCCCCCCTGTCACACTTTGGGAACTCACATTTTTTTTTTTTTTTGACAGAGTCTCACTCTGTCACCCAGGCTGGAGTGCAGTGGTGCCATCTCAGCTCACTGCAAGCTCCACCTCCTGGGTTCACGCCATCCTCCTGCCTCAGCCTCTCCAGTAGCTAGGACTACAGGTGCCCGCCACCACGCCCGGCTAATTTTTTGTATTTTTAGTAGAGATGGGGTTTCACCATGTTAGCCAGGATGATCTTGATCTCCTGACCTCGTGATCAGCCTGCCTCGGCCTCCCAAAATGCTGGGATTACAGGCATGAGCCACCGTGCCCAGCCGGGAACTCACAGTTTTTTAGCTGTCTCACTGTGTTTGCAGTGGCAAGCTGCTTCTTTCAAAGGGTCTGTGAATTCTTTTGGTTTTCCTGGTATGTTCCTGAAGTGGTTCTTGGAGCAAAAGTTCAGAATGTGAGTCTCTAGACGCTTTTCTGTCTGTCCAAGTAGGAGCTGCACATCAGTCCTGTCTCCTATCTGCCATTTTCCCAATAGTCCTGATTGTCATTTCTAAAAACAGAGTGAATGCACCTGTATGGTTGAGGCTGTAGTATCTCTCAATATTTCTTCATTTATATTTCATTTGGTTTTAAATTTTTTACCTACTATAGTGTCCATATTAGATACTTTCTTGAAAAAAGCCTTGAGGTTTCAGTTTAAACTCTAGAGGCTGAAAGAAGATTTACTTGTTACTTTTAAATATTGATTCATGTAATTTACAAAATAAATTTTAAAGATTAATTTGGAGAAACATGGGATAAAGTGAGACTATGATTTACACAATTTTTTCCTGTTTATAAAAATAATAAATATGTATTGTATAAGATTGGCAAGAAAACCATTTTAGAAGCCAGCAAGTAATCATTTAAATATCATTATCTAGAGATAGCTACTGTTAAAATCCCAATGTATGTCCTTCATTCTTTGTATGGATATATGAATAGCTATATTCATAATTTTGAATCCTACTCTTTTCACTTTATATTACAGTATAAGTGTTTTCATTGTTCCTAAATATTTTCAAAAACCATAATTTTCAGTGGCTGAATATTATTCCATCAAATTCCATAATTTATTTAGCTATTCCCCTAATGGGGATTTAGGCACTTCTCAATTGGGGGGCTCTTATAGAAAGGACTTCATTGAAAGCTTTGCTCCTGTTATAAAAAATTACATGCAGTAATGGCAAACTAGGGATTAATGTAGTTAAAGTGTAGTAAACAAAATTTAAAAAATGGTCTGGACTCCTTCAGGAGAAAATCACTGATGAGACTTAAGAGAATTACTGTAAAAAATGAGAAAAGTGAATAAGATAAATTTACACCAGATGCCAAGGACTATACAGTAAGTTTGTTCTTCACTGAGCAGATGGGAGGTAGAATGTGTTGACCCTTACTGCACAGTTTCTGTGAAAGGAATTTTTGGATCTATCAGTTTTTGCTGTTTAACAAACCACCTCAAAGTTTAGTGGCTTAAAACATTACACTTACATTTTTTTAATCTCACAATTCTGTGGATTGGTAAGTCAGTGTGTCTCATCTGGGCTGGTTTGGGTTAACCTGGATGGTCTAGAATGGTTTTGTTACATATCTGGTACTTTAGCTGGGACATCTGGAGCCTCTTCCCATATGGCCTCTTAACTCTCATTGAGGCTATCCTGTGCTTCTTTATAAGGTATCAGAGAGGTTCACCACACAAGGGAAGGCCAGCCCTAATCAGCAAGCACTGTTCAAGCTCTGCTTTATATTTGCTGATGTCCCATTGGCTAAAGCAAATCATATATCTAAGACGAGACCTGAAGTGTACGGAAATAGACTCCACTAGATTTTCTAATGGGAGCAATGAATGGCAAAGTTGCATTGCAAAGGAATATGCATATTATAAGCATGGAAGAATTATTGCATCTATTTTTCCAAAGAATCTGCCACACTTAGTGTGCTATATAGGCAAGATAAGGGATATACAAATTGTATGAGCAGGTAGTCTAGCAGAGTACAAAAAAATTGAAGAATGTATAAAATAACCTCTCAAGAGTTTACTAACTTTTCAAGAAGACTGTTTCTTCTTTTATTTCATTTAATTTCACCTTTAGTAAGAATAATTTGAGTAGGTAATAACTACTAGTAGTTAAAACGTCCCTTAAAAGTGTACATTATCTTTATGACATCTTTGAGGCATTTTAGTTTGTGAATATTGCTCCTTTCTACAGAAAGGTATAAATGTCACCATCGACCTCTAACTCATGTTCACTCAACAACATTTAACAAACATTATCAAGCTTCCATCATATTGAACATTGCAAAAATGAAGATAGAAAGGCATGTTCCTTTCTCTTAAGAGGTACATGGTTTTGTAGGGTATGGTAAGCAGAATCATGGCTGCTCCAAACTGTACTAACCCCTAAAATTTGTAATTGTGTTTCTTTCTTTACATGGCAAAAAGACCTTGCATTTGTGATTGATGTTAAGGACTTTGAGATTGGAAGATTATTCTGGATTATTTGAATGGGTCCAACCCAATCACATGATTCCTTAAAGGCTGACAACCTTTCCCAGCAGACAGAATGAGAAGTGACATTGTTGGCCTTGAAAACAGAATAAAGAGGCCATGAGCCAAGGAAATCAGGTATCCTTTAAAATCTGGAAAAAGCATGGAAGTGCTTCTTTCCTAGAGCCTCCAGGGAGGACTGTGGCTTTTCCAACACCTTGACTTTAGCCCAGTGAGGACCATGTTGGACTTGGTAATAATAAATTTGTGTTGTTTTAGCCCACTAAGTTTGTGGTAATTTGTTACAGCAGCAATTGAAAGCTGATGTATTGGGAGACAGATATATAAATCAATAATGGTTGTAAAACTGTTTTAATAATAATTTGTCCCTGATGAAACACCTGAGTTCACAGTAGGAGCTAGCAGAAAACTTTAAGTCAAACTAGGGGAGACAGGAATGAAGAAGTAGCTGTTGGCATGTTGTAGCCAGCCTCTAAGTTTGCCAAAATTTTCAGACTTGTGTAAATTTTTGAGCATGTATTTGACAAATAGTCACCGATACCTACCATGAAAGAATATTGGGTAGCATTTTTTTCTTATTAACTTGGTTTTCCTATGACTAGCTAAGAGATGGGCACCAATAATATTAAAATCTGGGTTTATTAAAGAATTGAAATAGGAAAACAAGTAAGAAATATTGACTGTTACATTGTTCAGTTCCACAGAGCCTTTGATAATTTACAGATCTTTCACTTCCCCTTCAACCTCTTATTTCCAGCGGTCTCATGTGAATTTCTTCCTGTCCAAAGCTGAACTCATCATCTTCCCACCTCAACCTCCCCTAGCAATCAGTTCAAAAAATCTTGTTTCTGACAGTCCCTTAAATTTCTCCCATAATTCCAATCAAAGAGTAGGCAAAAGTAAATACTGAAATTTGTTGATGGTCAGTCTGTTCATAAAGTTGTTCTATTTCAGTTGTTTGTAGACTTTGGAGTGTATAAGAATTACCTTTGGAGTTTGTTAAGAAAAATTCTGATATGTAAGCCTCAGGCCCAGAGTTTCTCATTCCGTGGGTTGCAGTGGAGTCTAGGAATCTTCAAGTACCCTTAGGATACTCAGATGCAGGTAAACCAGACTTTGAGAAAATGACTCCAGGATACGACTCAGTGTATTATAAAAGCATAAAGGAAATTCATGAAATACATACAAATGGTACATACAAAGATTTAAAAAGTGATATCCTGATTTGGATTAATTACATTTACTTAAAAGAAAATCTCTTTCTGCTGTCTCCTTGTGGTGCATGGAACTTCCACAGCTGTAAGACCAGCCAGCCTAGGAAAACCTGGGATCTAGAGAGTGAAGGTGTTTTAGAGATAGGTGAAGACCAGGAGGAAGCAAGATAAGACATCTCTTTGTTATTTTGGGGAAGGGCAGATGGACTATGAAACCAGAAAGACTATCTGAAACCAGGAAGTCTTTCCAGGGTTAAAATACAAAGAAACAAACAGACCCAAATGGATGAAGGTATTCTTAACCAAGGACTAACCAGAGTTCAGGATGTGGCAAGCAGAAGCAAGAATGAAAGAAAGATGATGGATGGTGATCTAAGCATTAAAAATGCTACATGAGGATAGTTTACATGTAGGTATCAGGAATGAAGTTAGTGGGATATTAGGATTCAGGGTCAGAAAAATCCAACAACTTGTGGAATGTGGTACAAGTTTAGAAAGAGTTATTCAGTTCTAGAATACCAAGGTCAGAGTAGAATTAGAAAATAGCAATAATTCTCTGTTCTCATCTAGCAAATTACTGCCATAGAGCTTTTTTATATACCCTTATCTTTGGACTAAAGGCTGACTTCCATGATTAGGGAGGCATGGGAAAGAAAATCATCAGGAAAGACATTCCCAAGACATTTGTCCAAGTTTTGCTTCAGGTGTACAACACTACTCATATAAGATATTAAACCAGTCAAGTATCACCTTCTCATTTTTAATCACTTTATCCACCCTTTCCCCAGGTCAAGTACAAATATCAGTGATTTTATTTCTAGTGTAACCAATACTACTATTTACAATGAATTATGACATTTTCCCACATGACTTTTTCGACTACTGGACTCTTTATTTCTTTTTTTTTTTTCCCTTCCCACTTTCTCCCCTGCTGTTTATTATAGAAAAACTCTTACACAGTGGAGCAAAAAAACAGTATCAGGACATTCACTGCAATAAATTTACAATATTAGAAACTGGAAACAACCTAGATGCCCATCATTGGAACAGATAAATAAATTGTCTTCTTCTTTTTTTTATTATACTTTAAGTTTTAGGGTACATGTGCACATTGTGCAGGTTAGTTACATATGTATACATGTGCCATGCTGGTGCGCTGCACCCACTAACTCGTCATCTAGCATTAGGTATATCTCCCAATGCTATCCCTCCCCCCTCCCCCACCCCACCACAGTCCCCAGAGTGTGATATTCCCCTTCCTGTGTCCATGTGATCTCATTGTTCAATTCCCACCTATGAGTGAGAATATGCGGTGTTTGGTTTTTTGTTCTTGCGATAGTTTACTGAGAATGATGGTTTCCAATTTCATCCATGTCCCTACAAAGGACATGAACTCATCATTTTTTATGGCTGCATAGTATTCCATGGTGTATATGTGCCACATTTTCTTAATCCAGTCTATCATTGTTGGGCATTTGGGTTGGTTCCAAGTCTTTGCTATTGTGAATAATGCCGCAATAAACATACGTGTGCATGTGTCTTTATAGCAGCATGATTTATAGTCCTTTGGGTATATACCCAGTAATGGGTTGGCTGGGTCAAATGGTATTTCTAGTTCTAGATCCCTGAGGAATCACCACACTGACTTCCACAATGGTTGAACTAGTTTACAGTCCCACCAACAGTGTAAAAGTGTTCCTATTTCTCCACATCCTCTCCAACACCTGTTGTTTCCTGACTTTTGAATGATTGCCATTCTAACTGGTGTGAGATGGTATCTCATTGTGGTTTTGATTTGCATTTCTCTGATGGCCAGTGATGATGAGCATTTTTTCATGTGTTTTTTGGCTGCATAAATGTCTTCTTTTGAGAAGTGTCTGTTCGTGTCCTTCGCCCACTTTTTGATGGGGTTGTTTGTTTTTTTCTTGTAAATTTGTTGGAGTTCATTGTAGATTCTGGATATTAGCTGTTTGTCAGATAAGTAGGTTGTGAAAATTTTCTCCCATTTTGTAGGTTGCCTGTTCACTCTGATGGTAGTTTCTTTTGCTGTGCAGAAGCTCTTTAGTTTAATTAGATCCCATTTGTCAATTTTGTCTTTTGTTGCCATTGCTTTTGGTGTTTTAGACATGAAGTCCTTGCCCATGCCTATGTCCTGAATGGTAATGCCTAGGTTTTCTTCTAGGGTTTTTACAGTTTTAGGTCTAATGTTTAAGTCTTTAATCCATCTTGAATTAATTTTTGTATAAGGTGTAAGGAAGGGATCCAGTTTCAGCTTTCTACATATGGCTAGCCAGTTTTCCCAGCACCATTTATTAAATAGGGAATCCTTTCCCCATTGCTTGTTTTTCTCAGGTTTGTCAAAGATCAGATAGTTGTAGATATGCGGCGTTATTTCTGAGGGCTCTGTTCTGTTCCATATGTCTCTGTTTTGGTACCAGTACCATGCTGTTTTGGTTACTGTAGCCTTGTAGTATAGTTTAAAGTCAGGTAGTGTGATGCCTCCAGCTTTGTTCTTTTGGCTTAGGATTGACTTGGTGATGCGGGCTCTTTTTTGATTCCATATGAACTTTAAAGTAGTTTTTCCCAATTCTGTGAAGAAAGGCATTGGTAGCTTGATGGGGATGGCATTGAATCTGTAAATTACCTTGGGCAGTATGGCCATTTTCACGATATTGATTCTTCCTACCCATGAGCATGGAATGTTCTTCCATTTGTTTGTATCCTCTTTTATTTCCTTGAGCAGTGGTTTGTAGTTCTCCTTGAAGAGGTCCTTCACATCCCTTGTAAGTTGGATTCCTAGGTATTTTATTCTCTTTGAAGCAATTGTGAATGGGAGTTCACTCATGATTTGGCTCTCTGTCTGTTGTTGGTGTATAAGAATGCTTGTGATTTTTGCACATTGATTTTGTATCCTGAGACTTTGCTGAAGTTGCTTATCAGCTTAAGGAGATTTTGGGCTGAGACAATGGGGTTTTCTAGATATACAATCATGTCATCTGCAAACAGGGACAATTTGACCTCCTCTTTTCCTAATTGAATACCCTTTATTTCCTTCTCCTGCCTAATTGCCCTGGCCAGAACTTCCAACACTATGTTGAATAGGAGTGGTGAGAGAGGGCATCCCTGTCTTGTGCCAGTTTTCAAAGGGAATGCTTCCAGTTTTTGCCCATTCAGTATGATATTGGCTGTGGGTTTGTCATAGATAGCTCTTATTACTTTGAAATACGTCCCATCAACACCTAATTTATTGAGAGTTTTTAGCATGAAGGGTTGTTGAATTTTGTCAAAGGCTTTTTCTGCATCTATTGAGATAATCATGTGGTTTTTGTCTTTGGCTCTGTTTATATGCTGGATTACATTTATTGATTTGTGTATATTGAACCAGCCTTGCACCCCAGGGATGTAGCCCACTTGATCATGGTGGATAAGCTTTTTGATGTGCTGCTGGATTCGTTTTGCCAGTATTTTATTGAGGATTTTTGCATCAATGTTCATCAAGGATATTGGTCTAAAATTCTCTTTTTTGGTTGTGTCTCTGCCTGGCTTTGGTATCAGAATGATGCTGGCCTCATAAAATGAGTTAGGGAGGATTCTCTCTTTTTCTATTGATTGGAGTAGTTTCAGAAGGAATGGTATCAGTTCCTCCTTGTACCTCTGGTAGAATTCGGCTGTGAATCCATCTGGTCCTGGACTCTTTTTGGTTGGTAAACTATTGATTATTGCCACAATTTCAGATCCTGTTATTGGTCTATTCAGAGATTCAACTTCTTCCTGGTTTAGTCTTGGGAGAGTGTATGTGTCGAAGAATTTATCCATTTCTGCTAGATTTTCTAGTTTATTTGCGTAGAGGTGTTTGTAGTATTCTCTGATGGTAGTTTGTATTTCTGTGGGATCAGTGGTGATATCCCCTTTATCATTTTTTATTGTGTCTATTTGATTCTTCTCTCTTTTCTTCTTTATTAGTCTTGCTAGCGGTCTATCAATTTTGTTGATCCTTTCAAAAAACCAGCTCCTGGATTCATTAATTTTTTGAAGGGTTTTTTGTGTCTCTATTTCCTTCAGTTCTGTTCTGATTTTAGTTATTTCTTGCCTTCTGCTAGCTTTTGAATGTGTTTGCTCTTGCTTTTCTAGTTCTTTTAATTGTGATGTTAGCGTGTCAATTTTGGATCTTTCCTGCTTTCTCCTGTGGGCATTTAGTGCTATAAATTTCCCTCTACACACTGCTTTGATGCGTCCCAGAGATTCTGGTATGTTGTGTCTTTGTTCTCGTTGGTTTCAAAGAACATCTTTATTTCTGCCTTCATTTCGTTATGTACCCAGTAGTCATTCAGGAGCAGGTTGTTCAGTTTCCATGTAGTTGAGCGGTTTTGAGTGAGATTCTTAATCCTGAGTTCTAGTTTGATTGCACTGTGGTCTGAGAGATAGTTTGTTACAATCTCTGTTCTTTTACATTTGCTGAGGAGAGCTTTACTTCCAAGTATGTGGTCAATTTTGGAATAGGTGTGGTGTGGTGCTGAAAAAAATGTATATTCTGTTGATTTGGGGTGGAGAGTTCTGTAGATGTCTATTAGGTCCGCTTGGTGCAGAGCTGAGTTCAATTCCTGGGTATCCTTGTTGACTTTCTGTCTCGTTGATCTGTCTAATGTTGACAGTGGGGTGTTAAAGTCTCCCATTATTAATGTGTGGGAGTCTAAGTCTCTTTGTAGGTCACTCAGGACTTGCTTTATGAATCTGGGTGCTCCTGTATTGGGTGCATATATATTTAGGATAGTTAGTTCTTCTTGTTGAATTGATCCCTTTACCATTATGTAATGGCCTTCTTTGTCTCTTTTGATCTTTGTTGGTTTAAAGTCTGTTTTATCAGAGACTAGGATTGCAACCCCTGCCTTTTTTTGTTTTCCATTTGCTTGGTAGATCTTCCTCCATCCTTTTATTTTGAGCCTATGTGTGTCTCTGCACGTGAGATGGGTTTCCTGAATACAGCACACTGATGGGTCTTGACTCTTTGTCCAATTTGCCAGTCTGTGTCTTTTAATTGGAGCATTTAGTCCATTTACATTTAAAGTTAATATTGTTATGTGTGAATTTGATCCTGTCATTATGATGTTAGCTGGTTATTTTGCTCGTTAGTTGATGCAGTTTCTTCCTAGTCTTGATGGTCTTTACATTTTGGCATGATTTTGCAGCGGCTGGTACCAGTTGTTCCTTTCCATGTTTAGCGCTTCCTTCAGGAGCTCTTTTAGGGCAGGCCTGGTGGTGACAAAATTTCTCAGCATTTGCTTGTCTGTAAAGTATTTTATTTCTCCTTCACTTATGAAGCTTAGTTTGGCTGGATATGAAATTCTGGGTCGAAAATTCTGTTCTTTAAGAATGTTGAATATTGGCCCCCACTCTCTTCTGGCTTGTAGGGTTTCTGCTGAGAGATCAGCTGTTAGTCTGATGGGCTTCCCTTTGAGGGTAACCCGACCTTTATCTCTGGCTGCCCTTAATATTTTTTCCTTCATTTCTACTTTGGTGAATCTGAAAATTATGTGTCTTGGAGTTGCTCTTCTCGAGGAGTATCTTTGTGGTGTTCTCTGTATTTCCTGAATCTGAAAGTTGGCCTGCCTTGCTAGATTGGGGAAGTTCTCCTGGATAATATCCTGCAGAGTGTTTTCCAACTTGGTTCCATTCTCCCCATCACTTTCAGGTACACCAATCAGACGTATATTTGGTCTTTTCACATAGTCCCATATTTCTTGGAGGCTTTGCTCATTTCTTTCTATTCTTTTTTCTCTAAACTTCCCTTCTCACTTCTTTTCATTCATTTCATCTTCCATTGCTGATACCCTTTCTTCCAGTTGATCACATAGGCTCCTGAGGCTTCTGCATTCTTCATGTAGTTCTCGAGCCTTGGTTTTCAGCTCCATCAGCTCCTTTAAGCACTTCTCTGTATTGGTTATTCTAGTTATACATTCTTCTAAATTTTTTTCAAAGTTTTCAACTTCTTTGCCTTTGGTCTGAATGTCCTCCTGTAGTTCAGAGTAATTTGATCGTCTGAAGCCTTCTTCTCTCACCTTGTCAAAGTCATTCTCCATCCAGCTTTGTTCCGTTGCTGGTGAGGAACTGCGTTCCTTTGGAGGAGGAGAGGCGCTCTGCTTTTTAGAGTTTCCAGTTTTTCTGTTCTGTTTTTTCCCCATCTTTGTGGATTTATCTACTTTTGGTCTTTGATGATGGTGATGTACAGATGGGTTTTTGGTGTGGATGTCCTTTCTGTTTGTTAGTTTTCCTTCTAACAGACAGGACCCTCAGCTGCAGGTCTGTTGGAATACCGTGCCGTGTGAGGTGTCAGTGTGCCCCTGCTGGGGAGTGCCTCCCAGTTAGGCTGCTCGGGGGTCAGGGGTCAGGGACCCACTTGAGGAGGCAGTCTGCCCGTTCTCAGATCTCCAGCTGTGTGCTGGGAGATCTCTCTTCAAAGCTTTCAGACAGGGACATTTAAGTCTGCAGAGGTTACTGCTGTCTTTTTGTGTGTGCCCTGCCCCCAGAGGTGGAGCCTACAGAGGCAGGCAGGCCTCCTTGAGCTGTGGTGGGCTCCACCCAGTTTGAGCTTCCAGGCTGCTTTGTTTACCTAATGAAGCCTGGGCAATGGCGGGCGCCCCTCCCCCAGCCTCGCTGCCGCCTTGCAGTTTGATCTCAGACTGCTGTGCTAGCAATCAGCGAGACTCCGTGGGCGTAGGACCCTCCGAGCCAGGTGCGGGATATAGTCTCGTGGGGCGCTGTTTTTTAAGCCGGTTGGAAAAGCACAGTATTCGGGTGGGAGTGACCCGATTTTCCAGATGCGTCCGTCACCCCTTTCTTTGACTCGGAAAGGGAACTCCCTGACCCCTTGCGCTTCCCAAGTGAGGCAATGCCTCGCCCTGCTTCGGCTCGCGCACGGTGCGTGTACCCACTGACCTGTGCCCACTGTCTGGCACTCCCTAGTGAGATGAACCCGGTACCTCAGATGGAAATGCAGAAATCACCCTTCTTCTGCGTCGTTCACGCTGGGAGCTGTAGACCGGAGCTGTTCCAATTCGGCCATCTTGGCTCCTCCCCTGGACTCTTTATTTCTTAAGGTCAGAGGCTTTATTTATCTTGCTTTCCATTTTACTTACACAGTGCCTTCAGCATAGATGTTCAACAGATGTTTTATGAATATGTGAAAAACATGTTAGCTAATTTGAATAAACAATCTTTTGAGATTAAAATCTGCATTCTTTCTTATCACTATCAGAATGGATGTGTTATTGTAAATGAAGTATGAGGAAAAATCAAGATCAAAGGTAGCAGAGCATTTAGCAATAAAGAGCATAGAAAGGAGGGAAGGAAGAAAAGAAGAGAAAGAGGGAAGAAAGGAAGAAAGAAAAAGGGATGCCAGGAATAGGAAGTGACTTTTTTGGCCTTTGAAACTGTTCATCATTGTATTAACTAATCATATCCCTTAACCTCTTCCTATGTTGTCAAATATATGTTTTTCTTATTTTTGTATGTATTTTAAATTTGACAGTGCTTTCTTATAACTTGATATTTATCACTTCTATTTCCTTTAAGGAAATGTGTGTTACTCAATCTCTTTATTCATCACTAATTTTCCAAGACTTGATTTCAGCCAATTTAAAAAATAATTTAAATTTCAAAATTTCTGGGTCAGTAGAAGAATTCTTAAAGTTAATATAATTTCCTCTTTCATAAATGTGTGTGTATGTTTTTTATATTTTAGGCCAAGCTCTGATTTCACAGCTTTCGATGCATATATGCTTACAGTAGCTAAATTCCTTCCTTCTTCCTCACATGAAAGCTACAATTGCCTTAAAACTAAGGTTTCTACAGCAGATTGTTTTCACACCCTGAGTAACTCAGCAACATTTTACTATCAGGACTTAAAAGGAGGATAGTCAAGATGCATGAAATATCATTTGACTGTTCTCTTTAGCAATGAGCCTGTTCAAGTCTTTTTCCTGTTTTTAAATTGGATTTTTTGTCTTTTTCTTATTGATTTTTATTTCTATATCCTGGGTACAAGTTCCTTGTCGGATATATGTATTGCCAATTTACCCTCATATCATTTGACTTGTTTTTTCAATCTTCAGACATAAAGGAGCATCTATTATATAATTCTGTTCTATGAAGTTCAAAAAGTAGGTTAAACTTACCTAGAAGAATAGTGCCTACCTTTGGTGGGGTAGAGAAGATTGAAAATGACTGGGAGCGTGCAAGAAGAGGCTTCTCTGGCATTAGTAATATTCTACATTTTTATCTGTATGGAAGTTCCATATGCATATGCATTTCAAAATTTATTCAAGGTCTACAATTAAGATTTGTGCAATTTGTACATATCTCAGTACAACATAAAAGAAAGAAGAAATCAAATGCATGAACAAGCCTTTTAAAACACTTACGTTTAGTCACTGTCAAAAGAGGAGTGCTCAAGTCATTTAAAAGAAGAAGGCCAGGGTGGGGTGGCTCATGCTTGTAATCCCAGCACTTTGGGAGGCCAAGGAGGGTGGATCATCTGAGGTCAGGAGTTCAAGACCAGCCTGCCTCACATGGTGACACCCCATGTCTACTAAAAATACAAAAAATTAGCCAGGCATGGTGGCGGGGGCCTGTAATCCCAGCTGCTTGGGAGGCTGAGGCAGGAGAATCACTTGAACCCCAGAGGTGGAGGTTGCAGTGAGCTGAGATTGTGCCACTGCATTCCTGGGCAACATAGTGAAATTCCATCTCAAAACAAACAAACAAACAAACAAATAAACAAAAAAACCAAAGAAGAAGAAGAAGATAGTCTTCTACTTTTCTCAGTGGTATCAGACCAACTCATGCACACCTGGATATTTCACAGGTATGCTATGTGCCCTGGCTTAAGTGTGGCCCCAAATTAACCCACCATTTTCGGTAATTTAGCTGTATTAACCATAGTCATCTTCCAACCATTCAAGTTACCATATGGGGATATCCAAATAGTCTGTCAAAAGGATTGCATCAGTCAAAGGAACTGTGCTTGTTGAACTCTGGTTTATTTGGTTTGTCTAGGCATATCATAAATCATGTGGTAGGAGCAAACTTTTAGCCATTAAACTATTTCTGGTTAGCAGTCTTCAGGGAAATCTTTTTTTTTCCCCTTCTTTCACTTAAAATTGGCTTAAAGCTCTCCTTCCTTGTTACATCCAACTTATGGTCATAGATGGAAATGTTATTTAGTCTTTACTGCAACAATCTGTAGAAATCTTTGCCTAAATGAAGGATCTGGTTAGACATCTTTTCTGGGTGACTGCCCTTCTGTTTATTCAAAATGAAGGAGACACACAAAGTTTTAATGTGGCCCTAACTTTTTTCTCCTGTGATCTCTGTATATACCTTTACACAATGTTAAGCTGCTGCCTAAATTGTTCCTTCTTATTTTAAAGAGTTGCAAAGGATATAGTTTCCAGTTTATTGTAAATATTGCCATTGTAAACTAAAACTATACAACAGAAAGGGAACAATGGAATCCAAATGGAATCTAAATACCACAGTGATATCAAACCCACCATCAACCATTTAAAAAATCTGAACAATATGTCTTAATAGTTGGCAGTTATTTTTCTTGAACTCATACTGTCATCCATTTTTCTCCGTCAGATTTAACCTAATATAATACACTTTATTGCTTGAAAATATTTTATTGTATAGCTTATCTTAATTATATGCAACAAAAATGTATTAATTGAAATTAAAATCTCTATTTCCCATAATCATAAAACTATGTTAAAATTTTTGTCAGGTTTTAATTATGATAAAAATTATATTAGTAGTACATAATTGATCAAACTAATATGCAAATATTATAAATTTTGAAAAACATTTAAAGGATTTTAAAAATTTTTAAATTATACTTTAAGTTTTGGGATACATGAGCAGAACATGCAGTTTTGTTAAATAGGTATGCACGTGGCATGGTGGTTTGCTGCACCCATCAGCCCGTCACCTACATTAGGTATTTCTCCTAATGCTATCCCTCCCCTAGCCCCGACAGGCCCTGGTGTGTGATGTTCCCCTCCCTATGTCCATGTGTTCTCATTGTTCAACTCCCACTTATGAGTGAGAACATGCGGTGTTTGGTTTTCTGTTCTTGTGATAGTTTGCTGAGAATGATGGTTACCAGCTTCATCCATGTCCCTGCAAAGGACATGATCTCATTTCTTTTTATGACTGCATAGTATTCCATGGTGTCTATGTGCCTCATTTTCTTTATCCTGTCTAACATTGATGGGCATTTGGGTTGGTTCCAAGTCTTTGCTATTGTGAATAGTGCCACAATAAACATATGTGTGCATGTGTCTTTGTAGTAGAATGATTTATAATCCTTTGGGTATATACCCAGTAATGGGATTGCTTGGTCAAATGGTATTTCTAGTTCTAGATCCTTAAAGGATTTTTTTTGTTTTGAAAGCCATGATGTATTTGTGGAGAAAGAGGAATATATATAATCTATATATATAGATTATATATATAGATAGATAGATATAGATATATATAGATATATATACATATATAGATATAGATATATATAGATATTGATATATACACACACATATACACACACATATGAGCAATATATATAAATGTATTTGTGGGGATATATATAATATTTTAAAATAATAAATTTATTTTATAAATATATACTAAATATAAATATATATTAAATATATTTACTGTATATTTATTATATGTAAGACACATATTTCATGTATTTTTATTTATTTATTTATTTATTTAGAGACAGGGTCTTCCTCTGTTACCCAGGCTGGAGTGCAAGGAGTGATTTTGGCTCACTGCAACCTCTGTCTCCCGGGCCAAGTGATTCTCCTGCCTCAGCCTCCTGAGTAGCTGGGATTACAGGTATGTGCCACCATGCCAGGCTAATTTTTTGTATCTTTAGTAGAGATGAGGTTTCGCCATGTTGGCCAGGCTGGTCTTGAACTTCTAGCCTCAAGTGATCTGCTCATCTTGGCCTCCCAAAGTGCTGGGATTATAGGCGTTTGCCACTATGTCCACCCAATTTTATTTCTTTTTTTTTTGGTTGTTTTTTATAGTTGAAAAATACAGATAAATATTTTTAACATAAATAAGTAGATTGAAATAAATCTTACTTTTTAGAAGAATGTTGCTATTTTCAGTTCTTTTGCGGTCTTATTTTAAAAATCACACAGTGAGATAGTAGTAAGATTATATTTAAACAGTCAGTTAGATTAGAATAGCCTTCAATTTCATTAGAAATAAAAACTTAGAAGTCATCTGACTTGCCAAAAGATTTAACCCAGTCATTAGCCATTGACTTTCTAAGCACCATAAAGGCTTTCCCAAGGCTTGTCAAGTGACGGTTTTTCCTGATACTTTTTCATGTAAAGGTGCCTTATTTAACTCAGTATACTCAGAAAGAGTTGGTAAAATAAAAATATCACTTATTTCAATACATCTGTGTCAATACATATTTTTTATAAAAAGTAAAACGTATATATATTTCCATCAAAATGTTTAATTGTAGACTTAAATCTTTCAATTCATGAAAAATGTTCACCTTATAACCTGGCTGAAAAATTCAATTCTCGTTGTCAAACAAATTGGACAAAACAGACTTGCTTTCTGTCACAAAATGTCTGATTTCATTTTTCGATTGAAATTTAAAAAATTGATATATTTTCCCATGATAACCAGAAATGATTCTGATGGATGAATCAGGGATTGCATCTTAAAATAAGTTTGTCACTTAGACTGAGTAAAGTGGCTGCACCTTCAATATTTTGTGCCTAATCCCTCTGAGGACTCTCTCTCAGGAGCAATGTCAGTACGCAGAGGAGGGACAAAGTGGAGCAATGAATAGAAATGGTCTTCATTCCTGCTACCCTTCTCCACAGTATATCTAAATTCAAAACATTCCAGTATGGGCCAAGTTGTCCTGTCTAGAATTCCACTCTTAGCCTTTGATGGAAATGGGTATAATAAATGCAAGGAAAGATGCAAACCCTATCACACATTTATGGTGTCTCAATTTAAGAAGTCTTTATAAATATCAATATTTCAAGTTGTCCTTTGATAGGCACCATGGAAATTTATACATCAGGACAGTGCACCAAGGTGAGACCTTAAATGAATGAAGGCAGG
This sequence comes from Homo sapiens, assembly GCF_000001405.40. Lineage (NCBI taxonomy): Eukaryota > Metazoa > Chordata > Mammalia > Primates > Hominidae > Homo > Homo sapiens. Next base: position 90,068,141 of record NC_000005.10, on the reverse strand, counting down.
TACACCATTTCTTTTTAAGTGGGAGAAAACTGATTATCAAAGGGCATGTAGTAAAGGAGAATATGTTGGATTCCTAAACTGATTTTCTGATAATAGACTATGTTTACTTCTTGTTTGAAAATAACAGTATGTGTATGTATATACACAAATATATATGTATAAGGTGTGAAAAACAAATTAGCTAAGATGATTTTGAATGTTGGCCTTTGGTTTTTATTTAAGCTTGACAATAAAAGACATTTTGTTATTTTATTACTTTTTTAATGAACAAAGAGGCAAACATTTACTTTTCTTCTATTTTTCTTTTACTCTTCCTTTTAAATTTTTATATGTCAGATATCACAGGATGCTATAATAGTTCAATAAATCTGAAATTTAAAAAACTGACTTGCAGAGTTAAAAATTTTGTTTTTCTGAAAATGTTACTTTTACTGTCTAGCTAGAGAATAAGGTAGGGGATTCCTGGAAAACAGAATCTGTTTGAAACTGATGTAAGGAAATCCAAAATGGCATTGGATTGTAGTTACTAGTACTTTAAAGAAGTTAGTTCACAAATTAAAAGAGAAATGGGTAGAGATACAACTTTTACCTTTTTCATTTAATTTGTTTGATTTGTAAAACAAAGCCTTAACTCCAATCAGTTACTCTGTGCTTGATTAGAGGGCAGGGAAGAGAAGAAAATGCCAGAAGGAGATGATCAAATATTTGTATGAAAACATGGCTTATTAATTCAAATGCATAGTACTGTTTCTAAAAAGTATACATTTCTGAAAGTATAAGCCCATTTGAAAATTAGGAAAAGAGGATAAAAAATTCTCAAAATTACATCACTTAGAAGCTACCACATAATATTTTGTTTCAGTCATTTGCCCATACATGTGTATTTTCATGTAGTTGAAATCATAATGCGTATATAATATGACTTGCAAGACTTTTACTTATCATATTTTATCATAAAACTAAAAATTTTAGAAACCTAATTTTGATGACTGTATAGTGTTCCCTTGCATAGATATGCCATAATTTATGTCATTTCCAATTCTTGATCTTTTATTTCACTGTAATGAATTTTTTTCACATTTCTGTTTCATACGTAGGATAGATTTTTCTTTAAATGGGATTTTTAGAGCAAAAAAACCCAGAGATTTTGAAAGTTTCTATTGCTGAATTCTTTACAGAAAGAATGCTGAAACTAACAGTTCCACCACCAGGGTAGGAGAGAGATAATTTCTTTGTATTCCCTACAGCACTGAGTACTAGCTATAAAATGATTTTTACAATGGGTAGGTGAAAATGCATTTCATATTAAAAATGCATATTATTCCAAATTTGTTCACTAATTCTTCTCTCTTTCTCTATGATTGTTGTGTGTGTATGTGTGTGCATGGGTGTGTGTTTAGATCATTTATGCTAGAGCAAAAGTTATTCAAAAATAACATTATTAAAAAATATTCCAGGTTTTATAAACATTGATGGATATTATCTACAAAGTTATGGAGATTGAATAAACAAAAAAACAGACTTAAAATATCCTAGATGTTTAGTACAGATATGATGTAACTCTTTTGAAGTATTATTAATTTCAGTAAAGTTTCATGCTGAAATTTCTTCATAGTTACTTTCTTTTTATTTGTAATGTGGCCTTCAATATATGCCACGAGTTTCTCTAAATGCCTTCTCATTGATATACTTGTATTATACTGTGATAGGCAGAATAATGAATCCCAAATATTTCTGTGTCCAAATTCCTGTGAAATGTGAACGTGGTACATTACTTGGCAAAAGGGAGTTAAAATTGAAGTGGTATTAAGGCTGCTGATCAGCTGACTTTATATTAGGGAGATTATCCTGGATTGTTTGGGTGGGAATAACATAAATACCAGGGTCTTTAAAAATGGAAGAGGGAGGAAAAAGAGGAGGACAGGATAATATAATGTGAGAAGCACTCAAACTGCAATTACTGGCTTTGAATTTGAAGGAAGTGGGCGATGAACCAAGGAATACAGCCAGCCACTGGAAGCTGGAAAAGCAAGAAAACATATTGTCCCCTAGAGCATCCAGAATAAATGCAACCCTGCCAATACCTGGCTTTTAGCTCAGTGAGACCTGTGTCAGACTTCTGGCCTACAGAAATATGGTAATAAATTTGTGTAGTTTGAACCTAGTAAGTTTGTAGTATTTTGTTACAGCAGCAATAGCAAACTAATACATAAACAAATGCTTTTTTTGTGATGCTGTAAGGTTCTAGAATATTAAAACTTTCCTTGAGTCATAGACTTTTCCTCATTTTATTATCATTCAAATTTCAAATGCTTTTTGCCAAAATACTTATTTATATATTTACCACAATTAGATTTTTTCCTCAATTGACCTTAATAATATGAAACAGATATTTATTTATTAATGTCACTTTACATTTTTTATGAACATTATTGATGGTTTTCATTTAATATACTTATCAAAATCTATTACCTTTACTATTTCAATTGCCATTTGTGAGATTGGCTCACAGCCCCAGTTATATTCTTTAATGTTTTTACTGGATAGAATTGAGGCCACTATCTGACAAAGCAAAAGATCATACTGATTTTTCTACTAGTCAATTAAACCAAATTTTTTATTTATTTTTTATTTTATTATTATTGTACTTTAAGTTTTAGGGTACATGTGCACAATGTGCAGGTTAGTTACATATGTATACATGTGCCATGCTGGTGTGCTGCACCCATTAACTCGTCATTTAGCATTAGGTATATCACCTAATGCTATCCCTCCCCTCTCCCCCAACCCCACAACAGTCCGCAGAGTGTGATGTTCCCCTTCCTGTGTCCATGTGTTCTCATTGTTCAATTCCCACCTATGAGTGAGAATATGCGGTGTTTGGTTTTTTGTCCTTGCCATAGTTTACTGAGAATGATGATTTCCAATTTCATCCATGTCCCTACAAAGGACATGAACTCATCATTTTTTACGGCTGCATAGTATTCCATGGTGTATATGTGCCACATTTTCTTAATCCAGTCTATCATTGTTGGACATTTGGGTTGGTTGCAAGTCTTTGCTATTGTGAATAATGCCACAATAAACATATGTGTGCATGTGTCTTTATAGCAGCATGATTTATAGTCCTTTGGGTATATACCCAGTAATGGGTTGGCTGGGTCAAATGGTATTTCTAGTTCTAGATCCCTGAGGAATCGCCACACTGACTTCCACAATGGTTGAACTAGTTTACAGTCCCACCAACAGTGTAAAAGTGTTCCTATTTCTCCATATCCTCTCCAGCACCTGTTGTTTCCTGACTTTTTAATGATTGCCATTCTAACTGGTGTGAGATGGTATCTCATTGTGGTTTTGATTTGCATTTCTTTGATGGCCAGCGATGGTGAGCATTTTTTCATGTGTTTTTTGGCTGCATAAATGTCTTCTTTTAAGAAGTGTCTGTTCATGTCCTTTGCCCACTTTTTGGTGGGGTTGTTTGTTTTTTTCTTGTAAATTTGTTTGAGTTCATTGTAGATTCTGGATATCAGCCCTTTGTCAGATGAGTAGGTTGTGAAAATTTTCTCCCATTTTGTAGGTTGCCTGTTCACTCTGATGATAGTTTCTTTTGCTGTGCAGAAGCTCTTAAGTTTAATTATTAGATCCCATTTGTCAATTTTGTCTTTTGTTGCCATTGCTTTTGGTGTTTTAGACATGAAGTCCTTTCCCATGCCTATGTCCTGAATGGTATTGCCTAGGTTTTCTTCTAGAGTTTTTATGGTTTTAGGTCCAACATTTAAGTCTTTAATCCATCTTGAATTAATTTTTGTATAAGGTGTAAGGAAGGGATCCAGTTTCAGCTTTCTACATATGACTAGCCCGTTTTCCGAGCACCATTTATTAAATAGGGAATCCTTTCCCCATTGCTTGTTTTTCTTAGGTTTGTCAAAGATCAAATAGTTGTAGATATGCGGCGTTATTTCTGAAGGCTCTGTTCTGTTCCATTGATCTATATCTCTGTTTTGGTACCAGTACCATGCTGTTTTGGTTACTGTAGCCTTGTAGTTTAGTTTGAAGTCAGGTAGCGTGATGCCTGCAGCTTTGTTCTTTTGGCTTAGGATTGACTTGGCAAGGCGGGCTCTTTTTTGGTTCCATATGAACTTTAAAGTAGTGTTTTCCAATTCTGCGAAGAAAGTCATTGGTAGCTTGATGGAGTTGGCATAGAATCTATAAATTACCTTGGGCAGTATGGCCATTTTCACGATATTGATTCTTCCTATCCATGAGCATGGAATGTTCTTCCATTTGTTTGTATCCTCTTTTATTTCCTTGAGCAGTGGTTTGTAGTTCTCCTTGAAGAGGTCCTTCACATCCCTTGTAAGTTGGATTCCTAGGTATTTTATTCTCTTTGAAGCAATTGTGAATGGGAGTTCACTCATGATTTGGCTCTCTGTTTGTCTGTTATTGGTGTATAAGAATGCTTGTGATTTTTGCACATTGATTTTGTATCCTGAGACTTTGCTGAAGTTGCTTATCAGCTTAAGGAGATTTTGGGCTTAGACAGTGGGGTTTGCTAGATATACAATCGAGTCATCTGCAAACAGGGACAATTTGACTTCCTCTTTTTCTAATTGAATACCCTTTATTTCCTTCTACTGCCTAATTGCCCTGGCCAGGACTTCCAATGCTATGTTGAATAGGAGTGGTGAGAGAGGGCATCCCTGTCTTGTGCCAGTTTTCAAAAGGAATGCTTCCAGTTTTTGCCCATTCAGTATGATATTGGCTGTGGGTTTGTCATAGATAGCTCTTGTTATTTTGAGATACGTCCCATCAATACCTAATTTATTGAGAGTTTTTAGCATGAAGTGTTGTTGAATTTTGTCAAAGGCCTTTTCTGCATCTGTTGAGATAATCATGTGGTTTTTGTCTTTGGTTCTGTTTATATGCTGGATTACATTTATTGATTTGTGTATATTGAACCAGCCTTGCATCCCAGGGATGAAGCCCACTTGATCATGATGGATAAGCTTTTTGATGTGCTGCTGGATTCGTTTTGCCAGTATTTTATTGAGGATTTTTGCATCAATGTTCATCAAGGATATTGGTCTAAAATTCTCTTTTTTGGTTGTGTCTCTGTCCGGCTTTGGTATCAGCATGATGCCGGCCTCATAAAATGAGTTAGGGAGGATTCCCTCTTTTTCTATTGATTGGAATAGTTTCAGAAGGAATGGTATCAGTTCCTCCTTGTACCTCTGGTAGAATTCGGCTGTGAATCCATCTGGTCCTGGACTCTTTTTGGTTGGTAAACTATTGATTATTGCCATAATTTCAGAGCCTGTTATTGGTCTATTCAGAGATTCAACTTCTTCCTGCTTTAGTCTTGGGAGGGTGTAAGTGTCGAGGAATTTATCCTTTTCTTCTAGATTTTCTAGTTTATTTGCATAAAGGTGTTTGTAGTATTCTCTGATGGTAGTTTGTATCTCTGTGGGATCGGTGGTGATATCCTCTTTATCATTTTTTATTGCATCTATTTGATTCTTCTCTCTTTTCTTCTTTATTAGTCTTGCTAGCGGTCTATCAATTTTGTGGATCCTTTCAAAAAACCAGCTCCTGGATTCATTAATTTTTTGAAGGGTTTTTTGTGTCTCTATTTCCTTCAGTTCTGCTCTGATTTTAGTTATTTCTTGCCTTCTGCTAGCTTTTGAATGTGTTTGCTCGTGCTTTTCTAGTTCTTTTAATTGTGATGTTAGCGTGTCAATTTTGGATCTTTCCTGCTTTCTCCTGTGGGCATTTAGTGCTATAAATTTCCCTCTACACACTGCGTTGAATGTGTCCCAGAGATTCTGGTATGTTGTGTCTTTGTTCTCATTGGTTTCAAAGAACATCTTTATTTCTGCCTTCATTTCGTTATGTACCCAGTAGTCATTCAGGAGCAGGTTGTTCAGTTTCCATGTAGTTGAGCGGTTTTGAGTGAGTTTCTTAATCCTGAGTTCTAGTTTGATTGCACTGTGGTCTGAGAGACAGTTTGTTATAATTTCTATTCTTTTACATTTGCTGAGGAGAGCTTTACTTCCAAGTATGTGGTCAATTTTGGAATAGGTATGGTGTGGTGCTGAAAAAAATGTATATTCTGTTGATTTGGGGTGGAGAGTTCTGTAGATGTCTATTAGGTCTGCTTAAACCAAATTTTTTTAAACACAAACATGATATAAAAAATGTTCAGGGTATGAATGTCTTTAAAAGTTTGTGTTAATAGATTTATTCATTCAGTAAACATTTATTGAATTTTACAATATGGCAAGTTTTTTGTAAAACGCTGCTGATAGAGTGATAAAAGGCCAATTTCTTCTCTTAGGGAAATCATAGTTTTATCAAGACAAATTTACAAGAGTAGGAAAATGGCAGGCTAGACTTATGGTTAACAGGCAAAAGGAACATATAGGAAGCCCCATTATCTTTCCTTCAAGCCATTGTAAATTTTTAAAACTGAACCATCAGTTTTCTTCCTGGTCTCGATATAGTCTACTTTTGAGGCAGAAACCTGAGTAATGCATTTCAACATAAGTTGGATCATGACACTCCTAAGCACAAATGCCCCCAGTGGCTTCTCAATTCACTCACAGTAAATGTGGAGTCTGCACAAGGCTTACAAGGTGAAAGACCCAACACATCTCTCCCATCTTCCATCACCACTCTGCCCCTGATGAGTTAAAGCACATGGGCATGCTTTCCAGTTCCTAAAACACACGAAACATGTCCCTGTTTCAGGTTCTTTGCACTTGCTGTTCTGGCAGTCTGGAACACTCGTCCTCTGGACATACGCCTGCTTAGTTCCCTCACTTCCTTAGGATTGCTGCTTAAATTTCATTGTGTCATTAAAGATTTTTCCTGACTACCCTGTTTAACAGCAACTATGCCACTAGTCAGGGTGCCCTAGATCCCCTAGCCTGTTTTATTTTTCTGCCGTACTATGCATTTTATTTTTACTTACGTGTTTTACTTATATGTTTATTCTCTTTCATCCCCATTATGAAGTAAGATCCAGGAGGAACTGTAGTTAATGTGATTACTGCTTGATTTCCAGAGTGCAGAGTAATACTTGATACACAGTAGGTGCTCAAATATTTGTTGAATTAATGATTGAAGAGAATCTTATTTAATCTCAAGTTGTCAAAAGATTTCCTGTGGATGTTACATTTGAAGTTGGATCTGAAAGGTAACTAAGAGTGTCTCTGAAGGGAGAGAAAAGGGAGAGAAAAGGGTATTCTAAGCAGAGGAAGAGGCAGGTAGCAGGGCAAGAGGCCATGAGAAAGAACAGCCATGTGAGCCTGTACTGTTTCATATTGCCCAAGGTTTAGGTGTAGAAGGGCAGTGGCTAGAGATGAGGCTGAGGTACATATGACAGGGCTGACCCAGAATAACTTGTATATTTGTCTGAGGGTTTAGATTTCAATTTCTAATGGGTCATCAATGATAGGTCTTAAGCAGGATTATGACAGAGTAAAATTTATGTTTTGAAAGATCACTCTGGTGGCCAAGTTTAGAATGGACTGGAACTGAGTAAATGTAGGGAGAAGAGTAAAGAGAAGGCTATGATTCTGGCCAAAATTTGGAACCCTAGTTATTGTGATTATAAGTCCACAGTTTCTACTTTTACAAATGTAATTATCTTCCAACACCATTAGATTCTAAAGAGATGAAAGTTCTCTAAGAATATTTAGCCTCAGCCAGGTGTGGTGGTGCACACCTGTAGTCCCAGCTATTCATGAGGCTGAGGCAGAAGAATCACTTGAATCTGGGAGGCGGAGGTTGCAGCGAGCAGAGATCATGCCACTGCACTCCATCCTGGGTGACATAGCGAGACTCTGTCGAAAAAAAAAATGAGCCTTACCTCCAAGAGAATTCATAAATTGTTTCATGTTCATGTCTTATCTTCCCAACTCAGAAGTGCAGATTCTTTGCATTGCCAGTGGAAAGAGGGTAAACACTGAAGATAGATAGACAACTACCTGTCGAAGACAGTGGAGTTGCTATGGTATTTTATAGAATGAATGAACACATTAAACATGGTTATGCATAGTCCTAGTATTCTGGCTTTGGTATGTAAGGACTTTAGAGGGTGGGGCTTCTAGCTTTAGAGGATGGGGAAACCTTTTCTATTACAAGAATTTGGACAAAATATTTGTTCTGTTTCTGGCTCTGGTTTTGTTTTTCAAATTTCTTTTATTATTTTTATTATACTTTAAGTTCTAGGGTACATGTACACAATGGGCAGGTTTGTTACATATGTATACATGTGCCATGTTGGTATGCTGCACCCGTTAACTCATCATTTACATTAGGTATATCTCCTAATGCTATCCCTCCTCCCTCCCCCAACCCCACAACAGGCCCTGGTGTGTGATGCTCCCCCTACCCGTGTCCAAGTGTTCTCATTGTTCAATTCCCACCTATGAGTGAGAACATGCAGTGTTTGATTTTCTGTCCTTGCAATAGTTTGCTGAGAATGATGGTTTCTAGCTTCATCCATGTCCCTACAAAGGACATTAACTCATCCTTTTTTACGGCTGCATAGTATTCCATGGTGTATATGTGCCATATTTTCTTAATCCAGTCTATCATTGTTGGACGTTTGGGTTGGTTCCAAGTCTTTGCTATTGTGAATAGTGCCACAATAAACATACATGTGCATGTGTCTTTACAGAAACATGATTTATAATCCTTTTGGTATATAACCAGTAATGGGATGGCTGGGTCAAATGGTATTTCTAGTTCTAGATCCCTGAGGAATCGCCACGCTGTCTTCCACAATGGTTGAACTAGTTTACAGTCCCACCAACAGTGTAAAAGTGTTCCTATTTCTCCACATCCTCTTCCACACCTGTTGTTTCCTGACTTTTTAATGATTGCCATTCTTACTGGTGTGAGATGGTATCTCATTGTGGTTTTGATTTGTGTTTCTCTGATGGCCAGTGATGATGAGCATTTTTTCATGTGTCTTTTGGCTGCATAAATGTCTTCTTTTGAGAAGTGTCTGTTCATATCCTTTGCCCACTTTTTGATGGGGTTGTTTGTTTTTTTCTTGTAAATTTGTTTGAGTTCTTTGTAGATTCTGGATATTAGCCCTTTGTCAGATGAGTAGATTGCAAAACGTTTCTCCCATTCTGTAGGTTGCCTGTTCACTCTGATGGTAGTTTCTTTTGCTGTGCAGAAGCTCTTTAGTTTAATTAGATCCCATTTGTCAATTGTGGCTTTTGTTGCCATTGCTTTTGGTGTTTTAGACATGAAGTCCTTGCCCATGCCTATGTCCTGAATGGTATTGCCTAGGTTTTCTTCTAGGGTTTTTATGGTTTTAGGTCTAACATTTAAGTAAAGTTCATATGGAACCCAAAAAGAGCTTGCATTGCCAAGACAATCATAAGCCAAAAGAACAAAGCTGGACACATCACGCTACCTGAGTTCAAACTATACTACAAGGCTACAGTAACCAAAACAGCATGGTACTGGTACCAAAACACAGATATAGACCAATGGAACAGAGCAGAGCCCTCAGAAATAATACCACACATCTACAACCATCTGATCTTTGACAAACCTGACAAAAACAAGAAATGGGGAAAGGATTCCCTATTTAATAAATGGTGCTGGGAAAACTGGCTAGCCATATGTAGAAAGCTGAAACTGGATCCCTTCCTTACATCTTATTTTTCAAATTTCAAATAAATCTTTGGTGATAGCTCTGCTTTATGCTGACTTTCCTTACAAGTTTCAAAGACATTCAAATCTAGGGAATTGTAGGATATGTCAGTAACTCATGCAGAGGAAAAAGGAGAGAAAATCTTTGAAAAGCAGTCACTGAAGCCTGGGAGTAATATATGCAGTGTTAGATGGTATATAGAATTACAATAACATAGTATGGTATAATCTTTGCCTTAATGATACCTATTATTTAATGAGAGTAAAATAAACAGTATAGTCACTATTATTAAAGCCAGCATTTATTGAGAGCATCTCATATGGCGGGCACAATGATAAGTGATTTTGTAGAGTAATAATTTAGTATTTATGTAAGCCTTACGGGATAATTGCTATCATTATTTTTATTTTACAGGTGAGGAAAGTGAGGCTTGGAGAGACTAAGTAACTTGCCCAGTGTCACAAAACTAGAAGGCAGCAGAGCCAGTATTTGAACCCAGATCTGTCGACTGTCAAGCCCATATTCTATTATACACAGTGTTTTTACCTGAAAACACAAAATTACATATTTAGAAGAATTGTATAAATAAACAGTTTTATATACATATGCATATTTATCCAGTTTGTATTACTGGAGCAATTAAGAGCAAGATAATCTTTGCTCTGTTCTAATTGTGCACTTGGCTAAACTCAAATACCAAAATGCAGAAATTACTAACCTTCCTCTGTATTTTAAATTATACTTTAGGGAGTGGGTGGAAGGTTTCCTTTTTTTTTTTTTTTTTTTTTTTTTTTTTTGAGAGAAAGTCTGTCTCTGTTGCCCAGGCTGGAGTGCAGTAGTGAGTGGTGGGTGGCGGATGGCGCGATCTTGGCTAACTGCAACCTCCGCCCACCACCGCGCCATCCGCACCCCCTTCTCGCCCCCCACATTCAAGCAGTTATTGTGCCTCAGCCTCCGGAGTAGCTGGAACTACAGGCATGCGACAACATTCCTAGCTAATTTTTTCTGGCCTCAAGTGATCCGCTGGCCTTGGGCTCTCAAAGTGCTGGGATTTCAGGGATTACAGCCACCTCGCATGGCCAAGTTCGGGAGTGGGGGGAAGGTTTTAATGGTTTTATCAGATTGCTTTTCCCTGAGAAGTCAAAAACAAAAAACAAAAAACAAAACCCCAGAAACAAAACAAAAAAAACCCACATTTTTTCAAAGTGTATTTGCTTTCCTTTGTTACTTTTATATTGTTAAGTAATATTTGTTATTAAGAAATTTAATTTGTTTAGTACTCTAGGTTGTCATCTGTTTTTTTAAGTAGGCCACTTTGTAAAAATTTGGCATGTACAAAAGTGCATTAACTTTTTTCAGGTCCCCATTTAGTGCGCTGCTGGAGTAATTCATTGGTCTGTTATGCATCCTGGAGTAGTTTGCTGGCAAAGTAAAGAATGTCATCTGTTAAAACTCCCGAGAATATGCTGGCTTCTGTAGATGCATAATGACTTATTAGAAAAAAAACAGAAACAACAACAACAAAAAAACAAAAACAACTCTGGAGATTCTGCTGCAGATTTTGAAGAGAATCTTCAGTGTCTCTGAAAAAATCTCACGTCTCTGAAATTCTTAAAATTCAGTAAAATCCTATTAAGTTGATATTGGTGTTTTAAAGCCAGCTAGAATTTGAAGAGTAATTCCCAAGTCATCTAAATTATATTATCTGAACAAATATAAAACTTGGAAATTTGACCCAGAGCAATGTGCATCTAGAAACATTTAATATCAAGTAAGTGTTTTTAAAAGTCTGAAAATACTCAGTATTAACTCACAATTTGTAAAGCACCTAGCAAAAAGCAAAAAGAAAGAGGATTAAAGCAGTGTTTACATTTTAGTTTTTTCTTCTGCCTTTCTTTTTTTTTTTTCTTTCTCTAAATCCCTTGTCAAATAACCATTTGTGTCAATAGCAAGTGGTTTGCCTGAAGGAACAATCTCATTTTATGCTTAAGTTGGCTCACTTAAAATCAAATAATGGTGAATTTATATATCTTTAATTCAAAGGTGTTTCTTCCTGGTCCCTGTTGTTTTAAAGAGTTGCTAAAGGATAAATCAAGCTTTTAAAGAATTAAGGTTAGTTTGATTCAGAAGTCTTATTGAGGGCTATAGACTGAGATCTCTAGCCTGGGATCCGGAGACCTGTAGAAAGGTTAGTCTGCTTGGGCACAGGACACACTGTTTCAGCCCACTGCATACATACAGGTGTTGGAGGTTCGGTGCATGCCAAAACATGTCAAACTTGCTCAGAAGTTACATTAAAGCAGCGTCACATCAAAGTTTACATGTAAGAGTGCATCTGGTTATAGATTAAGAAGCATAATCGCTAACCCCGTCCGATGTTATTTTATGTATAGGAAAAGGCAAAGACGAGGATCATTTAACTTCTAAGGAATGTAGTGATTCAGGCAAGAAACATTTTGGGGCTGTTTGCTCTATCCTGTTTTGTCTTCAAAGCATGCTTCTGGAGAGCTGTATGTTCTCACAGAGTCAGGGGCTTTGTAAAATCATGCGGGCAAGGAGAAATGAGCAAACATAGCTTCTTACGTTTGCTGCTTAGCCTCACAAAATCATTAGGACCTTATATGGACAGTCTTTAGTTTCCAAAGGTAGATGTATCTGAAATGTATTTACATGGATGGGAAACAAACTGCAGTGATATTTCATAGACTTCTCCTCCTATCATTTTCTCTTATGAGCACTTGAATGAGCCAAGGAACTCAGACTCACAGAACCTCAGTTTTTTTTTTTTTTTTTAGTCTTATTTCATTCTTACTTTCTACTCCCATCTAATGAGTAGGCAAATCTGACTTTTCTTGTGCAACACTTTTTTTTATTATTGTCTGTATTTACCTGGTTATTGGAACAAACCAAGTTCGTATTCCTACTGTCTAATTTCTGAAAATATTGTAATGGTGTTCCTGCTTTACTTAACCTCCATATTCAGTCTCTTCTGCACATCCCATTCAGGTCACCCTGAAAAATTTAATCTCCTGCTCAAGAACCTGTTGTGATTCTCATCTAAAAAAATTTTTTTGACAGAGTTTTGCTCTGTCGCCCAGGCTAAAGGGCAGTGGCGCGATCTTGGCTCACTGCAAGCTCCGCCTCCCAGTTTCACACCATTTTCCTGCCTCAGCCTCCCAAGTAGCTGGGACTACAGACGCCCACCACCGTGCCCAGCTAATTTTTTGTATTTTTAGCAGAGATGGGGTTTCACCGTGTTAGCCAGGATGGTCTCGATCTCCTGAGCTTGTGATCCACCCACCTCAGCCTCCCAAAGTGCTGGGATTACAGGCGTGAGCCACCACCCCTGGCCAATCAAGGGTCTTTTTAAGCAAACCCCAACCCTATCTTTCTAGAATTATTTCTAGTACTTAAAGTGCACCCTGTATAATCTAGGAAAACTGTGCAGCCATGTTCCTGGTATATAATCGGTTTTTCTTATATGGTTACCTTTGCTCATATTATTTTGAAAATGATCCCCAATAGTTTTATATAGATCCACTTATATAATGTACCTAAGTTTACATAGATCGGGGATACAAGCCTAAGGGCAGAGATCTTGTTTTTAACCACTGTGATATATTTGTTTAATGTTCAAATGAATGACTCATACCACTTTTTTTCATAATAATTGACAGTATTGTGTCATCCTGAGAATAGACACTTTGTGTTAGATATATTTGAGAAAAACAATTATCTGCCTAATAAACTTTTGCGGTAGTATAGAGAGTAGGTAAGAGCAGACTCTGGCCCCAGACCACCAGCATTCAAATTCTGACTGCCACTTGCTAGCTCTCTAACCTTGAACATATTATTGAGCCTCTTGGTAACTCAGTCTCCTCATTATAATTGATGTCTATTTCATATGCTTATAATGAAGATGAAATGAGTTAATATATGTAAAGCACTTAGAGCAGTGTCTAGTACTGCCAACTAATAATAGAACAGTAAAAACTAGTTATTAAAAATAGTATGCAACAAATATATTTCAGAATGTCAGAATTTAGAAAATTAAAGTGCAATACTCTCTCTTGCTTCCCTAACTTGATTTTTATTCAAATTTCTTTACTGGATACATTTTCTCCAGTGAATCCCAACCTTTGGAGATTATCAAATGAGAAGACTGCTTCTCACTGTAACCCCAATGAATGAGGATCTGTAGATACATGTGACTTGGAGTAAGCTGTTCCTTGTAATTGTTTCATAGCTAAAATTGCTTCTGTTGACCCAGGGACTCCACAACATTGCCATGAGAAATGAACATGCCGAAGGTTAGAAGGACAAAGAATCCTTAAAAATAATTATAATAGCTCATTAAAATAGTTAAAATTATGGATCAATACTCTATGACAGTCACTGCTGTATTACTTTTTATCTCATTTAAGCCTTACAACAATCAAATGAGGTTGACAGCATTATAATACCCATTCTTTTGTAGATGAAAAAATTGAGGCATGAAGAAAATATGTAATCTGTTTAAAGTCATACAACCAGAAAGTAGGGAACCAGAATTCAAACACAACCAGTCTGATTCGAGGCAAACTCTGTATCTCACAACTTTAACCAGTAAGCATATTGTCCCTTTATAGTTAATATACATGCTTACAACTTGTCTTAGGTTTGATATAAAATACCACAGACTGGGTGGTTTAATCAACAGACATTTATTTTATCACAGTTCTAGAGGCCAGAAGTCCAAGATCAAAGTGTTGGCAGTTTTGGTTTCTTGTAAGGCCTCTCTCCTTGGCTTGTAGATGGCTTCTTTCTCTCTGTGCCTTCATGTGGTCTTTTCATGGTGTGGGCAAATCCCTGGTGTCTTTCCTTCTAAATTTCCCCTTCTTTCAAAAACACAAGTCAGATTGGATTAGGGCCCACCCTAATGCTTTCATTTTAATTTAATCACCTCTTTGAAGATCCTGTCTTCAAATACAGCCTGAGGTTCTAGGAGTTAGGACTTCAACACATGATTTTGGAGTGCCACAATTCAGCCCTCAACACTTCTGTAATGTGTGACTACCAAAATCCATTCCTGGAATATGGTGCATGAAAAAACAAAAAACAAACAATCAAAGCAAGCAAATGAACAAACAAACAAAAAGCACAAACCAAAAATAAGTTTCAGGTAAAAATTTCAATCTTTATTCATATTTCTCTCAATTAATGAGAATCCAGTGGTTCTGTCAACATTAACACGTTAAATCTCTTATGCTTTTCTATTTTCTGACATTCCCAGCTCTTGGGAATCTCTCATTTTCTTATCCCATTGTACCACTCTTATCCATGCACACCTGTCCCTGTTACTTTTTTTTTTTTTTTTTTTTAAGACAGGGTCTCACTCCTATTGTGCAGGCTGGAGTGGAGTGATGCGATCACAGCTTACTGCAGTCTCGATTTCCTGGGCTCAGGTGACCCTCCCACCTCAGCCTCCTGAGTAGCTGGAACCACAGGTGCATGCCACCATACCTAGCTAATTTTTTGCATTTTTAGTAGAGATGGGGTTTTGATATGTTGTCCAGGCTGGTCTCCAACTCTTGGGCTCAAGCAATCCATCTACCTTGGCTTCCCAAAGGGTTGGGATTACAGGCATGAGCCACTATGGCCGGCCTGTCCCTGCTATTTTGCACCCTCAATCCCTTCTTCTGCTCCAAAGAGTGAAGAAAAATTCTTTGTTAGATTTTATCATTCTCTTTTGGGAATTTTCATACATGAATTTAGTTCTATTTTCCCATCTAGTTCACATTTTACTGGCAAAGAGAGATAGGGAGGGGTGTGGGCTTTCCACATTCAAAGCTTCTAACCCACCACATTAACTTTCACTGAACACTTATTATGAACCAACCCCTATGAGAAAACATTTTACATCGATCATGCTCTTTTCAATTTCACCTTACTTTTACAAGTTAGCACAAATTATTACCCTTATTTAAAGATGAAAAAACTGGTGTTTCAAGAAATTATATTATTTAGTAAGTATCACAGAGCTAGTAAATGGTAGAGCTGGGATTCACACTTTAGAATTTCGGTTCTTAACCCTGGTTACATATAGTGGCTTGGCTTTGACTATTTGATAAATTTCTATCATTGTATATAAATCACATTGATAGCAATTTCTCCCTATTTATGATGGTAAAATTTGTAAAAACTTATTTTAAAAGGGGTTATTACAATTGTCTAACACTTTAATTCTCATGATTGCTGGATATTAAAGGGGTTGAAGATTATCAAAATGAATCCATTTAAGTTGTGAAACGACTATATTGTTAAGCAATTCATATCCATACATAAAATGGCTTTTTAGAGCCCCTGGGCTGCATGCAGGTGCTAAACATAAATGGAACCCTGATGGATCTGAGAAAAAGAATCCAATGTTCCAAGTGTAAGTAGGAAAGCCAAATATTGCACTGATTCTGGCTCTGGGAAAAGTACATACTGTTATATTCCGGCACATCAGAATTTTCCAGGGATGTGCCTGGTATCTTGGAGTAAAGCCAATGTGATTTTCTGCCATCTAAGTCTTATTTCTTTATAGGTCTCTTTGCCATGTTCATTATGTAAATCATAGCTTCCTATCCCTGAATTGTAAGACTTTCCTCTTTTCTTATATAAATGGAAACACCCTCACCATTTCCCAGATATAACCATAATTTTATTCCTTTATAGCTATAGGCTTGACTTTATACAAATGTATCAAAAACAGAATTGATGAAAGGAGGTTGGCTATATGTAACCATACCAATCATTAATTATTATTACTTTTATTTATTAATATTAATGTTTAAATAACCACTAGGTTGTTTATTTTTGGCAGAAGGAGGAAGATTTTTCTTTTCTGTTTTTCTGCTTATACTTGGAAACTTAGATCTAGGCTTTAAAAAAATTATGATGTTATGAAGTTTAATTTCAAATTCATTTTACTGGTACTCAATCTTAGTTTGGCCTGGCAAATTCTTTCAGGATCTTTTGAGAGATATCATAATTTTTTACTCAACTTAGAAAAATCAACAAACTTAACAACAGCAACACAGTAAAAATAATAATTGATACCATTTAGAATCACTGAATGCTACCTATGATTTTTAAGAACATCTTTTAATTAGAATAAATGATCAATATTCTTTTATTTTCAATGAGACTTGAGGATCAACTTTTAGTGTGAAAGATTCCTATAATTGAGTCTAAATAAAGTAGTCTCTGAATGTGTAACATTTATGCGTAAAATTAAAGGAGCAGATGTGCTATATAAGATCAAAGAAGCATATATCCAGTTGAAATAAAGTCATTTAGAAAAATCCTGATACTGCCTAAATAGCATAATGAAATGATGGCTTACTCTCAACTTTAGAGAGACAGCAGAGTATTTTTTTAAGTCATTAATAAGGGACTCTTCAATTCTAGCTTTAATGAAGATTTTTGGTGGAATTTATGTATCCTGAAATTCCCAAATTCTACTCTTTGTAAATGGGAATTATATTATCTTATTTGTGATTAGTCCTGAATCACTCTGAAGCAGAGACTTATTCCCATTGTTTCTGAGGACAGATAAGCCCTTATGTATGTCAGCAAGTTGAGGAGTGCACCCATACCACAGTGTGGAGTATGGCAGAAGGCACAACATGGCCATGCCAACAGGCTTGGTGAACAGTTAGAGAAGCCTGCAAAATGGCTGGGTAAGCCTCTAATCCTGAGTAGGAATCCCACCGTAGATTAACGTGGACCTGACTGAAATAAATGCACTTATTTCTCTTGAAAACTGGCATTAGATTTTGTTTGTGAGTCCCTATGACCATCCTCAGGTTTGATCATTCCTGCGGCTTTAGGATTGAAGGACTCATAGGATTCTGAAAAGCTGTCATATTCACAATTGTGGTTTATTATAAGAAAAGTATGAAGATTAGAATCAGCAAGTACAAAAGGTTCATGGGACAAAATCCAGGGGAAACCAGTTGCAAGCTTCTAGTTCCCCTCTCAGTGCATTTGCATGGGGGATGTGTTAATTCCGAAATAAGACATGACTAAATGCGCAAAGTGTTGCCAAACAGGGAAGCTCACCCAAGCTTTGGTGTCTGGGGTTTTAACTGGGGAATTAGTCAGGTTGTTATGCAGTACCTGCATGACTACTTAGACTCCAGCTTCCACACTGATATAGTGTGGCTCAAGGCCTCAGGCATGCAAAAAATACTCCTGTCAGGCAGAATATACTGAGAGCTCAGAGGTCCTTGCCAAAAAGCCAGGCCTAGGACTAATCCTGAAAGCAGACCTTTTTTTTGGAATATGCAGGGTTTGAGAAACCCAGGCCTGATTAACTATTTTTTTCTGCACATTTCATTTCTTTTAGCTACAGAGATGGCAAATGAATAGCATATTTCACTACCTTCTTATTCAAGTTATATTCCTAAAGTAACTTAGGAAGTTGTAGGGATCATGTCAATAAGGTTTCTACATGTGGGAGAAACTATTATTCTGGGTCTTTTATTAGTGGAGAATGTAGTAAATAATCCAGAGTTCCAGAAGGACACCCATGTAACTCACTATCTAATAAAAGAAAGAACCTTTTTCTCTAAATCAAATATTTGTATCTTTTCCCTTTCCGGGAATTAATATTTCTTTGGAGGAGACAAAAGAACAAGATATAGAACCCCAATAATTTCAAATAGGAGTGTAATATTTTTTACAGGATGCACTGATTTATAAGTTCAACCCTCAGAGGTACAGACAGGTTTATCATCAGGCTATAAATGTCCAAATGCATAATGGAATGCAAAGCCTAATTTTCTAAAATATGTTTGGATGATACATTACTCATTGGGAAATTTAGCTGAGGCCAAAGGAAAGAGGTGAACTCTTTTTTTTAAAGGTTGCTTATATAATGCATTATTAAAGCTTTTAGATAAAAGACAAAATGTTATTTAATTTTTTATTATCTGGGAAATGTGGAAGTATATTTGACCAATTTTATTTGTTTGATTGTCTTTTAAAACTCTAATATAATAATCCCCTTCAGTTTTGGAACAAACGCATATCTAGTGGTGACAGAGGACCAGTGGTTAATGCTGGAATCAGTTTATCATAAGAAACACATATTACAGTCAGGATACTATTATCTTTTGCTAATAGCTCATGCTGGCACTAATTAGCTCTAACACACAAATGATAGAAACCATACATACCTGTTAACTTTATGCATCCTTTTGAGGTTCTGTTCTCCCATGAAAATTAATTGTTCAGTTTAAATATCCATGATGACAGACCTAACACCCTCCATTAAAAATACAGAGTGATGTATGTATATATTTTTTAAATAACAAAATTATTTAAGTTATTTTCAGAAACAGTAGATCTTGAGCAGATATGAGAGAATATGACTGATTTTAATTAACTCATAGCTGGAAGAGGAAATGTGATATAGGTTTCTGACAAAGAGCATGGTAGCTGCATACAAGGATAGTGCTACATTTTACTTTATTATAGGATATGATGATGCATATGGAAGTGTCACAATTGCCCCATTTCTACAAATAAAAACTTTCATAAGAA
This sequence comes from Homo sapiens, assembly GCF_000001405.40. Lineage (NCBI taxonomy): Eukaryota > Metazoa > Chordata > Mammalia > Primates > Hominidae > Homo > Homo sapiens. The sequence goes on along the minus strand of NC_000005.10, from coordinate 90,048,892 downwards.
AAGACCAAGACTTGAGCCCAAGAAATCCTGTGCTCAGAGCTTAAGATTCAAGAGAAAGTTTACTTTTAGGTAGATCTTAGTTTCAGGTAAGGAAATAAAGATGGGCATGAGAAGTACCCTATGGAACACTTTTTTATGGACTGCACTTTCAAATGGCCAATTTAGCAGCGGCCTTCATGATTCTTATTACTTCTCTTTCTTTTGACAATTGCTTTTCTTATCAAACTTGACAATTCTAGATAGATGAATAACAACTTGATTGGCAATTTGACATTGTTAGATAAACTCGCTCATTTTTTAAATGAAGTCGATGTCCACTGGCTTAGAGGCCTGCAGATTGAATATGTCAGAAATTTGTTCTTAGTTTCTCAGTTCCAATAGATGCTTCCATTTGTTTTAATAATAATCCAGAGAACTAGAATTGGTGAAATTAGTTTTATGATAATTGTTTGTGACTGTTCTTTAAAGTGAGTATTTTCTAAGTCGAAGATCAGTGCAAACTCTCCATTCTTAATGCCTTCCAAAGTGATTTTCACTGGAAGACATCCCAATTTGCTTTTTAAAAAATTCCAACTTTCAAAAGTACAAATTGACGATGTTTTTTTTTGAAATTCAAATGTAATAACCAAGTTAGTTTATATTTCAATAAAGCCTTGCCTTCCCATTGAAGAAGGCAATTGATAAATATATGTATTACTTCATCATCAGCATTCTTCAGAGTAAATTATTACTCAAGTACATGACATACAATCTTGCTAAAACAATATGATCAGAAAAATTGCAATTGTTACCTTATAATGCTCCCAAATATGGAAGATTAGCAACATTTAAAAAATTAAATTAAACTTACGATATATTGATTGAGGTCATACTCAGTGTTAAACATGGTATTATATCCTTTGAGACATGTCAGAAAAGCTAAAAGCAGGATTCCAATAAAAAGAGTTAAAGATTTTTGTTATAGTAGATATAGTGTTATATTTTAAGTAGAGGCAATGAAGTGCTCAAGAATTTCTTATGAAGAAGAACTGATGTGAACATAAAGATCTGCATACAACTCCATAAAGGAAGTGGTAAGAAAAACTGGTTTTGAATGGTAGATACAGTTTGGACATACAGAAGGAAGAAAACAAAAAGGCTTTGAGAAAACATATAAACTAAACAAGAGAGTTAGAATAAACAAATAAAGACTATCAGAATGTCTGCAGTATGGTTAAAAGCTTTACAGTCTTGGACATGGCTGCATTGGATTTATAAAAATTTCCATAAAAAAGCACAGTAGCTTAGTACTTCCAATTTCCAAATAAAATCTGAGTATTGTGATTATATCCCTTGTACATCTAGGCTCTCTTGTCTTTCCCTAAATATTTGGATGCCTAATCCTGACTCGTATCAGCACAAGGATTTAGGTGAGCCAAACCTGTAAAGATATTTGAAAGAATTTAAAATACCTATTTTTGATAGTGACATCCTAACATTTCTAAGAATATTGCAAACTTGCAAGATATTGGAGAAACATGACAAGAGTGCTTATCGAAGGTCCCTTTTCCCTGTCTTTTTCTGAAGACTTTCAGCTGAGTCAGCCTTTATTTCTTAATGCTCCAAAACAATTGTTCCAGTATCTCTGGATTGGTGTGTTTTAATGTCCGTGTGACATTTGTGATTGAGAACCATACGGTATTGATTCATTCCCAAATGTTCCCAAACAAAAAACATTATGTTTCTACTAGTAAGTTGCTTCCAAAGTAATAATAACTGGGATTCGAGATGGGGATGTGAAAGCACAGAATGTAGGGAAGAGTGCTCTAGGTAAATGGTGTGTTTGTGTGTGTGTGTGTGTGAGAGAGAGAGAGAGAGATAGAGAGAGAGAATGTTTCTTCTACTCTAAAGGCCTAGTGGCTCCAACAAGATGTGATGGATAGAAGTGGAAAAGAAGACTGTTCCCAAACTCGTGAAGCCAGAGTGGATGAGATGAGGGAGAAGTCGAGGAGATAAATTAAACTGTAGGCAGTGGTACCAAGTCTTTCTTAAGGATGTCAAACTGCCTTTTTTTTTTTTTTTTTTTGAGATGGAGTCTCGCTGTGTCGCCCAGGTTGGAGTGCAGTGGTGCGATCTCAGCTCACTGCCACCTCCACTTCCTGGATTCAAGTGATCCTCCTGCCTCAGCCTCCTGAGAGCTGGAATTACAGGTGTCCACCATCACGCTCAGCTGATTTTTGTATTTTTGGTACAGATGGAGTTTTGCCATGTTGGCCAGGCTGGTCTTGAACTCCTGAGCTAGGTGATCTGCCCGTCTTGGCCTCATGCTGGGAGTACAGGTGAGAGCCACCGTGCCTGGCCCAAGCTGCCACTTTAACTGTGCAAATTGCATATAGCATAAGAGTTTCTGGAATAAACTGCTGGGATATGACTCTTGACTCAACCATTACTTCATGGTAGCTTTAAGGCAAATTATGTAGCCTTTTAATTGTTTGGGAAAATACTACTACCGTCCTAAAAGTTTTTGTCAGGGTTAACAGCTTTAAGTAGGTATTTAAACAGTGCCTGACTTATAGTAGTTGCTAAATACATACTAGGAATTATTACTGAATGGAGACAAGTGACTTGCCATGTAGCTTAGTGGATTTTACAGTTGCAAAATATTTTCATAATTGGAATCATCACCTCCACTAATACTTTACAAGGTGCCATATTGGAGACAACTCACCTATGCTAAATAATTTGCCATTTACAACATAATATAGCAGTTGATTCATGGAATATCAGTCATCAAGGTATACTGTAACACAGACTTCTGCAGAATACAGAATGGAAAGAGATAGCAGGCAGGTTCGTGGAAAAAAAAGTTGCAATTGCTTTTGACACAGGTCATTGTGTGATATCTAAGATTAACAAATTAGAAAGATCTATTTAGTTGAAAATGCTAAAAGTTAATAGAAGATTAATAGTCATAGATTAATATGAATTAGACTGAAAAGTAAAGTAAAATATGTCAGAACATTATCCACATAGCAATCAGTGGCAGCAAGTTAGCATCCTACTAATCATCACTCTATAATTTTGCAAATAGAATATGCTTGCTATGAAAATTCATCTTTAAAATAAATCCTCTAGCTCCATCGTCCAATGAAATGACTCTTTTTAAAGTACTGTTATGCAAAAATCCTAGAGACATTGCAAATTACAAATGCCATGTTTGGTGCTCATAGAAAACTTCTAGAGACTCTGTTTCTGGGCTGAATAGGAACAGCTCTAGTCTACATCTTCCAGTGTGAGCGATGCAGAAGATGAATGATTTCTGCATTTCCAACTGAGGTACCAGGTTCATCTCACTGGGGTTGTCAGACAGTGGGTGCAGGACAGTGGGTGCAGTGCACTGAGTATGAGCCGAAGCAGGGCGAGGCATCGCCTCATCTGGGAAGCACAAGGGGTCAGGGAATTCTCTTTCCTAGCCAAGGAAAGGGGTGACAGAGGGCACCTGGAAAATTGGGTCACTCCCACCCTAATACTGCACTTTTCCAACGGTCTTAGCAAATGGCACACCAGGAGATTGTATCCCGCGCCTGACTCAGAGAGTCCTACCCCCACGGAGCCTCGCTCATTGCTAGCACAGCAGTCTGAGATCAAACTGCAAGGCAGCAGTGAGGCTTGGGGAGGGACTCCCGCCATTGCCCAGGCTTGAGTAGGTAAACAAAGCAGCTGGGCAGCTCGAACTGGGTGAAGCCCAGCACAGCTCAAGGAGGCCTGCCTGCCTCTGTAGACTCCACCTCTGGGGGCAGGGCATAGCCAAACAAAAGGCAACAAAAACCTCTGCAGACTTAAATGGCTCTGTCTGACAGCTTTGAAAAGAGTAGTTGTTCTCCCAGCATGCAGCTTGAGATCTGAGAACAGACAGAATGCCTCCTCTAGTGGGTCCCCGAACCCCAAGTAGCCTAACTGGGAGGCACCCCCTAGTAGGGGCAGACTGACACCTCACACGACCAGGTACTCCTCTGAGACAAAACTTCCAGAGGAAAGATCAGGCAGCAACATTTGCTGTTCACCACTATCTGCTGTTCTGCAGCCTCTGCTGCTGATGCCCAGGCAAAGAGGGTCTGGAGTGGACCTCCAGCAAACTCCAACAGACCTGCAGCTGAGGATCCTGATGGTTAGAAGGAAAACTAACAAACAGAAAGGACATCCACACCAAAACCCCATCTGTACGTCATCATCAACAAAGACCAAAGGTAGATAAAACCACAAAGATGGGGAAAAAACAGAGCAGAAAAACTGAAAATTCTAAAAATCAGAGCACCTCTCCTCCTCCAAAGGAACGCAGCTTCTCACCAGCAATGGAACAAAGCTGGACAGAGAATGACTTTGACGAGTTGAGAAAAGAAGGCTTCAGACAAACTACTCCGAGCTAAAGGAGGAAGTTTGAACCCATGGCAAAGAAGTTTAAAACCTTGAAAAAAGATTAGACGAATGGCTAACTAGAGTAACCAATGCAGAGAAGTCCTTAAAGGACCCGATGGAGCTGAAAACCATGGCATGAGAACTACGTGACGAATGCAGAAGCCTCAGTAGCCTATTCAATCAACTGGAAGAAAGGGTATCAGTGATGGAAGATCAAATGAATGAAATGAAGCGAGAAGAGAAGTTTAGAGAAAAAAGAGTAAAAAGAAACGAACAAAGCCTCCAAGAAATATGGGACTATGTGAAAAGACCAAATCTACATCTGATTGGTGTACCTGAAAGTGATGGGGAGAATGGAACCAAGTTGGAAAACACTCTGCAGGATATTATCCAGGAGAACTTCCCCAATCTAGCAAGGCAGGCCAACATTCAGATTCAGGAAATACACAGAATGCCACAAAGATACTCCTCGAGAAGAGCAACTCCAAGACACATAATTGTCAGATTCACCAAAGTTGAAATGAAGGAAAAAATGTTAAGGGCAGCCAGAGAGAAAGGTCGGGTTACCACAAAAGGCAGCCCATCAGATTAACAGCTGATCTCTTGGCAGAAACTCTACAAGCCAGAAGAGCGTGGGAGCCAATATTCAACATTCTTAAAGAAACGAACTTTCAACCCAGAATTTCATATCCAGCCAAACTAAGCTTCATAAGTGAAGGAGAAATAAAATACTTTACAGACAAGCAAATGCTGAGAGATTTTGTCACCACCAGGCCTGCCCTAAAAGAACTCCTGAAGGAAGTACTAAACATGGAAAGGAACAACTGGTACCAGCCACTGCAAAAACATGTCAAATTGTAAAGACCATCAAGGCTAGGAAGAAACTGCATCAACTAACGAGCAAAATAACCAGCTAACATCATAATGACAGGATCAAATTCACACATGACAATATTAACCTTAAATGTAAATGGGCTAAATGCTCCAATTAAAAGACACAGACTGGCAAATTGCATAGTCAAGACCCATCGGTGTGCTTTATTCAGGAAACCCATCTCACGTGCAGAGACACACATACGCTCAAAATAAAGGGATGGAGGAAGATCTACCAAGCAAATGGAAAAGAAAAAAAGGCAGGGGTTGTAATCCTAGTCTCTGATAAAACAGACTTTAAACCAACAAAGGTCAAAAGAGACAAAGAAGGCCATTACATAATGGTAAAGGGATCAATTCAACAAGAAGAACTAACTATCCTAAATATATATGCACCCAATACAGGAGCACCCAGATTCATAAAGCAAGTCCTTAGAGACCTACAAAGAGTCTGAGACTCCCACATAATAATAATGGGAGAATTTAACATCCCACTGTCAACATTAGACAGATCAATGAGACAGAAAGTTAGCAAGGATACCCAGGAATTGAACTCAGCTCTGCACCAAGCGGACCTAATAGACATCTACAGGACTCTCCACCCCAAGTCAACAGAATATACATTCTTTTGAGCACCACACCGCACCTATTCCAAAATTGACCATGTAGTTGGAAGTGAAGCACTCCTCAGCAAATGTAAAAGAACAGAAATTATAACAAACTGTCTCTCCGACCACAGTGCAATCAAACTAGCACTCAGGATTAAGAAACTCACTCAAAACCGCTCAACTACATGGAAACTGAACAACCTGCTCCTGAATGACTACTGGGTACATACTGAAATGAAGGCAGAATTAAAGATGTTTTTCGAAACAATGAGAACAAAGACACAACATACCAGAATCTCTGGGATACATTCAAAGCAGTGTGTATGCCCACAAGAGAAAGCAGGAAAGATCTAAAACTGACACCCTAACATCACAATTAAAAGAACTGGAGAAGCAAGAGCAAACAAATTCAAAAGCTATCAGAAGGCAAGAAATAACTAAGATCGGAGCAGAACTGAAGGAAATAGAGACACAAAAAACCCTTCAAAAATTCAATGAATCCAGGAGCTGGTTTTTTGAAAAGATCAAGAAGATTGATAGACCGCTAGCAAGACTAATAAAGAAGAAAACAGAGAAGAATCAAATAGATGCAATAAAAAATGATAAAGGGGATATCACCACCGATCACCCAGAAATGCAAACTACCATCAGAGAATACTGTAAACACTTCTACGCAAATAAACTAGAAAATCTAGAAGAAATGGATAAATTCCTGGACACATACACCCTCCCAAGACTAAAGCAGGAAGAAGTTGAATCTCTGAATAGGCCAATAACAGGCTCTGAAATTGAGGCAATAATTAATAGCTTACCAACCAAAAAAATTCCAGGACCAGATGGATTCACAGCCAAATTCTACCAGAGGTACAAGGAGGAGCTTGTAACATTCCTTCTGAAACGATTCCAATCAACAGAAAAAGAGGGAATCCTCCCTAACTCATTTTATGAGGCCAGCATCATCCTGATACCAAAATCTGGCAGAGACACAACAAAAAAAGAGAATTTTAGACCAATATCCCTGATGAACATTGATGCAAAAATCCTCAATAAAATACTGACAAACCAAATCCAGCAGCACATCAAAAAGCTTATCCAGCACGAACAAGTTGGCATCATCCCTGGGATGCAAGGCTGGTTCAACATATGCAAATCAAGAAACGTAATCCAGCATATAAACGGAACCAAAGACAAAAACCACATGATTATCTCAATAGATGCAGAAAACGCCTTTGACAAAATTCAGCAACGCTTCATGCTAAAAACTCTCAATAAATTAGGTATTGATGGGACGTATCTCAAAATAATAAGAGCTATCTGTGACAAACCCACAGCCAATATCATACTGAATGGGGAAAAACTGGAAGCATTCCTTTTGAAAACTGGCACAAGACAGGGATGCCCTCTCTCACCACTCCTATTCAACATAGCGTTGGAAGTTCTGGCCAGGGCAATCAGGCAGGAGAAGGAAATAAAAGGTATTCAATTAGGAAAAGAGGAAGTCAAATTGTCCCTGTTTGCAGAGGACATGATTGTATATCTAGAAAACCCTATCGTCTCAGCCCAAAATCTCCTTAAGCTGATAAGCAACTTCAGCAAAGTCTCAAGATACAAAATTAATGTTCAAAAATCACAAGCATTCTTATACACCAATAACAGACAAACAGAGAGCCAAATCATGAGTGAACTCCCATTCACAATTGCTTCAAAGAGAATAAAATACCTAGGAATCCAACTTACAAGGGATGTGAAGGACCTCTTCAAGGAGAACTACAAACCACTGCTCAATGAAATAAAAGAGGATACAAACAAATGGAAGAACATTCCATGCTCATGGGTAGGAAGAATCAATATCGTGAAAATGGCCATACTGCCCAAGGTAATTTATAGATTCTATGCCATCCCCCATCAAACTACCAATGATTTTCTTCACAGAATTGGAAAAAAGTACTTTAAAGTTCATATGGAACCAAAAAAGAGCCTGCATTGCCAAGTCAATCCTAAGCCAAAAGAACAAAGCTGGAGGCATCACACTACCTGACTTCAAACTATACTACAAGGCTACAGTAACCAAAACAGCATGGTACTGGTACCAAAACACAGATATAGACCAATGGAACAGAACAGAGCCCTCAGAAATAATGCCACATATCTACAGCTATTTGATCTTTGACTAACCTGACAAAAACAAGCAATGGGGAAAGGATTCCCTATTTAATAAATGGTGCTGGGAAAACTGGCTAGCCATATGCAGAAAGCTGTAACTGGATCCCTTCCTTACACCTTACACAAAAATTAATTCAAGATGGATTAAGGAGTTAAATGTTAGACCTAAATCCATAAAAACCCTAGAAGAAAACCTAGGCAATACCATTCAGGACATAGGCATGGGCAAGGACCTCATGTCTAAAACACCAAAAGCAATGGCAACAAAAGCCAAAATTGACAAATGGGATCTAATTAAACTAAAGAGCTTCTGCACAGCAAAAGAAACTACCATCAGAGTGAACAGGCAACCTATAGAATGGGAGAAAATTTTTGCAATCTACTCTTCTGACAAAGGGCTAATATCCAGAATCTACAATGAACTCAAACAAATTTACGAGAAAAAAACAACCCCATCAACAAGTGGGCGAAGGATATGAATGGACACTTCTCGAAAGAAGACATTTATGCAGCCAACAGACACAGGAAAAAATGCTCATCATCACTGGCCATCAGAGAAATGCAAATCAAAAGCACAATGAGATAACATCTCACACCAGTTAGAATGGTGATCATTAAAAAGTCAGGAAACAACAGGTGCTGGAGAGGATGTGAAGAAATAGGAACACTTTTACACTGTTGGTGGGACTGTAAACTAGTTCAACCATTGTGGAAGTCAGTGTGGCGATTCCTCAGGGATCTAGAACTAGAAATACCATTTGACCCAGCCATCCCATTACTGGGTACATACCCAAAGGATTATACATCATGCTGCTATACAGACACATGCACACATGTTTATTGCGGCACTATTCACAATAGCAAAGACTTGCAACCAACCCAAATATCCAACAATGATAGACTGGATTAAGAAAATGTGGCACATATACATCATGGAAAAGTATGCAGCCATAAAAAATGATGAGTTCATGTCCTTTGTAGAGATATGGATAAAGCTGGAAACCATCATTCTCAGCAAACTATTGCAAGAACAAAAGACCAAACACTGCATGTTCTCACTCATAGGTGGGAATTGAACAATGAGAACACATGGACACAGAAAGGGGAACATCACATACCTGAGCCTGTTGTGGGGTGGGGGGACGGGGGAGGGATAGCATTAGGAGATATACCTAATGTTAAATGATGAGTTAATGGTTGCAGCACACCAACATGGCACATGTATACATATGTAAGAAACCTGCACGTTGTGCACATGTACCCTAAAACTTAAAGTATAATAATAAAAAAAGAAAACTTCTAATAACCCATTCACCCTTTTGTTTTTTGGTGTGTGTAAAGGAGACTTCTGAAGCACTCAGTGTAGGGAGGGTAGATATTAGAAAGATTCAGGCAATTAGATTTCCTAAATGTGGGTATCTGAGGAGGATATCCATGAATTCCTCTAGGTGTTTCCTCTTCCAGCTGGAGTAGAAACTGAAATAATTTGTGATGGGAGATTTGCCCTATGAATGCCCTATGATTCATGGGCATCTGGTTTTCCTTTTCCTCTTGAGGAAAGACTACATACTTCTCATTCACCTTGCAGATAGGAAATGCTAATTTCTAATTCTATCCAGTGAAATGTGAGTAAAAGTCATGCATGTCATTCCTAGTCTGAGGCATAGAATGGTCCTTCTGGATTCTCCAGACTCTTTCTTCTTCCTGTGGGATAGAGGAGGCCTTGTGTTGAGATGGCAAGCTACTAGATCAAAGCATCCTGTTACTAGGTCCCTGAATGGAGGGTAGCTGTGGTGAGAGTCACCTGGGTTTTCAGCTGTCTTAGCATAACAGATAAATCAACATGTGTTGTATTAAGCCACTGAAAATTTGAGATTATTATAATAATATAGTCTTTCATATCCTAACTAATGCAGAGGGTTAAATAATACTTATTGTAGTAAAAATAATTTTTGTTTAAATATATCTTCAGTTTTTATAAGATTAATATGGAGGAGTGAAAACTTAGAATCATAGCATCACTTTATCTATCAATCATCTACCTATCTATTTATCTATGAACCTATCTTCATTCTCCTATTGATTCCAAATTACTACTCTATATTGTGGATGAAGCACATATTCAGAAAAGCAGAATTCTGGCTGGCAAGTGAAGATGACTTTCTATTTATTGATTCCTTCTATACTTTGTTTTGGGGTGTGTGGGCAGTGCTAAGAGTTCCCTCAAATATTATAGCTATCCTTTACTCTTTGCTAAAGATTAGCTGGGTTTCCATAGTTAGTAAAAGAAAATTCTGTTCCAAAAGTAACAGTTTAGTGACCTAAATTAAATTAAAAATGTAATGTGAAACTGGGGAATAACTAAATACTTGTTCTCTCATCAAGTAATTTTAGAAACTAGTGCCAAGTGAGTTGTGTAGCGTATTAGCCATAGAGTGGAATATTCCAGAGAGAAGCAGGAATTATTTTGTTGACATCGTCAAAAGTCAGTTAAAAGTATCTAATATTTTGTTTGCTCTTTTCTGCCCAATTGATACCTTTGTTATTTCTATATTATCATATGCTCTCTCCAAAATATGAGCAAATATTAATATGGTAAATTTAGATTTCTTGTAATAACCAGTTAGTATGGTGTGGTAGATTTTATTTTCCAAACATAGTTCTCCAAGTACATATCCCATTCCACATGCTTTTCTTACAATGTGACAGTGATTCTTTTCCACTGGGAGGTGGGTTCTATGTCCCCATCCCTTGAACCTAGGCCATTCAGTGTAGCAACTGCCTCTACTAAGAGAACATGACAAAAGTAATGCAGTGTGACTTTGGAGGCTAGTTCATAAAAGGGCATATGGCTTCTGTTTTTCCCTCAGGACACATGACAAAGAAGCCAGAATTACCATGTAGGAAGTATGGACTCCTTGAAGCCACTGTACAGACCAAAAAGCCTCAGCTGTTACAGCCGCGAGCTGTTCAACTTTCAGCCCAGGCACTAGACATGAGTGAGTAAGCCTCTGGATAATTCGAGATCAGCCCCCAGCTGTTCAAGTTTCAGTCCAGGCACTAGAGATGAGTGAGTAAGCCTCCAGATAATTCAATATCTCAGCCTTTGAGCCAGCCTCGAGTTCCCACAAAGTCCTGATAAGACTGCAGTTTCATGAGGAAAATAAACATAATTGTTAAGTCATTTTTCTTTTTTTTTTAAGATTATACTTTAAGTTCTGGGATACATGTGCAGAACGTGCAGGTTTGTTACATAGGTATGCATGTGCCATGTTGGTTTGCTGCACCCATCAACCTGTCATCTACATTAGGTATTTCTCCTAATGCTATCCCTCTTCTTTCCCCCAACCTCCCAACAGGACCCGGTGTGTGATGTTCCCCTCTCTGTGCCTATGTGTTCTCATTGTTCCACTCCCAGTTATGAGTGAGAACATGCAGTGTTTGTTTTTCTGTTCCTGTGTTAGTTTGCTGAGAATGATGGTTTCCAGCTTCATCCATGTCCCTGCAAAAGACGTGAACTCATTCTTTTTTATGGCTGCATAGTGTTTCATGGTGTATATTTGCCACATTTTCTTTATCCAGTCTAACATTGATGGGCATTTGGGTTGGTTCTGAGTCTTTGCTGTTGTGATTAGTGCTGCAATAAACATATGTGTGCATGTGTCTTTATAGTAGAATGATTTATAATCCTTTGGGTATATACCCAGTAATGGGATTGCTGGGTCAAATGATATTTCTAGTTCTAGATCCTTGATGAATCGCCACACTGCCTTCCGCGATGGTTGAACTAGTTTAAAGTCCCACCAACAGTGTAAAAGTGTTCCTATTTCTCCACATCCTCTCCAGCATCTGTTTTTTCCTGACTTTTTAATGATCGTCATTCTGACAGGCATGAGATGGTATCTCATTGTGGTTTTGATTTGCATTTCTCTAATGACCAGTGATGGTGAGCTTTTTTTCATATGCTTGTTGGCTGCATAAATGTCTTCTTTTGAAAAGTGTCTGTTCATAGCCTTTGCCCACTTTTTGACGTGGTTGTTTGTTTTTTTCTTGTAAACTTGTTTAAGTTCCTTGGAGATTCTGGATATTAGCCCTTTGTCAGATGGATAGATTGCAAAAATTTTCTCCCATCCTGTAGGTTGCCTATTCACTCTGATAATAGTTTCTTTTGCTCTGCAGAAGCTCTTTAGTCTAATGAGATCCCATTTGTCAATTTTGGCTTTTGTTGCCATTGCTTTTGGTGTTTTAGTCATGAAGTCTTTTCTTACGCCTATGTCCTGAATAGTATTGCTTAGGTTTTCTTGTAGGGTCTTCATGGTTTTAGGTTTTATGTTTAAACCTTTAATCCATCTTGAGTTAATTTTTGTATAAGGTGTAAGGAAGGGGTCTAGTTTCCATTTTCTGTGTATGTTTAGCCAGTTTTCCCAACACCATTTATTAAATAGGAAATCCTTTCCCCATTGCTTGTTTTTGTCAGGTTGGTCAAAGATCAGATGGTTGTAGATGTGTGGTGTTATTTCTGAGGCCTCTGTTCTTTTCCACTGGTCTATATATCTGTTTTGGTACCAGTACCATGCTGTTTTTGTTACTGTAGCTTTACATTATAGTTTGAAGTCAGGTAGTGTGATGCCTCCCGCTTTGTTCTTGTTGCTTTGGATTTTCTTGGCTATATGGTCTCATTTTTGGTTCCATATGAAATTTAAAGTAGTTTTTTCTAATTCTGCGAAGAGAGTCAATGGTAGCTTGATGGGAATAGCATTGAATCTATAAATTACTTTGGGGAGTATGGCCATTTTCATGATATTATTCTTCCTAACCAAGAGCATGGAATGTTTTTCCATTTGTTTGTGTCCTCTCTTATTTCCTTGAGCAGTGGTTTGTAGTTCTTCTTGAAGAGGTCCTTCACATCCCTTGTAAGTTGTATTCCTAGGTATTTTATTGTCTTTGTAGCAGTTGTGAATGGGAGTTTGCTCATTATTTGGCTATCTGCTTGTCTATTATTGGTGTATAGGAATGCTTGTAATTTTTGCAGATTGATTTTGTATCCTGAGACTTTCCTAAGTTGCTTAACAGCTTAAGGATTTTTTGGGCTGAGATGATGGGATTTTCTAAGTATACAATCATGTCATCTGCAAACAGAGATAATTTGACTTCCTCTCTTTCTATTTGAATACGCTTTATTTCTTTCTCTTGCCTGATTGTCCTGGCCAGGACTTCCAGTACTATGTTGAATAGGAGTTGTGAGAGATGGCATCCTTGTCTTGTGCCACTTTTAAAGGGAATGCTTCCAGCTTTTGACAATTCAGTATGATATTGGCTTTGGGTTTTTCATAAACAGCTCTTATTATTTTGAGATATGTTCCATCAATACCTAGTTTATTGAGAGTTTTTAGCATAAAGTGCTGTTGAATTTTATCAAAGGCCTTTTCTGTGTCTATTGAGATAATCGGTAGTTTTTGTCATTGGTTCTGTTTATGTGATGGATTTCATTTATTGATTTGTGTATGTTTACCCAGCCTTGTATCCCAGGGATGAAGCCGACTTGTTCATGGTGGGTAAACTTTTTAATGTGCTGCTGGCTTCGGTTTGCCAGTATTTTATTCAGGGTTTTCGCATTAATGTTCATCAGGGATATTGGCCTGAAAGTTTCTTTTTTTGTTGTGTGTCTGCCACGTTTTGTTATCGGGATGATGCTGGCCTCATAAAATGAGTTAGGGAGGATTCCCTCTTTTTCCATTGTTTGGAATATTTTCAGAAGGAATGGTACCAACTCCTCTTTGTAGCTCTGGTAGAACTTGGCTGTGAATCCGTCTGGTCCTGGGCTTTTTTTGGTTGGAAGGCCATTACTGCTTCAATTTCAGAAGTTGTTATTGGTCTATTCAGGGATTCTCCTTCTTCCTGGTTTAGTCTCGGGAGGATGTATGTGTCTAGGAATTTATCCATTTGTTCTAGACTTTCTAGTTCATTTGTGTATAGGTGTTTATAGTATTCTCTGATGGTAGTTTGTATTTCTGTGGGATAAGTGGTGATCTCCCCTTTATCATTTTTATTGTGTTTATTTGATTCTTCTCTCATTTATTCTTTATTAGTCTGGCTAGCGGTCCATTTTGTTAATCTTTTCAAAAAATCAGCTCCTGGATTCATTGATTTTTGAAGAATTTTTCCTGTCCCTATCTCCTTCAGTTCTGCTTTGATCTTAGTTATTTCTCATCTTCTGTTAGCTTTTGAAATTGTTTGCTCTTGCTTCTCTAGTTCTTTTAATTGTGATGTTAGGGTGTCAATATTAGATCTTTCCAGCTTTCACCTATGGGCATTTAGTGCTATAAATTTCCCTCTAAACACTGCTTTAGCTGTGTCCCAGAGATTCTGCTACATTGTGTCTTTGTTCTCATTGGTTTCAAAGAACTTATTTATTTCTGCCTTAATTTCTTTTTTACCCAGTAGTCATTCAGGAGCAGGTTGTTCAGTTTCCATGTAGTTGTGTGGTTTTGAGTGACTTTATTAATCCTAATTTGATTTCACCATGGTCTGAGAGACTGTTATGATTTCTGCTCTTTTGTGTTTACTGAGGAGTGTTTTACTTCCAATTATGTGGTTGATTTTAGAACAGGTGCTATGTGGTGCTGAAAGGAATGTATATTCTGTTGATTTGGGGTGGAGAGTTCTGTAGATTTCTCTTAGGTCCACTTGGTCCAGAGCTGAGTTCAAGTCCTGAATATCCTTGTTAATTTTCTGTCACATTGATCTGTCTAATATTGACAGTGGGGTGTTAAAGTTTTCCACTATTATTATATGGGAGTCTAAGTCTCTTTGTAGGTCTCTAAGAACTTGCTTTATTAATCTGGGTGCTCCTGTATTGGGTGCATATATATTTAGGATAGTTAGCTCTTCTCATTGAATTGATCCCTTCACCATTATGTAATGCCCTTTTTTTCTTTGTTGATATTTGTTCATTTAAAGTCTGTTTTATCAGAGACTAGGATTGCATACCCTGCTTTTTTTTTTTTTTTTTTTGCTTTCCATTTGCTTGCTAAATATTCCTCTGTCCCTTTATTTTGAGCCTGTGTGTGTCTTTGCACGTGAGATAGGTCTCCCGATTACAGCATACCAATGAGTCTTGAGCCTTTATCCAATTTGCTGGTCTGTGCCTTTTAATTGGGACATTTTACCCATTTACATTTAAGGTTAATATTGTTATGTGTGAATTTGATCCTGTCATAATGATAGCTGATTATTTTGCCCATTAGTTGATGCAGTTTCTTCATAGTGTTGATGGTCTTTACAATTTGGTATGTATTTGCAGTGGCTGGTACCAGTTTTTCCTTTCCATATTTTGTGCTTCCTTCAGGAGCTCTTGTAAGGCAGGCCTGATGGTGACAAAATCTCTCAGCATTTGCTTGTCTGTAAAGGATTTTATTTCTGCTTCACTTATGAAGTTTAGTTTGTTTGGATATGAAATTCTGGGTTGAAAATTCTTTTCTTTAAGAATGTTGAATATTGGCCCCCACTCTCTTCTGGCTTGTAGGGTTTCTGCAGAGAGATCTGCTGTTATTCTGATGGGCTTCCCTTTGTGGGTAACTTGACCTTTCTTTCTGGCTGCCCTTAACATTTTTTCCTTCGTTTCAACCTTGGTGATTCTGACCAGTATATGTTTTGGGGTTGCCCTTCTCGAGGAATGTCTTTGTGGTGTTCTCTATATTTTCTGAATTTTAATGTTGGCCTGTCTTGCTAGGCTGGGGAAGTTCTCCTGGATAATATCCTGAAGTGTGTTTTCCAACTTGGTTCCGTTCTCCCTGTCACTTTCAGGTACACTAATCAAATGTAGATTTGGTCTTTTCAAATAGTCCCATATTTCTTGGAGGCTTTGTTCATTCCTTTTCATTCTTTTTTCTCTAATCTTGTCTTCATGCTTTATTTCATTAAGTTGATCTTCAACCTCTGATATCCTTTCTTCTACTTGATCGATTTGGCTATTGATACTTGTGGATGCTTCACGAAGTTCTCGTGCTGTGTTTTTCAGCTCCATCAGGTCATTTATGTTCTTCTCTAAACTGGTTATTCTAGTTAGCAATTTCTCTAACCTTTTATCAATGTTCTTAGCTTCCTTACATTGGGTTAGAACACGCTCCTTTAGCTTGGAGGTGTTTGTTCTTACTCACCTTGTGAAGCCTACTTCTATCAATTCACCAAACTCATTCTCCATCCAGTTTTGTTCCCTTGCTGGTGAGGAGTTGTGATCCCTTGGAGGAGAAGAGGCATTCTGGTTTTTGGAATTTTCAGCCCTTTTGTGCTGTTTTGTCCTCATCTTTGTGAATTTATCTGGCTTTGGTCTTTGCTGTTGGTGATCTTTGGATGGAGTTTTTGTGTGGTCATCTTTTTTGTTGATGTTGATGCTATTCCTTTTTGTTTGCTAGTTTTCCTTCTAACAGTCAGGCCCCTCTTCTGCAGCTCTGCTGGAGTTTGCTGAGAGTCCACTCCAGACCCTGTTTGCCTGTGTATCACCAGCAGAAGCTGCAGAACAGCAAAGATTGCTGCCTGCTCCTTCCTTTGGAAGCTTTGTCCAAGAGGGGCACCCGTCAGATGCCAGCCAGAGCTCTCCTGTATGAAGTGTCTGTTGAAACCTCCTGGGAGGTGTCCCCCCATCAGGAGGCATGAGGGTCAGGGACCCACTTGAGGAGGCAGACTGTTCCTTAGTAGAGTTCAAGCGCTGTGCTGGGAGATCCACTGCTGTTTTCAGAGCCAGTAGGCAGGAACGTTTAAGTCTGCTGAAGCTGTGCCCATGGCCGCCCCTTCCCCTAGGTGCTCTGTCCCAGGGAGATGGGAGTTTTATCTATAAGCCCCTAACTGGGGCTTCTGCCTTTCTTTTGGAGATGCCCTGCCTAGACAGGAGGAATCTAGAGAGGCAATCTGGCTACAGCAGCTTTGTGCCACTGCAGCGGGCTCTGCCTAGTCCAAACTTCCAAGCGGATTTGTTTACACTGTGAGGGGAAAACCGCATACTCAAGTCTCAGTAATGGCAGATACCTCTACCCCCACCAAGCTCAAGTGTTCCAGGTCGACTTCAGAGTGCTATGCTGGCAGCGAGAATTTCAAGCCAGTGGATCTTAGCTTGCTGGACTCTGTGGGGGTAGGATCTGCTGAGCAAGACCACTTAGCTCCCTTGCTTCAGCCCCTTTTCCAGGAGAGTGAACGTTTCTGCCTAGCTGGCATTCCAGGTGCCCCTGGGGTATGAAAGAAACCTCTTGTAGCTAGCTCGATGTCTGCCCAAATGGCTGCCCAGTTTTGTGCTTGAAACCCAGGGCCCTTGTGGTGTAGGCACCCAAAGGAATCTCCTGGTCTGTGGGTTGCGAAGACCATGGGAAAAGCATAGTATCTGGGCCAGATAGCACCACCCCTCACTGCAAGGTCCCTTACATCTTTCCTTGGAGGCAAAGGAAACTTTCCCTCACATCTTTTTCTTGGAAGGAAATGCCAGGGGAGGGAGTTCCCTGACACTTTGCTCTTCCTGGGTAAGGCAATGCCCTACCCTGCTTCTGCTTGCCCTCTGTGGGCTGCACCCACAGTGTAACCAGTCTGTATGAGATGAACTGTGTACCTCAGTTAGAAATGCAGAAATCACCCACCTTCTGCGTTGGTCTTGCTGGGAGCTGCATACAGGAGCTGTTCCTATTCAGCCATCTTGCCCGGGAAATCCTGGTTAAGACATTTTAAAAATTAGTTTTTATTCAGATTTTTAATTTGATTGCATTATATTGATTATATTAACGTGTAATACACATGCCATAAAATTCATCATTTTAAAGTGTATAAGTCAGTGATTTTTGGTATATTCACAAGGTTTTACAGTTATCACTACTGTCTAATTCCAGAATATTTTCATCACCTGAAAAAGAAGTCCCATATCCATCAGCAGTAACTACCCATTCCTTCTTCCTCTCATTCCCTAGAAAACAATCTATTTTATCTCTCAATGAATTTGTCTATTCTGGTCATTTTATGTAAATGGAATCATACAATATGTGGCCATTTGTATCTAGCTTCTTTCACTTAGCATAATGTTTTCAAGGCTAATGTAGCAGGTTTTGTTATTTTAGTCATTTTTATGGCTGAGTAATATTTCGTTATATGGATGCACAACATTTGTTTATACATTTATCAGTTGATGGAAATTTGGATTGTTTTCACTTTTTAGCTATTATTAATAATGCTGCTATAAAGATTCATGTACAAGTTTTTGTATGAGCATATGTTTTCAATTATTTTGGGTGTATACCTAGGAGTAGAATTGTTGGGTCATAGGAGAACTCTGTGTGTAAATTTTTGATGAACTGCCAAGCTATTTTCCAAAGTTACTATACCGTTTCACATTCCGACCAATGATGTTTTCAGGTTCCAACTTCTTTACATCCCAAACAACACTTATATGTATTTTTGTATTACATCTGTTTTTGATAACAGTACTCACAGTGGATGTGAAGTCACTAAGTTTTGCAGTCATTTGTTATACACAGTCAGGCTAACTGGAATGTGGAGTGAGTTCGGGTCCCACATCTGTAACTTACCCTTTGGCAAGTTATTTGCCTTATGAACCTCATTTTAAATTCGTATGATGAAGCTCTTTCTTCCAGCTCTCATTATATTTTTGTACATCTTTTTTCTTCTCCATATCATTGAAGTAAATATTTATGTAAACTTTGCAATGGACATTTACATATATTATCAAAATGAATGAGGATTAATTTTATTTTTTCAACAGTTAAGTAGATCTTGGTCTTATAATCAATGACCACTTACATATAATCCTGATCATAGACTAATTTAACAATAAATCTGCCATATTAAAACCAAGAAGAATAAAAATCTTTGTATGAGGTCTTTGGACTTTTTGGTTACCTAAATGATGACAGCCATATATATTGATACAAAAAGTAATAGAAAAATGGATTATGTAAAATTAAACTCAACTAACTTACACCGTCCATTTGAATCCTGCCATCCTTAGAAAGAAACCTGTGGCAATATTGTATGTTTCATGGCAAAAAAAAGCACTGATTGGACAGAAGTAGACTTCCTTAACATCCTTTTAAATGTCAAGGATTTGAAATTATATCATGAGAAATCATTTAGTGTTTTTATTGAATATTTAAAACATAGCACATTAGAAAGAAATTTATTGCATTCAAGTCAAAAAAAATTCAGTTCAAATCCTTCAGCATCGTATAATATAACCTTCTTTTATTTTTTCATGATTTGAAACTTAAAAAGGAAGGTGGACCTAGTGCATAACACTGATTTAGAACTTTTGTTCACTTAATCTGCCCTATATTTGACTCCTTACATTGTCACTCAATTGAATGGAATACACTTTAAGGAAAATGTCAGATAAAAACATCTTTTGGTCTACATATCAAAATTTTACTTGTCTTAATTTTTGGATGTATAAGATATAATATCTGTAACCTAAGTCACCAGGAAAAAACTGATGATAAAAAGAGGTATAATTGTGCATGCAATATATTTTTAAATTTTTATCCTTATTTCAGTAATTTTGGGGGGTACAGGTGGTTTTTGGTCGCATGGATAAGTTCTTTAGTGGTGATTTCTATGATTTTAGTGTACCCATCACCTGAGCAGTATACACTGTACCCAAAGTATAGTGTTTTATCCCTCACCCACCTCCCACACTTCCCTCTGAGTTGCTGGAGTCCATTATATCATTCTTATGCCTTTGTGTTTTTATAGCATAGCTCCCACTTATAAATGAGAACATACAATACTTGGTTTTTCATTCCCAAGTTACTTCACTTAGAATAATGGTCTCTAACTCCATCCAGTTTGCTGCGAGTGCCATTATTTCATTCCATTTTATGACTGAGTAGTATTCCATGGTATATATGCCACATTTTCTTCATCCATTTATTGGTTGATGGGCTTTTAGGTTGGTTCTATATTTTTATAATTGGGAACTGTGCTGCTATAAACACGCATATGCATGTGTCTTTTTCATATAATGACTTCTTTTCCTTTGGGTAGATACCCAGTAGTGGGACTGCTGGATCAAATGGTAGTTCTACTTTTGGTTCTTTAAGAAATCTCCATACTGTTTGCCATACTGGTTGTACTAGTTATTCCCACCAGCAGTGTAAGTGTTCCCTTTTCATTACATCCACACCAATATCTCTGGTTTCTGAGTTTTTAATTATGGCCATTCTTGCAGGAGTAAGGTGGTATTTTATTGTGGTTTTAATCTGCATTTTCCTGATGATTATTGATGTTGGGCATTTTTTCATATGTTTGTCGGTTCTTTATATATCTTCTTTTGAGAATGTCCGTTCATGTCCCTTGCCTACTTTTCGATGGACTATTTGTTTCCTTTTTAAATTTTTCTTTTATTGCTGATTTGTTTGAATTCCTTGAGGATTCCAGATATTAGTCCTTTGTTGGATGCATAGTTTGCAAATATTTTCTCCCACTCTGTGGGTTGTCTGTTTACTCTGCTGATTATTTCTTTTGCTGTGCAGAAGCTTTTAAATTTAGTTAGGTCTTATTTATTTATTTCTATTTTTGTTGCATTTGCTTTTGGGTCTTCGTCGTGAATTCTTTGCCTAAGCCAATTTCTAGAAGAGTTTTTACGATGTTATTTTCTAGAATTTTTATAGTTTCAGGTCTGAGATGTAAGTCTTCGATCTACCTGGAGTTGATTTTTGTATAAGGTAAGAGATGAGGATCCAGTTTCATTCTTCTACATGTAGCTTGCCAGTTTTCCCAGCACCATTTATTGAATAAGATGTCCTTTCTTAATTTACATTTTTGTATGCTTTGTCGAAGACCAGTTGGCTGTAAGTATTTGGCTTTGTTTCTGAGTTTTCTAGTCTAAGTGCCTATTTTTATTCGAGCACCATGCTGTTTTGGTAACTATAGCCTTGCAGTATAATTTTAAGTCGGGTAATGTGATGTCTCCAAATTTGTTCTTTTTGCTTAGTATTGCTTTGGCTATCCAGGCTCTTTTTTGGTTCCATATGAATTTTAGGATTGTTTTTCTAGTTCTGTGGAAAATGATGATAGCATTTTGATGGGAATTGCATTAAATCTGTGGATTGCTTTGGGCACTATGGTCATTTTCACAGTATTGATTCTTCCCACCCATGTGCATGGGAGGTGTTCCCATTTGTTTGTGTCATCTATGATTTCTTTCAGCAGTGTTTTACAGTTTTCCCTGTAGAGATCTTTCAGTTCCTTGGTTAAGTATATTCCTAAGAATATTATTTATTTTCAGCTGTTGTAAAAGGGATTGAGTTCTTGATTTGATTCTCAGCTTGTTTATTTTTGGTGTATAGCAGTGGTACTCATTTTTGTATGTTAATGTTGCATCCTGAGGCTGTACTGAATTTGTTAATCAGATCTAGGAGCTTTTGGGATTAGTTTTTAGTATTTTCTAGGTATACAATCATATCACTGGCAATAGTTTGACTTCCCCTTTTCCAATTTGAATGTCCTTTGTTTCTTTCTCTTGCCTGATTGCACTGGCCATGACTTTCAGTACTATGTTGCATAAAAGTGGTGAAAATGGGCATCCTTGTCTTGTTCCAGTTCTCAGGGGGAATGCATTCAACTTTTCTCCATTCAATATGATGTTGACTGTGGGTTTATCATAGATGGCTTTTATTAGTTTGAGGTAAGTCCCTTGTCTGCCTATTTTGTTGAGGGTTTTTATCATAAAGAGATGCTGGATTTTGTCAAATGCTTTTCCTGCATCTATTGAGATGATCATATGGTTTTTGTTTTTAATTTTGTTTACATGATGTGTCACATTTATTGACCTGCATATGTTAAACCAACCCTGTATCCCTGGTATGAAACTATCTTGATCATGATATGTTATCTTTTTGATATGTACATGCAATATTCTTTAAAAATTGTGATGTGAACTTCAGGAAGTTGACCTTATCTTGTCATATGTTTTCATAGCACTTTGGACAGTGCTCTACATGGAATAATGACTTTATTAATATTTTCTAAATGATAATCTGATTTACATATACAAAAGATTTGCCTATGCTATCTGGGTTGTGATGTAAAATATTTAGTTGTACATCTAGAATTTTGTCAACTTAAGTTGGTAATTGTGCAGTTGCTACTAACTGTTGACGAAAACATCAATTATATATATTATTGCAATGGTTAATAAAGGGAAGGTGATCCTGAAAATATGGCATGTTATATGGAATAGCATTGATATGGGAAGTTGCAGCAGATTCCAAGCTTCTGCTTAAAATGTCTTTCTGGTGGTAGGTATCTTGGTATTCAGATAACTGGGTGGGTCAATTTGAATGAAATCTTACATATTGACTCATATTTAATTTATATGTATTTAGTATGAAAATTAATAAAAACAACAAGCTAAAACAATGAGAGACCAGAACATTTCAATTCATTCCCCACAGCTCTTAAAACAGAAAATATGTAGCTGTATTGAGCTCTGCATACCTGTAGCTAGGGTGTTTTATTGTTTGTTTGTTTTTTGTTTTTGTTTTTGGTGGTCCAGGGTTGCTCAGATAACACTGTATGTTGTGTTGTACTTCAAAATATAAAAGAAGGCAAAATAACCATTAAGAATTTATCTTCTTTTAAATTTGGAGATGTCCAAAATAGAGTCCACCTGCAGGGAAATGTAACCGAATTTCATTAAGCAATCACCTGCCAATATTTGAATTTTGAGAGGATGGTATTAAGTGTCTTCAAATTCTATAGAAATAATGTTAAAATAAATATAAATTAACTCAAACTAGCATCAGAGACACACTGAAATATAAATGAAAAACAGCATATAGATCTATATAGCCTGTTTATGTCACTCCAGAGATTTAGATAAAGAAAAACAAACATAACCTTTTCAGCTGTTTCACACAAGGGAAAAAAATTGAAACATTTGATTATAATTGTTTTAATGAGCTGTGATTTAAAGTGATGAAGTTGTAATGGTTTGGGTAAAAAATCTTCTGTTAATGAGTTTTTATTTCTATTAAAACCAACAAGATAAAAAATTCTCCAAGGATAAAGTTTAGTGGCAAAGCAGTGTTTACTTTCTGAAAATTAAAAATCCCTAATATTGACTACATTATTTTCAACAAACATGTTTATTAATTATTGGTATTACCATAGAAAGATATGTTAAAAGAAAAGTGAAATTATACAATAGACATAGAATGCATTTATGTGACTTGTTTTCATGCTAAACTTTGGCAATAAGGTAAACTTTGCCTGATTTTTGGGAGTCACTCAGCCTTTTTTATAATTTATATTTCCTTCAGGCACAGACAGAGTAGTCAAAAAAGTTGTTCCATGTGAAACAGTAAAACCATCATGTCCATTTAAAGTAGGATGTTGTAAATTGATGCTTGTTTTGGACACCCACTATCACTTTCTCACAAATGTGTGTCTCCAAAATGAACACTGTCTAAAGAGAAGTTAAATATATGGTGAGCAGATGTCTACCAATGTTTGCATCTTTTTTAAAAGGCAATGTAGGAATTCACATTTAATCTTATTAAAATTAAAAAAGATTAAATCTGGCCAGTGTAATTTATCTGTATATTAGAATTCTAAGTGATTGTCAGTGAGAAATACAAAGACTGTGAAGGGTTAGTGAAAGGAATTCTATTTAGGTGGCATTCCAGGGCTCAGAAAGTTTGGTAAGGACAATGAGGGCCATTAATTTTTTTAAATCATTTTATTTTATTTCAATAGTTTTTAGGGAACAGGTAGTTTTTGGTTACAGGGATACGTTCTTTAGCGGTGATTTCTGAGATTTTGGTGTACCTGTCACACAAACAGTGTACACTGTATCCAATATGTAGTCTTTTATCCCTTAGCCCCCATCCCATCTTTCCCCCTGAGTACCCAAAGTTCATTATATTATTCTTTTGCCTTTGCATCAGCATATCTTATCTGTACTTATAAATGAAAACATATTATGTTTGGTTTTTGCACTCCTGAGTTACTTCACTTAGAGTAATGGCCTCCAACATCCAAGTTGCTGCAAAAGACATTATTTCATTCCATTTTACGGCTGAGTAGTATTCCATGGTGTATATATACCACATTATCTTTATCCACTTGTTGGTTGATGGGCATTTAAATTGGTTCCATATTTTTGCAAATGGGAATTGTGCTGCTATAAACACGCGTGTGCATGTGTCTTTTTTGTATAATGACTTCTTTTCCTTTGGGTAGATTCCCAGTAGTGAGATTGCTGAATCGAATGGTAGTTGTACTTTTAGTTCTTTAAGGAATCTCCATACTGTTTGCCATAGTGGTTGTACTAGTTTACATTCCTACCAGCAGTGTAAAAGAGTTCTTTTTTCGTCACATCCATGCCAACATCTATTATCTTTTGATTTTTTTTAATTAGAGGGCCATTAATTTTTTCATTTGCTGCTCTTAAGGGTACAATCCCAAACAAAAGTTCACTCTCATCAGTGGAGAAAATAGCTTTGAATTTTGAACTTCTACATACTCAATTATAATTTAACCTGTAAGCTTCAAATAGCTAATGGCAATATCTATTTGGTATAACACACACACATACACATTCACAATCATTTTTTCAATCTGGCTTTATAGTAGGAAATACAATTGAGAAACTTCAGAAAAAAGGAGGCCAACATCTCAAACTTCTCTCCTAAACCTGGTTAGTTTTTTTTTCTTCTATATTTTAGTTTCACAAATTTAGGTATAATATTGAACTCCTTGTTAGTATAAAAGTTTAGATGTTGAAATAGTTTACTTACAAACCTAGTATATCGCCAAGAAGCTGGCAATATAAGAGGACATTTGATTCGTTAATTCCTGCAGGTATTTTACATCATTATGCAAATACTAAAAAAGTATAAAATAAAGTGATCTATAGTTTAAAGCCAGATAAGAAATAATGGTAGCCATAACAACAACAGCAACAACAACAACAATAATAGTTGCTAATAGTTATTGATTGCCTACTTATGCTACTCTCTGTTCTGAGCACTCTGATCATACCATCTAATTTCATCCTCACAAGAATATTGTGCAGTAGATACTGTTTCAGTCCTTTACTAGTGAGGAGACTGGCTCTGAAGTAATGTCAACAGCAAATGTCAAATCAGAATGTCCTAATACAAGGAAAGCTTAATTTGGGGTTTACAAGTCAATGGAGTTACCCTTATAATTACTCTGTGGGACTTAAAATGAACTAATAAAATGAAGTTCCAGCATGTTTCATAAATGTTTATTACATATATGATCCCTAGGTATTATATAGTATATACTACATTTCTAAACATTGCAAAATAATAATTTATTCACTTAAAAGATATTTATTGAGTTATTGCTGTCACCTGCCAGGAACTGTTCTAAACAGTGGGAATATGGTAGTTACTGAAACAATATCCTGTGCTAATAGAGCTTATTTTCTAGCATTACTGTATTGTGCATATCATATGTCAACTTGTTTGTCTCAAAAATTTGTTTCAGGATTAATCCATATACACATAAATTATTTTATGTTTTTGGTTGAAAACATAAAAGTATACCACAATTAACTGCACTACTCATAAACTGAAACATTCTTCAATTTTCTTTTATTATAAAGGATGCATTTGTGCCTGTGTCTTCTTGTGTATATGAGTAAGAATTTTTGTCTGGTGTGTAAATTTATGTATTTGCTGGGATAAGCTAGTTTTGCTGCCATAGGAAGCAACCTCCAAACCTCAGTGGCCTAACACAAGAGAAATTTTTTATCTTTCTCACATAAAATCTGTTAACAGGTTCAGATGATCCTTGAGGACAGCTCCTGACCATGTATGTGGCTCAGCATTCTGAGGCTGACTTGATTTTGTGTCCCCTACACATTAGCATATGCTTCCAAGATCATCTTCACAAGGCAAGATGGAGCTTGAGAGTCTTACACTGGCAATTACATATCCAGCAACACATGACAACATTGTTTGACTGTAAATTATTGGCTAGAACTAGTCCCACCCAAAGACATGGGGACTAGGAGTTTAATCCTTCTATATGCCCAGAAGAAGGAAAGAATATTTTCTCAATCTATCTGTGGAATTGCCCTGCCATTGAGTAAACACATTCTACATTTACAAGATACTGGCAAATTTATCCCCAAAGTGATAGTTCCAAGTTTATATTCCCATCATATGGATAGAGGATCCCTGTTTTCTCACAGACTCACCAGAGCCTGACATTGTCAGGCTTTATAAATGCTGGGCAATCTGATGCATGTGAAATGGTATCTCATGGTTTTAATTTGTACTTCCCTGGTTACTGGTGAGGCTGAATATTTATTTAGTTTCTGAAGTTTGCCTTTAGGGAGGAAAAGAGTGAAAGTGGGGTGGAGGTAGATATGAAGGACTTTAAATTTATCTTCATTGCTTTATTTCTTGAAAATATGATTTGAAAAAAGTACAGAAAAATGTGGGCAATTGTTAAATTCAAATAAAAATACGTTAAAGTAGCCTTACTCTTTTTGGTTACCACATTAAAGCAAGTTTAAAACTTATAATTGTTTTTAGAGCCACTTTTGCTTACCTCCAAGCTTGGAAACATGTTTTACTGTAACCCTGGTGACAAGACACACCCACAGATTCCCAATAAGTGCTCTTGAGACTTAGTACCTTTGCCCAACTTCAATTTAACTAAATCTCTTGGGATTTGGCCATCAGGAAAAAGAACATACTTGCTTTAATTCCAGTGAAAGTGAAATTGTTCTTGAGAATCCATAAATGTGAGAGTCTATGAGAAAGAGTATAGTGGATCTTTCTGACATGATGGATAGAGGAGGAACATTTACAGAGAAAGCAGTTCACTATATTTACCATCTGAAAAAAATACATATAAAAGCATTTAAACTTTGGACTTATTTATTATTTTTAATGTATTTTTATTTACATATGTGATTTTTGAAGAAAAATATAATCATTTCAAATTTAATATTACAGGTTAATTCAGCTAATTGGGCTACTCCACAGGTAAATATATTTTTTAGTCTTAATATCTTTGTAATTGAATTTGAAACTAAAATGTATCTGCTTTTTATTTTCCCCAGAGAATTTTTGTTTTAGTAATAAATTTCTTCTGTGACATACAGTCATATACTGGTTGATTTTGAGAGTTTCTTGATTTCCAGTAAACAACGTACTCCAAATTCTGATTTAAAAGATTTGTTTTGGTTTTTCTCCGGCTTTTTCTTTCCAGTGTTTCAGTGTGGGTTTTCCACATTTGATCTGACCAAATTTGGCCTCATGTCTCTGAGTTTTGGGTAGTTAAAGAAACTGTATTTTGAAATTAAATTCTTCCTTATATTTTTCTTATCTGTGAATGTTCCCAGAGTTTAATTCTTGGCCATTTCTCTTTCTCTTTTGTATGCTTTCCCTGAATCAACTGTGACTCATGGTTTTGACTTTCACTTCCATGTTGATAGCCCTCCTCTTTACAGAACTTCTTCTATTTATGCTTTGGTTAGGTTCCAAAAGGTTGGTTTAAGTCTGTTTGCAAAGTGACACTTAAAATGAGTAACTGCTAACACCCTCTGATGGTACCAGGCAAAGTTGATTGTTTTTTTTTGTTTTTTCTCCTTTTCCTGGCTCAGCGAGTTCGTTTGAGTCATAAGAGAAACTTTTGTTTCGTTTACCCCAGCTTCAAAATTCTATATATCTCAGCTGCTTTTGGGACTTACTCCCTTTGTGCACTATCTCCTCAAACTAAACATATTAAAATTTGAGATCATTTTCATCTCAAATAAGCTGTGACTTTCTCTCTCTCTCTCTCTCTCCGCTGCCTTTATTTATTTATTTATTTATTTATTTATTTATTTATTTATTTTAAAAGTAGATGATACCATTCAATTCACTGGAACTCAGAGTCTCCAAAATGCTTATTCTTCTTTCATCATTTTCATTTCATACATTTATTTGCATCAAATCCAGTTGTTTCTCTGGAGTCTTACATTCTTTGCCAGACCATGATGGTGGGCTGTACATTCAACATCATGCATTAACTACTGTAGTTTCAAAATTAATCATCATATGTGTTGAAAACTATGGCAGAGTGCTACTTCTCTCAGTCTTCTATGGCTCCTGTGTCTTCTACCTACTGCTACTCCATCTATCTTCCTGCAAGGCCGGTTTTACATGCTAGTCTTTGGCTCAAAAGCCTATATGGACCCATGATTATTACTGGATAAGATTTAGACTCCAAAGATGGCATAAAATGCCACAATAATTGGATTTACACAAATAGATAAAATTTATTTTCTATCTTTATATAGGGAATCCTGAATTTCATGAAATTCGGACATTTGCTCACAGATGCAACTTGCACATTTGCTACTGCAAGCTTTTACTCATTCTGCTACTGGCCCTGGATTGCCCTCACCCTCTTTTCTCATATGAATCTCATTGATATTTTAAGAACCTGAAATCCTTCTTCAACATCTTCAGTTTTCAATGCCCTCATTTGTTGTTATTTATTTGTTTATTTTGAGGCAGAGTCTCACTCTGTTGCCCAGGTTGGAGTGCAGTGGTGCGATCTCATCTCACTGCAACCTCCACCTCTGGAGTTCAAGTGATTCTCCTGCTTAGCCTCCCGAGTAGCTGGGATTATAGGCGCCACTCCACCATCCCTGGTTAAATTTTGTATTTTTAGTAGAGATGGGGTTTTACCATGTTGGCCAGGCTTGTCTCAAACTCCTGATCTCAAGTGATCCACCCACCTCGGCCTTCCAAAGTGCCAGGATTACAGGCATGAGCCACCACGCCCGGCCGATCCCCCATTTTAAAATCATTTTATTATAAATGCAACACAAACTTAGAAGATTTCAAAAGTCCAGGGAATCTTCACAACGTTGGAAAAAAAAAAAGCATACTACCATCTCATCTAATCCTGAATGATTTACTTTGACTTTCATCATTATTTTCATGATTTCATCATTATATTGAGTTTCAGATACGTCTTACTTACTACCCAGTTCCAACTTCATACCTTCAGCTGCATATAGAACTTTCCCACCTGTATGGCCATAATCTCAAGCAATTATTACCGTTTTAACATATTTTTCCAGTCTTTTTAAAAATATGCATTTTTATATGTTCAATGATTTTATATTATAATATTAGGCAAAATGTAAAACAAAACTTGTAATGGCTGTATTTCACTCTAACATATATATTTGCTCACCATTCCGATATAATAACGTATCTTTAATTTTAATTCCTCATTATTTCTTACTATACATGATGCTAAAGAGAACATTTATATATATACATCTTTGTCTAATTTTAGATGATTTCTTTATGTTAATCTCCTAGAAATAAAATTTGGGGTCAAAGGTATGAAAATTTTAGTTAAAAAATGATATTGCTAAATTGCTTTCAAGGGAGGTGTTACTGATTTAGAATTCCAAATCAAGATCCCGAAAGAGTTCTTGTTTTTATTATAGCTAAACAGTTTTTTTTCTGATGAGATTTTAAATGATTACAAGTCATATAATTATCAGAAAATTATTTAATCTCTCCATTCCTCAGGTTCCTCTGTGAAACAGAAATAATCATGGTACCTATCTCATAGGTTCATTATGAGTTTGATGTACGTAAAATTTGTACATACTGCCCAACATAAAATACTAATGTATTTTGTCAACAAATACATTATACTTGTCTATGTATTAGACAAATTATATATTGTTCCACTTATATTCTTTTACTTTAGACTCCATATATTTGGTAGCAAAAAAAATTCCAAATGGTTTAAATTAATGTTAAGAACTTTCACATATTAAAAATAATCTTAAATATAGATGTCCAAAATGGTAAAACAGACCTCATTAAATTATTACGTTTCATCACAATATTTACAGTGCTGCCTAGGTCACGTTCTTTCTCTCCCTTAAGTCTCCAAACTTCTAGCAGCATTGTCAATTGGCTCCTCATTGTGGTTCTTGCAACACTTTCAAACAGAAAAATGGTGCTAAGTTTTCAGATGCTTCCACTAAACTTTAGTGGGAGATGATAGGGCAGCCCATTTAGATTTTGTGGAGCCTAAAGATCATGCAATTGTGGAAGTGTTTTTAATGGAAAATAATAACTATGAATTTAAAAACTGCTAGCATCCCTGCTAGGTTCTTGCAAGGGAGTCATTTAGGGGAAGAGCCCTAAATTTACATTAGCTTCTAGGTAAATCACCTACTGCTTCTTGGCATGCCCCACCACTCTTTTCAGCGTATCTTTCACAGAGTATGTTCTCAATACACATTTGTTGATGTGAATAGGAGTTAGAGAATTATTATAGATGCCACACTATTGTACATAGACAAAAGTGTTAGTCACAGTTCCCAGTGATCCCCATATTGCAGTAATGTGGAAATATAAATTTGACAGCATGTTAAATATAAAGGATAAAATCAACCCGTGATTTTTCTTCAGACACCCATTATAGCCCCTTGATGTAGAGACTACAAAGAGAATACACCTGGCTCTAACAAAACTTACTTCATTCTGGCTAGCCTTACAATTTGAGATGTTCCGACACTAGGTTCTCTTTTTATGTTCTTACTCTCTAAAATTTTTCTAGTGGAAATGGAGAAGTTGGTTGTCATTTCATTGCTACAATTAAAATTGATCACAGATTTTAATCATGATTACCATTTTGATGGTTAAAGAAAAGCGACTTGGTCATCTCAATAAGAAATACTTTTCAAACTCTTTTATGTTCAGTTTGAGACACCTGAAGATTAAGAGTCTATCAGAACATTCCCAGCCAGTTTGAGCCCTGTCACTAAATACTAACAACAACAAAAAAAAAGTAACAAAAAAAAAAGTTTCCTGTATTATGAAATCCAGAGAGGTAAAGTCTTATTGTAGGTCTTGATTGCCAAAAAAAAAAAAAAAAAAAAAAAAAAAAAACAACCAGCAAAAATGTGAGGGAAATAATACTTTCTGGTGTGCTAAAAGTGACTATGAAGATCAAACTCCTTTAAAATCAAGGAGGGTCTGTGTTTGTGTCAGTCAGCTGCTGTTTTCCTCATTGGAAAAGATTCTTACTTTGAAAACTTAGGTTTCACCAAGCTATTCTGCTACAGTCACCACGGCTTTAATGATTGCCCTTTCCTCAAGTCTATTCTTGTTTACTCCTCAACAGAAAGAACTTTAGATTAGTGTATGTATCTCCATCTTTTCGTGGCTACTGAACCTCCTTTTCTCCTGAACACCTTGTTGAGAACAATTTAAGAGTCTGGCTTTATACTTCCTCTGCAATAAAGAACAAAATGTTCCCGGCATGATAATTCTACTTGGGAATGGATAAGTTCTCATATGCTTAAATTCTGAAAGGTACGTGAGATGGTCTGTTCTAAATGACAGGTTGCCATGGTTACATCCTTCTGTGGCTCACATGGGGATAGGGCCAATTATCAAGTTTTGTTTGGTTGATTTTAAGTAGTTTGTTACCTGGATACTCAACAAATAAGAAAACTGGGGGGAAAAAAGACTTGTTTTCTTCTTCCCTAGAAAGGAAGCAGTCATTGTTGGGGGGAAAGCCCTTAAATTCCAAACAACATGGTAAATTATTTAGTTCAGATAGAGTTTCTAAATTGTTGACTTTATTTCGGGACTAGCATAAGGCCTGTGAACTAAGATAGCTTTAAATGCTATGAATTGGATTTTTTGTTAGCTCTGTTGATCCTATAATATTTGTGTTAAGTAATTCATTCCCCTCCTCTTTTCCAGATTTGTCTGGTGCTTTTCAAATGCGTGTGTGTGTGTGTGTGTGTGTGTATTTTAAGTTAGTCCTTTTGTGAGTTTTGCTGCTCGGCCTCATTCCTCCCTCCCATGGTGGAAGTAAGATTGTTAATTAATGATATTCCAGAGGCAATTTCTGGAGTGACTATTGGAAAACCCTTCTTAATTAACAAAATGATAAATTCCCCACTGCAGCAGTGCTGCAAGTGAAGTTCATCTGTGTCATTCAAAATCTATGATTTTAAAACATTCTCTGACATTTTTTTGAGGATATTGGGCATTTAAAGTCTGGATCTTTTATCAAAGTTTCCGTAGCCAGCTGGAGAAGGAGAAATGCAGAGTGAAAAGGAGAAAGAAGAACTGGACAAAATTAAAATGCTCTTCTGTCATTGTAATAGTTCATATGGGCACTGACAGGAGAGCATTTTGACTTTGTCAAGTGTGTCTGCTACTCATTTATTCCATCTCCTGCTTGTTACCGAAGTTTCAGATTAAATGTAAAGATATGAATGTATTGCCATAATAAATTTATAAGTGGATATTTAAAGAGCAAAGATTTGAATGACACAAATGAACCTCGGTATAGCAGTAAAGTGGACAGGATTTGCAGAAAGATGCCACAGAGTCAGAAATGACTGCTGGAATCGCCTTAATTAAAAAAAAAAAAAAAAAAAAAAACTAAAAAAACTTGAGCTTCATAAGCCGCCATAGAAGGTGTCTAATGTGAAATTAGGCTTACTTTACATTATTTATGCCACTTTAAAACGATGTAATAAAAGCTTTCAAAAATCTGATTAAGCTGTATTATTCAAATACAAGGCACTTACTTAAGCAATGGAAAAGCTAAGCTGTTAAATTTGGGGGCAGGGAGTAAGATTCTAGACAAAGTTAAAGCAGCATGTTTTTAAAAATGTATGGTTTCTTTTTAAGATATCTAGAAAATACAATTAACTTTTTGAAATCATATTTAGTTGAGTGAATAGTAATCCCAATGTAGTAAACTGTAGAGATAACACTTTCTAAGGATGCCTTATCTTACTTCCCACAAGAGGCTTAGGGTTCCTTTAAATGTCATGGGAAAACTGCATAACCTAAGATACTCCTGTAGGGTTTGCATAACACTGGTATGCATAATAAGAAAGAAAGCAATGTGAGGGGGCACCCAGCTTCTATGACCTGATGTGTGGTGAGGACCCAGAGCACAGGGCTGAGAAGAAGCAATGGGGAGTTAAAATGAGGACATGGGGATAAATTATTTGACATGATCCTGAGCAGACCTGACTTTTGTAATGACACTCAAACAGCAGATAACCCTGAAGGCAATCTGAAAAAGAAGAATACAGTGGTCACACTAGCAGATAGGAAAGAGATGAGTAAGCTTTTCTGAATTGTCTGAATCACTACTGAAAAGCACGTCCTTCGACTGTGAACACCACTTCTCTTTTCTTCTCATGTCTGCTGCCCTTCGGCTAATACAGTGTAAGAATTCATTTTGTTTATCTGCTCCAACACAGAATAACTCCAGTGAGGATAAAGTTATAAGGATTGTAAGGAAGAGGGAAAGAAAAATGTATACAAAAATAACCATGGAAGTTTCAGAATAATAGCATGAGAAGAAAAAATTTGTTTAGGTTGGTTTTCTGATATTATCCAAATAAATATTACTTTCAAAATCATAATATCTGCCTTGAGCTTAAATGGAGAGAAAGGAAATGGAAAAGTTCCTTACTGAATCTGAGATCTAGTGTTTTGTTTACACTTGAATATAGGTAGTAAATCTTAGGAGCAGTTCAGTTAGAATAATCATTTTAAAATTACTTATGGGACTAAAAAGCTTATGCTTTTAGCAGACCCATTCAGTAAATTGGGGTGAGAGGAGAAAATGGGGCTCTTTAGCAAATGACCAACATCTACAGATTTTGCCTAATAAGACATTTCTATGGGGCAGATGCCTTATCAAACTTTCAAACAATTAAACTTGGTTTTATTATAAAGTCAAGCTGATAGTAAATGTCTTTACTTTTTAAAGTAGATTTTATTGGTTATATAACTACTCACACAAACTGGGAAAAATCATTTTAATGTATGGCACAGATCTTAGATAAATGATATATGAGATAGAATTTCCAGATTCTAGGTATAGGGTACGGTCACAATTTATAAATTGCAAATGAAGGGTATAGTCTGTAAGTAACTAATCTAATCTTTCTCATGACCTCTATGTCACTGAATACTGTGCAGGGAGGGGTGGTGGGATGAAAACTTGACAATTAATGGTCTCCCAGTCTCTTCATATTTTAGACAATTTCTCTTGAAAAAA
The DNA here is from genome assembly GCF_000001405.40 of Homo sapiens. Classification (NCBI taxonomy): domain Eukaryota; kingdom Metazoa; phylum Chordata; class Mammalia; order Primates; family Hominidae; genus Homo; species Homo sapiens. The sequence continues at coordinate 90,014,750 of NC_000005.10, read as the reverse complement.
GAAGAGATTCTTTGGGTTTCCTTTCACCTCCAGATAGCATCTGGGTAGATTGGTGGCAATGAGGATAGTGCTGCTAGTCCCAGCTGGCCTCCTTGGTTGTCATGAAGGCAACCACTACTGAGATTCATGGTCCCAGTTATTTGCATGCAAGTACACTAAAAACTCACCACAATTTCTTAGTCCTGACCCCAGGCCTCTGCTATTTCACCAGTCTTCTCAGTACCTTGAACCCTTACTGAGGCATGCAAAAACTTCTAAGCCCCTCCACATAGGCCTTGGGGACTGGGATCACAGCCTCTGGCTCCTGTCTCTAGCCACCTCCCTGTAACAGCACTGAGCTACCCACCTCCTTCCCTTCCTTCCTCTCCTGCAAGACTATTCCTAGATGTTTGCAATGACTCTCAGGCTTTGGAGAAAGAAGACCTTTGCTATTATGTTCCCAAATTTCCTCATAGATATTTAGAGTTTCTGTAGGCCCCTGCCTCAAGTTTGGCCCCTTTTGCTGCACCTCTGACTCTCGTCTTGATCCTTATTCCATTAGGGCCAAGAGGGGGAGGGCTGTCTACTTTCTCTTTCTATATGGAAGCACTTAACCTAAGCTATGCACTCCTTTTCAGTTTCACTGAATTTTTCCTGCTTCATTTAACTCAAAATGCAGTCATCAAATCTTTATAATCCCATCAAGTCCCTGTGAACTCAACCCCCACCACGTCTCTGATTTTACCTTCTACTAGTTTTCCTGTTTTTTATTTCACTCCAGGTACATAGACTTCCCTATTTTTCCTTGAAAATGCCAAAGGTGCTCCAACCTCGGGAACTTTCATTTATTTTTTCTCTCTGTCTGGAATTCACATATGCCATACATTAACATGGCTTGTTTCCTCATTTTTAATTTCCTCATCTCTTTTATATAACCTCTTGTCATAGACCCCTTTTGTGCTCACCTTAAGTGAAGTGGAAATTTTCCTTCCCTCCACCATGTCCAGCTCTCTATTTCCTTATGCTTCTTTGGTATATCTTCATGGTACCATTCATCTCAATATCATGTATTTACTGTACATATATTTTTATCATCAGTATTTTCCTATCTGAATGTAAACTCTGTAAGACTGGGATTCTGTTTTACTGAATAGGATAGCCCTAGTACTTAGAATAGTATCCAGCACATAGTGATGAATACACACACAGGCATATGTGAATTCAGCATGCATCCATACATATATTTGTCATGAGTGGGTGAATAAATGTTAGATGATATGCAGAAAGATAAAATGGATCACTAGAAGAAAACATGCATGGGGAGATATCTCCAAAAAGAATTTCCAGCACAGAGATTACTTATATTTCATATGTTAATGTTAGCATTTTTTTCATTTCTATATATTTTTAAAGATATGTTTTTGAATTATTTGAAAATTACTTAAGTTACCAATGAATGCAGTGGGAAAAAATATCTGAAAAGTCGATTGTGTGTATAAATATGACTCCTGGCTAATTCATTATTATTATTATTTTGCTTTTCAATCAGTTATTTCAGAAAAAAGTTCTGAGAGAAAATGTATATGAGAAAACTAGGCCCACTTCAAAAGTATTTTATATTTATAAAAATAGTTTAATTCAATTTACATGAATTGTTGGATACTAATTATATTTTAGGCAATGCTTTAGGATCTGGCAAAACAAAATAATTGTCACATATTCCATTTATAAATATTATAGGTTCATTTTTATTGTTTTATATTTTCCAAGACTCTTTTTTATATATTACTCATTTGGTTCTCATAGCTATTTCTGAAGTAGGTTGTTATCTCAATTTTTTAGATATTTTAGAGATTAAGAGACTGGCCCAAAGCCTTGTAGCTAGTAAATAATGGAAGCAGAATTTAAATTTAGGTTTTTATATGTCAAAATTACTTGCTTTTCTTATTGTGGTTTATATTTTTAGGCAACTTCATGATTTAAAATATGGTTTTATATACATTACCTAACATAATGCTAAAAACATCCCCGTGGGCACATTTTGCAGACAAGGATAGTGTGCTTTATAAAAATCCCACTGACTTGGTCAAAGTTATATAACTTGTTTTTGGCAGAGTGAGTTCTTGATTTCATGGTTTTTGACTCAAAACACAATGCCTTTTACATTGTCTATCTGACCAAAGGGAAAAGTTTAGAAGTATAGTTAACTGTCATAGTAACATCAAATCAAGAATGAATTAAAGTAAAAAACTCCTTTTAATTCCAGAATAAAAATTGAGAAATTAGCTTGATTTAAAAAACCTCAAATAGTTGAGAAGCAGAAATACACCTATGATTGGTAAACCTCAAAGTATATGTGTATATCTTATAGGCTGTTATTTATGAACTTACTTTTTAAATTTAAGATCTATGGTATTTTATAAAGTTACATACAATGAACAAAATGGCAAAATTTAAAAGTGGGTATGAAAGGGAAAGGATAAACAGAAGTGGGGGAACATAAGGCTAAACCATCAATTATATTTAAAAAAAAATAAACAAAACAAAAGAAAAAGACACTACATAGTATTACCTGCACTGAGTGAGCTACTATAACTTTAAAGGAAGTTGTTACTGTTCCACAAGTCACTTTGTTCAAAATATAATGACAAATCAACAACCTAGAAGAAGCAAAGATTTCTTTGAAAGAAGTCAAGAAAAAATTGCTACTGAGGGTCTTTATAAAATGGAATTGTATAATATGACCATTTTTCAGCAGTGTTCTTATAGTTTTGTAAGGCTTTTACACACTGACCCTCAGTAGAGGATGAACACATCACACTGCAACACAATTCAGTAAAAGAAATTCATTGGTGTTTGTCTGGCTATTATGTTTCCAACAAATACAAAAGTAATGAAACTGAAGAAAGAGGTTTGACAATAGAAGAGATCAAATGTTGAGTAAATCCATATGAGACTATTTTCTCCCTTTGGGTTCTTCATTCTGATATAGATTTTTGTTTATAAAGGAATTTGATGTGGACATGCAGTTTCTCCAAGGGCAATATTTTAAAAATATTTTTACTAAAATATCTCCAATAGTGGCTACAGGTGATAGTGAAGAATCTTTTGGAGAAAAGGTAGAATGGAAATGAAGTTTAGAGATAATAAAAAGCAACTCAAACTCTTACTTATGAAAATGTATACTTCTTATATTGTCATAATTATGGGTACTCTGCTATCCCTGAAAAAAGTTGATGTTCCTAGAAGATGTGGCTAATTTATGATGTGACTTTGTTGAGCCTCTGGCACAGAGCTGTGCATGCTGAAATTATGAGTACCTTGGTTTGTAAGCATATACCTAAAGGGATGCATTGAGACAGAGGCAACTGATTTTCTCACTTTCTTTTTTAATTTTTTAAAGTTTTATTTAAATTATAAAAGTTTAAGAAAACGTAAAGTGATAAAATTTAATACAACGAACACTCATAGACTTACCAAAGTTTAAGTATGTTACTATTTTGCTATTCTATTATATAGTTGTTTAATAATAATTCATAGTTCTTTTTCTATTTATAGTTCTTTAATAAGAATTATAAATATAATGGATGGCCTTTTTGCAGTCTTTGAAGATGCTGTGGTTTCCTTCTTGCTCTTGAGTAACCACTCTTCTAAAGTTGGTTTCTATTTTTCCTTAAAGTGTTTCTTCCTTTTTCCCTTTACTATTTATATATGCATCTATGAAAATGTAGAATAATATGTATTTAAATATTTTTGTATATAGAATCATGCAATATGCATCATTCTGTAAATTTCTTACTTAATTCAACATTATGTTCTCAAAAATCATCAATTTTAATTCTTGTGGATATGTTTTGTTAATTGTAACCCTTTATAGTGTTCCATGTAGAAATGTACCACCATTTATCTGTATTGCTATCCTACTGATGGTTATTAGCTTGTTTTCAATTTCTATTACAAAAATGAACACTATTGTTTAAGCTTCCTTGTACATGTATTTTGATTAATTTCTAGTACGTATGCCAGGCAATAAAATTATTGGACTGAATGCCTACACATCTTTAACTTAATGAGCTACTATCTAATTGTTTCTCCAATTTGTACTCTTACCTACCTTGTATATTAGATCCTCTTTACCACACTTTCATCAACTCTTAGTATCTTACAATTTTATGTCAATATTTTTGGGGTAAAAAGTTACATAATCTTAAATTTGTGTTGATTTAACTGAGGCAGATGGAGTATATTTTCATTGGCCATTGGGCTTTTCTCATCTGTAAATGTTCATAATTTTTGCCCAATTTTAATTAGGTAACTACTGTTTTCTTATCTGTTATATATTATCTACCAGATCTGAATACTTTTTCCTTGTTTGCTGTATAACAAAGATCCAGTTATCTTTTTCAAGGATGTCTTGAAATTAAACAAATGTGTCTTTTAACTAGGTTTATGGAATCTATTGTAATAGCATAGTTTTGATCTTTAATGTAGTCTTTACTTTCTTCCCCTTTATGTTTGTTAAGACATATTCTTCTTTACTAAGCCCGTAAAATAGTCTCCATTCTTTTTTCTGAAATGTTGTTAAGTTTTATTCTTTATATAATATTTTCTTAAGCTGTTTGGAATCGATTTTGTTTATGGTGTGTGGAGGAATCCAATTTCCTTATTTGACTTGATTTTTCTATCCATAGAGAAACAAGAAATTATTTTTCATGTAGATAGCAAAGTGACCCAGTCCTTTGTATTAAACAATCTGTTTTTTTTCTCACCAAAGTGTAATATTTACCTATATGTAAAGCTGCTATTTATGTGTAGCTACATTTCTGGGCTCTTTATTATGTTCCATTGTCCAGTGAGCACCACCCCCATTCCCACTCTTTCTTCCTTTCCTTTTTCTTCAAAATTGTTATAGCTATTTCTGGCTCTTTACTCATATATACAAATTTTAGAATCTGTTTCTTCAAGCTTCATGAATAGTCTTGCCTGGTTTTGGAAACATACTTATGCTAACTTTGTGAAATAAGTTGAGTAGCTTTTCCTCTTTTCAAGATTCTCGAACAGATTTTATAAGATAGGGATTATCTGTTTATTAAAGGCTTTGTAGAATAGTTTCTAAAATTGTCTGAGTTCATATATTTTAATGATAACTGATTTTGGATTAATTATTTTTTAAATATTTGTAACTCTTTTTAATTTTCTACTTATTTTTAGTTTTGATAATGTGTATATTTTTAGAAAAGTACATGTTTTTGAAATTCAAAATGTTATTTGTTTATAGTATTTTGATTTTAAATATCTACCATTTCAGTGGTTTTATCTGTCTTTTTTTAACTTCTAATACTTTTACTTTGTTCTCTCTCTTCCTCAGTCTTTTTCTACTAGTTTTTCTAATGTCCCAACTTTTGTTGATAATATCTATTTTTTTATTTTATTAACTTTTAGTGTCTTAGTTATCAAATCTATTTCAGATTTTAAACTTATCTGTTAATTTTGCATTAGTTTGCATTCTACAAGTTTTTTAAATGCAATTCTTTCATTGCGATCCAATTTTAAATGTTTCGTAATTTCCCCTTTACTCTTTAAGCAGCAGTATTTAATTATTTCCTCTTTATCATATAATTTAGTTAGAGATTTATTGTTTAACTTGTGAGCTATTTAGAAATGCATTTTCAGTTTCCAAACATATACTGTATTGTATTTTTACTATTCATTTTTTAACTATGTTGAGAGACATGATCTGTGAGGTAGTAATTTTCCAAGTGTTTGTTGAGATTTCTGTGTGTCTAACGGTAGAGCAATATAGGTAAAAGTTTCTATCTGTGCTTAAAAAGGTTGAATGTTTTGTATGTTGGCGGCCACAGTGTTCTAATTATATTTAACATAGAGAGTCATTTAAGTGTGATGTTCAAGTTTTACATGTTTTTACTTTTTTGTCTTATTGTTTTGGCAGTTTCTGAAAATTCCTTTTTTATTAAGGTGTTGTCAGTATTTTTCTTATAATATTATAACATTTTCCTTTTACCTATTAAAAATTATCTTTTTTAGGTATTAGGTTGGTACAAAAGTAATTGCACCAACCGAATATATGTAAGTTTAATTATAATATCCTATTGGTAGATTGTTTCAACATTATGTGGGCCATTATGTATGTTCTTTTTTTATCTCTGTTAATGCTATTTGCCCTTAGTTTTGTTTTGTCTGCTGTTGACCTTGGTACACGAGCTTTTTTTCATTTACTATTTACTGTGAATTGATTAACAGTATACTTTGTCTAAGAGAAATTGGTACATTTTCACATTTATTGAGCTGCTGCAGAGGGTTCTCACTCTAACTGAGGACATCACTCGGCATCATGACATTGCCAACTACATCATTTCATATACCACCTCTTCCTGATGTCATGAATTCCCTCTGGATTTGAACTGTGGCTTGTCTCATTCAGAGTCAAGTTTTACTTTTAGAGTTGTTCCTAGGTTGGTCCTAGATCCTTTTTGTGGCTCACTGTGGAGGTCTCTCGATGGCTTGTACTTGAATCAGCTAGGATGTGACACAAGACTTTTAAATATTCTGTAGTAGATATTCATTTTCTCTCATGTGGAGTAGATTCCCAAACAATTAAAGAGTAATGTATGAGAGAACCTACAAATTCATTACATGAGATTTAAGGAGAAGCTTCCTTGAAGAATTTGCAAATTGGTGAATAAGATTGTTCCTAGAAATTTAAACTGTAAAATTTTTACATAACTGTATCAAAGCTGGGAAACACTAAGTTGCTTCAAAAGTAAGCCATTGAAAACTTGGTCTTCCTCCTGAATGAAGGTGCTAAAGAAATAATTTGTCAAATAATGAGAGTATTCATACATGAAGTATAGAGAAAGGAAAGTCATAAACTTTAGATGTGCCCTTGTATACAACTTGCCCAAGGGAGGGAGCTGTAATTAGCCAAAAAGTCTTTGGAACTCTGTGATCACATTTGCTAAACCATACTTTCCAAGGAAAAGTCTATAGCAGAGTGTAGCCAACAACCTTCAGCTCTTCCTGTTCTAATAGAAACACCATCACCATTGTCTAAAAACAGATACAAAAGCCTCTCTTATCCTGACACCGTTAAACATTGATTTTGGTAACAAAATCCTCTTGTTCTAATTCCATGTTCATGGAGCAAGCTCTTAATTATTATATGGTTTCCCAGATAGGCCTCACTTTAGAGAGAAAATTGGCTGATCATTTAGACATGAGTATTCTGATTACTGAAGTATACATATTTCTCACTGTAAATTAATACCTTAGTATTTTGATTATAATTTTATTCCCCATATGTTCTTTATTTAAAGCCATACTGAATGTAGTTTTAAAATGCAGAGCCTTCTTATTTGGAACATACAGAGTCATTTCTTAAATGGTTAAGATGTAAAACTGTAGTTTTATATTTTACTATCCTTAATATACACATGATCGATTTAGGTTATTTGCTATATTTTTGTATATAAATAATTCTATGAGCACCTCTATACATATTTGATGAAGACATGCAATGGTGTCACTGAGATAAATTCAAAGAAGTTATGTCCCATGTTTCTTAATTTCTAGACAGTCTCCTATCATGTTCTTTACATATGTATTCTAACATATGTAAAGAAGTGTTGCATTGGAGCATATATAGCAGCCTCATGATTCATTCAGTGGAGGGTTAACATGAGTCTGCCTTGAAGAGATGGATTTGCTATTGTGTCTTGAAAAAAGTAATATTTGGGTTTGCATGTCTAAGGAGCAAAGCCTTAAGGAAAATTCTCAAAGACCATGTATGAGACCTTGATCCTTCTGATGAAAACTTCCCAGGGATATTCAAATATTGCCATATACTTATAAATGTGTATTATCCCTTCCATGATTTACATTGGTAATGGACAGAAAACTTTATAAAACTGCCTAATTCTCCCCACCATAGTTACCCTCCCAATACTCTGATTACAGCATAGCTTCCTGACTTTCTGCTTAATCCAGAGCTAAAGAATTGGTCATATAATTCTCTCACATCTTTTTTTTTTTTTTTTGAGATGGTGTCTCACTCTATCGCCAGGCTGGAGTGGTGCAGTGGCACAATCTAGGTTCACTGCAACCTCCACTTCCTGGGTTCAAGCGATTTTTCCTGCCTCAGCCTCCCGAGTAGCTGGGATTACAGATGCGTGCCACCATGCCCAGCTAATTTTTGTACTTTTAGTAGAGATGGGGTTTCACCATGTTGGCCAGGATGGTCTCGATCTCTTGCTGTTATCCGCCAGCCTCGGCCTCCCAAACTGCTGGGATTACAGGTGTGAGCCACTGTGCCCGGCCCAATTCTCTCATATCTTACTTCAATTGCTCCTGTTATATTTCTCACTCATATAGTCTTTTTAAAATTATTATTATTTCAATAGTTTTGGGGTAACAGGTGGTGTTTGATTACGTGGATAAGTTCTTCAGTGGTGATTTCTGAAATTGTAGTGCCCCCATCACTCAAGCAATGTACATCGTAACTAGTGTGTCGTCTTTTGTCCCTTCCCACCTTCCCACCACTCCTTCCTGAGTCCCCAGAGTCCATTATATCATTATTATGCCTTTTCATCTGCATAGCTTAGCTCCCACTTATAAGTGAGAACATACGATGTTAGGTTTTTCCATTCCTGAGTTACATCACTTAAGAATAATGGTTTCCAGTTCCATTCAGTTGCTGCAAATGCTATTATTTTGTTCCATCTTATGGCTGAGTAATATGCCATGGTGTGTGTGTGTGTGTGTGTGTGTGTGTGTGTATCATATACATACATATATATATGTATATATATATGTATATATATATGTATATATATAACATTTTGTGAATCTACTTGTTGGTTGATGGATATTTAGGCTGTTTCCATATCTCTGCAATTGCGAATTGTGCTGCTGTAAACATGGGTGTGCAAATGTCTTTTTCATACGACTTATTTTCCTATGGGTAGATAGCCAGTAGTGGGATAGCTGAATCAAATAGTAGTTCTACTTTTAGTTGTTTAAGGAATCTTCACACTGTGTTCCATAGTGGTTGTACTAGTTTACATTCCCACCAGCAGTGTAAAAGTATTCCCTTTTCACCACATCCATGCCAACGTCTATTCTCTGATTTTTAAAATTATGGCCATTCTTGCAGGAGTAAGGTATTACCTCATTGTGGTTTTGATTTGGATTTCCTTGATAATTAGTGATGTTGGGCATTTTTTTTAATGTTTGTTGTCCATTTGTATATCTGCTTTTTAGAATTGTCTGTTCATGTCCTTAGCCAACTTTTTGTTGGGATTATTTGTTTTTTCTTACTGATTTGTTTGAGTTCCTTGTAGACTCTGGATATTAGTTCTTTGTCAGATACATAGTTTGCAAATATTTTCTCCCATTCTGTGGATTGTCTGTTTACTCTATTGATTATTTTTTTTTCCCGTGCAGAAGCCTTTTAGTTTAATGAAATGTCATCTATTTATCTTTGTTTCTGTTGCATTTGTTTTTTGGGTTCTTGGTCATGAACTCTTTGCCTAAGCTAATGTCTAAAAAGAGTTTTTCCAATGTCATGTTCTAGAATTTTTATGGTTTTGGGTCTTAGATTTAAGTCTTTGATCCATCTTGAGTTGATTTTTGTAGGAGGTGAGAGATAAGGATCTAGTTTCATTCTTCTACATGTGACTTGCCAATTATCTCATCACCATTTGTTGAAAAGGGTGTCCTTTCCCCACTTTATGTTTCTGTTTGCTTTGTCAAAGATCAGTTGGTTGCATTTGGCTTTATTTCTGGGTTCTCTCTTCTGTTCCATTGGTCTATGTGCTTGTTTTTAGATCAGTACCATGTTGTTTTGGTTAACCGTAGCCTTATAGTATAGTTTGAAGTTAGGCAACGTGATACCTCCAGATTTGTTCTTTTTGCCTAGTATTGCTTTGGCTATGTGGGCTCTTTTTGTTCTATGTGAATTTTAGGATTTTTTTTTCCAGTTTTGTGAAAGATGATGATAGTATTTTCATGAAAATTGCATTACATTTATAGATTGTTTTTGGTAGTATGGTCGTTTTCACAATATTGATTCTACCCATCCATGAGCATGGGATGTGTTTCCATTTGTTAGTGTCATCAGTGATTTCTTTCAGCAGTGTTTTGTAGTTTTCCTTGTAGCGATATTTTACCTCCTTGCTAAGGTATACTCCTAAGTATTTTATTTTATTTTTTCAGCTGTTGTAAAAGAGGTTGAATTATTGATTTGATTCTCGACTTGGCTGCTTTGTTGCAAAAAGGGTTGAGTTATAGATTTGATTCTCAACTTGGTCACTGATTTGTGTAGCACTGCTATACGCCAGCAGCGATTTTGTATCCTGAAACCTTGCTGAATTCATTTATCAGATCTAGGAGCTTTTTGGATGAGTCTTTAGGGTTTTCAAAGGTATGCCATTATATCATTGGCCAACTGTGACAGTTTGACTTCCTCTTTACTGATTTGAATGCCCTTTATTTCTTTCTCTTGTCTGATTACTCTGGCCAGGAAGGACTTCCAGTACCATATTGAATAGAAGTGGTGAAGGTGGACATCCTTGTCTTGTTCAAGTTCTCAGGAGAAATGCTTTCAACTTTTCATTCAGTATAGTGTTGGCCGTGGGTTTGTTATAGATGACTTTTATTACCTTAAGCTATGTTTATCCATGCCGATATTGCTGGTGGTTTTAATCATAAAGGGATGCTAGATTTTGACAAATGCTTTTTCTGCATTTATTGAGATGATAATATGATTTTTGTTTTTAATTGTGCTGTATCACATTTATTGGTTTCTGTATATTCAACCAACCAACCTTACATCCCTGGTATAAACCCCACTTAGTCATTGTGGATTATCTCTTTGATATGCTATTGGATTTGGTTATTTAAAATTTTGTTCAGAATTTTTGCATCCATGTTAATCAGGGATATTGGTCTGTATTTTTGTTGTTGCTGTTGTTGTTATTATGTCCTTTCCTGGTTTTGGAATTAGGATAATACTGGCTTCATAGAATGATTTAGGGAAGATTCCCGCTTTCTCTATCTTTGGGAGTAATTTCCGATTCTTCTTTGAATGTCTGATAGAATTCAGCTATACATTTATCTGGCCCTGGATTTTTGTTGTTGTTGTTGTTGTTGTTGTTGGGATTTTGTTTTTATTACAGTTTCAGTCTTGCTGCTTGTTATTCGTCTGTTCAGAGTTTCTGTTAATATTTCTTCCTGGTTTAATCTAGGAGTGTTGTATATTTCCAGGAATTTATCCATCTCTTCTAGGTTTTCTAGTTTGTGTGGATAATAATCTTCATAGTAGCCTTCAATAATCTTTTGTTTTCTTTGATGTTGATGGTACTATCTCACATTTCATTTCTAATTGAGCTTATTTGGATCTTTTCTTTTCTTGGTTAATCTTGCTAATGGTCTATCAATTTTGTTTACTATTTCAAAGAACCAGCTTTTTTCATTTATCATATATATATACACACATATATAAATATATATACATATATATATATATATAGTTTCAATTTCATTTAGCTCTGCTCTGATCTTTCTTATTTCTTTCCTTCTGCTGGGTCCAGGTTCGGTTTGTTCCTGTTTCTCTAGTTCCTTGAGATATGAGCTTAGATTATTTATTTGTGCTTTTTCAGACTTTTTGATACAGGCATTTAATGCTCTGAGCTTTCCTCATAGAACCACTTTTATTGTATCCCAGAGGTTTTGATAGGTTGTGCCACTATTATTGTTCAGTTCAAATAATTTTTAAATTTCCATCTTGATTTCCTTGTTTCCCAAAGATCATTCAAGAGCAGATTATTTAATTTCTATGTTTTTGTATAGTTTTGAGGGTTCCTTTTGCAGTTAATTTCCAATTTTATTCCACTGTGGGCTGGGAGAGTACTTCTTGAAACTTTTATTTTGTTAAATTTATCAGGACTTATGTGGGCTATTAAATGGTCTATCTTGGAGAATGTTCCCATGTGCTGATGAAAGGAATGTGCATTCTGCAGTTGTTGGGTAGAATATTCTGTAAATATCTCTTAAGTTCATTGTTTTCAGGTATAGTTTAAGTCCATTGTTTCTTTTTTGACTTTCTGTCTTGATGACCTGTCTAGTGCTGTCAGTGGAGTATTGTCGTCCCCAGTGTTATTGTGTTGCCATCTATCTCATTTCTTTAGTCTAGTAGTAATTGTTTTATAAATTTAGGAGCTCCAGTGTTAGGTGCATATATATTTAGGATTGTGATGTTTTCCTGCTGGACTAATCCTTTTGTCATTATGTAATGTCACTATCTTTTTAAGTGTTGTTGCTTTGAAGTCTGTTTAGTCTGATGTAAGTGTAGCTATGCTTGCTTGCTTTTGGTTTCTGTTTGTTTGAAATATCTTTTTCCATCCCTTCACCTTAAATTAATGTGAGTACTTATGTGTTAGGTGAGTCCCTTGAAGACAGCAGATATTTGGTTGGTGGATTTTTATTCATTCTGCCATGCTGTGTTTTTTAAGTGGAACATTTAGGCCATTTACATTCATATTAGTGTGGAGATGTGAGGTACTGTTTTATTCATCATGGTGGTGTTTGTCTGAATACTTTTTTTTCATTGTGTTATTGTTTTATAGGCCCTGTGAGATTTATGCTTTAAGGAGGTTTTATTTTGGTGTATTTTGAGGTTTTGTTTCAAGATGTTTAGAACTCCTTTTAGCATGTCTTGTAGTGCTGTCTTCATAGTGGCAAATTCTCTCAGCATTTGTTTGTCTAAAAAAATACCTTATCTCTACTTCATTTATGAGGCTTAGTTTCACTGAATACAAAATTCTTGGCTGTCAATTATTTTGTTTGAAGAGGCTAAAGATAGGAACCCAATTCGTTCTGGCTTGCAGGGTGTCTGCTGAGAAATCCGCTGTTAATCTGATCATTTTCCTTTAGGTTACCTGATGCTTTTGCTTCACAGCTCTTAATATTCTTTCCTTCATCTTGACTTTAGATATCCTGATTACTATGTGTCTAGGTGTTGATCTTTTTGTGATGAATTTCCCAGGAGTTGTTTGAGCTTCTTGTATTTGGATGTCTACATCTCTAGAAAGACCAGGGCAGTTTTTCTTGATTATTCCCTCGAATAAATTTTCCAAATATTTATATTTCTCTTCTTCCTCAGGAATACCAATTATTCTTAATATTTGGTTGTTTAACATAATCCCAAATTTCTTGGAGGCCTTGTTCATTTAAAAAAAAGTTTTTTTGTCTTTGTCAAACTGGGTTAATTTGAAAGCCTTGTCATTGAGCTCTGAAGTTCTTTCTTCTACTTGCTCAATTCTGTTGTTGAAACTTTCCAGTGTATTTTGCATTTCTCTTAAGTGTGTCTTTCCTTTCCAGAAGTAGTGATTGTGTTTTCTTTATGCTATCTATTTATCTGGAGAGTTTTCCATCCATATCTTGTATTTTTAAAAAATATTTTTAAGTTGATTTTCACCTTTCCCTGGTGCCTCCTTGAGTAGCTTAATAATCAACCTTCTAAATTCTTTCTCTGCCAATTCAGAGATTTCTTCTTGGTTTGGATCCATTGCTGAAGAGCTAGTGTGATCTTTTAGGGGTGTATAGAATCTCGTTTGGTCATATTACCAGAATTACTATTCTAGTTCGTTCTCATTTGGGTAGACTGTTTCGGTGAAAATTTCTGGAACTCAAGGGCTGCTGTTCAGATTCTTTTGTCCATGAATTGATTCCTTTATGTGGTACTCTCTCCCTTGCCCTAGTGATGGGGCTTCCTGAGAGCCAGACTGCAGTGATTGTTATTGTCATTCTGGGTCTAGCTACCTAACAGGGCTACCAAGCTCCAGGCTGGTGCTGGGGAGTGTTTGCAGGGTCCTGTGATGGTATTCATCTTCAGGTCTCCCAGCCATGGATACCAGCACCTGCTGCAATGGAGGTGGCAGGCAAGTGAAGTGGACTCTGTGGGAATCCTTGGTTGCAGTTTTGTTTAGTGCACTGGCTGAAGTTTTCTTTAGTGCACTGGTTGTGGTTTTGTTTAGTGCACTGGTTTTCTCAAATGCTAGCAATGAAGTTGTCATGTGGACAGACTCAGGACCTCTGGTTAGTCAGTGTGTTGAAGGTGGTGAAATTGGCTATTGTTTTTTCCTTCTTTGGAGCAGAGTTATTCTGTTATGAGTTACTGTAGTGGCTTGAGTTAGTTGGCCTCCAGCCAGGAGATGGCGCCTTCGTGAGAGTATCAGTTGTAGTAGCAGAAGGAGGATATAATCCTGCCCTACATTGACCAAGATAAGTACTGGGTTTCTCAGGTGATGGGCAGTGCCATAGAGCTTTCAAGAGTTTATGTCTTTTGTCTTCAGCTACCAGGGAAGATAGAGAAAAACCATCAGGTGGAGGAAGGGTTTCATATAGTCTTTGAAATCTGCCTGGTACACAGTAAGTGTAGCTCAACTTATTGCCTGCTCATTTTCTAAGGACTGCTATTCCCCTTCAGTCTACCTAGTAACAGGGCAACAATGTGCATAAAATGTGATTCTTTTCACCTTGCCACACTTGATTTGTCCAAAGTTAAATATTTTACCCAAACTAGGAAATCAGTATTTACCTGAAAATATAAACTTGTATTATTAATAATACATTTTAGCTCCACTCTAACTGCTCTTTTAGAAAATCAGGAACTTGAAGGATCTTTTTAAGTGGCTTAGGAAGCAGAAAGGGTTGGGCTAGACCGAGATCACAACAAGAATATATATCTGGGTAATAATAGGAGTGGATAATAAGAGATTAGGAGAGAAGAGTTCTCAAATTATGTATGACCCTTTGGCTCTGGATTTCAGTGTATTTCTTCCTGAAGTTCAGCTGTATTCCTATTCTTGAGTTCCTTTATCCTCATATTAAATGACCTCTTCTTCTCGTTAAGGTAGCTTAAAAGGTTTTCCAATAGAACTATACTAGAAATCAAATGTTTCTTTCTATCCTCTTACTATTACTTTATCTTGAATACAAAGCTGTGACTCTGAGTCAAAATTTTCTCCAAGATCTTTCAACCCACATACCAAATAATCAAATTCAAACTGATTTATCAAATGAGAAATTCCTGTCCTATTTGTGAAGCCAGTTCCTTGTGTTATTTCATGAAATTAAAGCCTAATCACCTTCACTGAAAATTAATTTCCATGTAAAATATTTTATATATTTTATACTCATGGATTTTTAAAAGTTAAAAACTATACCATTATTAAATTACTTGGAAAATTATATATATACGTGTGTGTGTGTGTGTGTGTGTATATATGTATATATATATATATATATATATATATATATATATATATACCTGTATCTATATATGTCTTTCTCTTAATATGCACACACACACATTTTCTATCCTAGGCTAGACTTTCAACCAATTTTGTGTGAATTTTAATGTTCATAGCAAAAACAGGCTTTTTTTTTCCACTTAAGGAGTTACAGTCTTACCTTTTAAAATTTCCCAATAGAGTTTCACAGAATAAAAATGATTCTTTTATAGAAGAAAAAAATGCCTTTCCCCTTTCATTTTTATCTGTACTATAAATGTCTATTTAGTTCCCATGGAAATGCAAACTCAAGTTTAGAATATCTATGTGCATGTGTTTGTATATGTGTATGAGAAAAAGCATGCATGATAAAACCCCCAGTCATGAAGACTAAAACGCTGTTTCTGATGATAAGATCAAATGAGTTTGGCAAGAAGATCCTTTTGTACTCCATGGAACAAGCTCAAAGGGCTATGGGTGGTAAAGATGTAGCAGAGTAAAGAAAGGTTCTCCAGGAAACATGTGGCATGTTTGAATTATTTTAATGCATTTTATGAAGTTTTCATTGTGTGAAAAATTATATGTGATTTCCTTTACCAGAAGCCTCAAAAATGATGACATAAGGTAGAACAAGGCAGGGCCAAGCTGAAGTCTGGCTTAGGTATCTAAAGGCTCAAGCTGAGCCAGGGATACTGCTCAGATACCAGAACTGTAATATGCAGACCGTGTTCCAGCCCTAGGGGACTAACTGTGATTGTTCTGCAATCTTTAAAAACCCCAGGGATTCCACAGCCATAGAATCCTGGCCTTTTTCCCTACCGGAATGCTAACACTTAAAGAGTCTTCCTAGATAAAACTCTACCTGTTATTTCTTTCACTTCTTTCAGAAACAGATAGCACAGCTAAATTCAGACACTAAGCTCCAGCCAGGGTCAAAGAGCAATTCATGTTATCAAGTAAGACACTCTGCATGTGTTGACAAGAATGTCATTGATGCAGATGAGGATGCTATCTAGTATTTTTGTTTTGTTCCCACAATACTTTTATTCATCAAAATTCGGAGGTATTAATTTGGTAAAAAGTTCCAAATAAGAAAACATGCCAACTTTAATGCAATTGTTCTTGATACCATCATTTTATCTTCATGAAAACAAACAGAATATTGCTGTCTTCGAATTTTTAAAGACCAAAAAGATTATTGCTTTGTCTAAAACAATAATGTTGTATAAAATCATAAAAATCTTAGAGATAACAGGTCATGTAATCAAAATAATCTTTCTAAAATAGATATATTTATCGACTTTCTTAATTAATGACATTGAACTTTGATTTTCCCACATTCACTATCAGAGAATTTAGCAAGTAGAAAAGCACTTCATTTATTGATGGCTAATTTTAACAGAGAATTTCCCCTTAGAGTGAGCTGTCCTTATTTTCTGCATAATCAAGTATGTGTCACTTTCACTTGACTATCACAAATTGTTACAGCACCATCAATGAACTTAATCGTCCCAAGTACTTAAAATCAGTTAAGCACTGCATTTTCATGTCAAGAAATGAAGAAAAATTAAACCTCTAGCTTTTGGTTATCATCCTTGTATGTTTATACTTTGAGCACCAGTGCATCCCAACAGAGAGCAATGATAGATAAAAATTGATCAGACAAAATTTAGAAGACATTGCCTTTTCTAAAGGTAAGCATCCCAAGAAGCAATGTGGCAAATGGTGCTGAAGCCATGAGCCCATTTCCAGTGCCTCTCCAGAGAGATGGAGACAAACAAATAAATAGACCAAACTAGAAAAACTGTAGTCACATGCATAGGAGAAAGGAACAGATGTCAAGCTCACTGACTAAAGCTAGAGGCTGGTACAGACTATTTTCACCCACCTTGCCCTATCACATGAAAGACAAGTAAAGAGAAATGACCAAGGCTCTAGTTATCCTTCAAGATCCATCAAAGCTCAAATGGATTTTCATATGCCTTTACTGCCTCTAAAGAACCTCCCACTCCCTTTTTGTGTCTTACTACATTCTGCACAAACATCCAGCACAGCACCTGCAACAGGATTGGGTCCACCGGTCAGCAGGTTTAGCAGCCTCAAACAGGTGGTAAGAGCTACTGGATGGTAGACATCATGTCTTATTAAACTCTGGATAGGCTGTAGCATAGTTCCCAACACAGGAGGTAACCAATTTATATTACTGGAGGAAGGAAGGAAAAAGGGAGAACATTCTCTCATTGCAAGACGCGTACTTCCTCTTTATGAGCAGCAACTTTCTCCCAGATAGTAATTCACCTTCATTGGCTTGAACTTTGTAGTTCTTTCTGTCCCTCTGGTTTTGAAATCTTATCTCTCAGAGCCTAACCTATGAAAGCGCAAAATGCAATCAGGTTCAGTGAGTAGATGCACTTCAGAAGCAAGGCGAAATCGTTCATTATAGCTTGTTTTATGACTCTGCTTTATGGTTTACAGTGGCAAAAGAGTGAAAGAATGATGCAACACATGGTATATAACCATTATCATTGAAGCAATTTAAATTGCTTTCTGTGAGTACACTGTCACTGATCTAATTCTTACTAAATGTTAAGTAGGTTTCTGTGCTAAAAATATATTGAGCTGAAACAGTGGATTAAGAATGATGTTGTTCTAAAATCCCATCTTGTAATTTTCATTTAATGGGTCTAAATTCCTTGAAGTCTCAGACTTTAAAATTGACTTGCAGAGATCTTAAGTTATGGCTCTGAATCCCTTTGGAGGAGGTGCTTATGAATATTAACTGTACTTTAGGATGCACTGTGTTGGTACAAGACTCATTTGAGCACAGAATTAGTGAGAGGTGAATGATGAATAATAGGCTCAGTGTGTGGAGTTTAAATATTCCAAAGAACAGACTCTGTATGATATTGTAAAATGTCTTGTAGCTTCATTTCTGATTTTGAAATGTTACAGTGCTTGCTTATTGTCACAGCATGATCTTCAGCACAGTTGGATAGTGCTTTTTTAAAGTAATGCAAGTGCATGAATGTCAGAAATACCTTCAAATATCGGGGACTACATCTTTAAGGAGTGCATTTGGCATTAAGCAGCCTTTTCCAGCTAATGAATTTCTCAAGTTACAAGAATAATGGCCTTTTTAATCTTAGCAAGAGTAATTAAACAGACATTTGTTATTAATGATGTTGTTAATGGCAGAAGATATTGAATTCTCACTTTAGATATTATATTGCTTGAGAGTGATTATTTTGAATATCAGACATATGAGTGTATAGTAGTGTTAAAAGTACAATATCTCCTTAAGAACATTGTAAAGTACTATTCTTTAACATAGAGAAAAATGCCTTAACTTTTATTAATACCAAGAGAAGTAAACATTTCCAAACTGAGGCCGAACACACTTTCAGGGACAAAGAGCATTTGTTTGATTAATCCTACATATCAATTGAAAGTTGTTTTCTTCTATTGAAATATTTATGTGTGTTTCAGTCAGGGTCTCCAAAGAAACAGAACTAGGGTAACATAGTTATGTAACAGGAAATTTATTATGGGAAATGGCTCATGCAGTTATGGAGGCTGGTAAGTCCTACAATATGCCATGTGCAAGCTGAAGAATTAGGAAAGCTAGTGTGTAATTCAGTTCAAGTACAAAGGGCTGAGGATAAGGGAAACCATTGGTATAAGTCCAAGTCAAAGTCCAAAGGCTGGAGAACTAGGAGCTCCATTGCCCAAGGGCAGGAGAAGATGGATGTCCCATTTCAGGAAGAGAAAGTGAATTCACTCTTCATCTGCCTTTTTGTTCTATTTGAGGCATTAAAGGATTGGATGATACCTGCCCACATTGGTGAAGCAATCTTCTTTATTCAGTCTACTAATTCAAATGCCAATTTCATCTGGAAACACCCTGACAGGCATACATAGAAATGATGCTTGACCAGCTAGATGGGCATCCCTTAGCCCAGTTATGTTGACACACAAAAAAATTAACCATCACAATGTGGCAGCCCACAGCTTGAGAGAGAACTGCTTACACTATGTCTGCTTTAAAATAGAGAGGGAGATGATATTGCCTAGTGTATTTCTCCTTCCTGATAGTTTCCTCAATTCTGCTCAGAAATCCACCCTATCCTCACCTTCAGAAGGTCATCCTAATTACTCAGTTCATTCATTTGTTCAACAAATACTTACTGTGTACCAATTATGACCAGGCACTATTTTATGTGCTGGGGTTATAGCTGTAAAAACAGCACAGAACAAAATAAAACAAAACAAAAATATCACAAATAACAAAAGCAAATATACCAGAAGTCAAAAATTCCTATGTATTATGAATGGGGTTAATGAGTTAGTCAAGACAGAGCCAATCAGGCTGCAGTATCCCCAGTGACTCTTATGGTCCAGTGCCAGCAGTGGCGTATGGGCCATATTGCCTCAATCACACCAGAGAGGAGAGATTTTATTTCTGCTTGGAGGAAAGAAATGCTTGCTCTGTCCCCTTCTAAACTAGTGGCCCAGTTGCCACTGGCATCCATATTGTGGTTCTGAGGGAAACTCAGCTTAAGGTGAATCAAAACCTAAGGACAACTATGGGAGTTTCTACTTCCTGCGCTAAAGAATCTGAACAGATATAAATTGTTTTATTAAAATTAAACACTTTTGTAACATAAATGTATGGCTATGCTCTTTATTGTAAGCATATGAGTTAGGGCTTGATCTTAATGGGATTGAGGGCAAATAAAAGATGCTTTGTGAATTTGAGGATCAGAGTAAAGGGCATACTTACAGCAGACATTGAGGAAGCTGCAAGGATTAGTTAGCATGTACTGATGGGAGTCATGGGATTGGATTTTGAGGATGTTTGATCAAGAGAGCTGGAACATAAGACTGCATGAGCAAGAGTTCATTTACTTAAGGGCATTTTATCTGCACATGGGATTTAACACCCTGCCAAGGATCCCAGAGAAAAGGGAAAACTTATTGTTAGAATAACTCTCAGGGGTAGCAGTCACAAAGCTGGTATCTTCACAAGCTCATGGGAATGATGAGGCTCTGAAGAAATGGAGCTGATGTGTCATCATTTAAGCATTAAAAGCCAGGGGATTACTATTATTTTAAGAATTGGCAAAGTCCAAGGAACAGCCAAGAAGGCTGTCCACAGGGCAGTTTGGTGGCTAATAGAACATGGTACTCCTAGGTCAAAAATAGACAGATATTTTGTGTGTTACTTAACATACACAATAAAAAGAAGACAAGGACAGATGAGCAGGCATTTGAGGGTGGTTGCCCCAAAAGGAAGTCACATTGTCTTGTCCAGTTTCAAGACCTGAGTCAGTTTTTTGACACAGAATCCAATAACTGATGTGATGGCTAGATCCCCCAGAGAACACGTGGTATTACAATGTCATGTATTTACTGTATGATTCCTCTGATATTTCCCCAAATGGATCTATGAGTATTTACATTGGTGCCCATACACTGGAGAAAGAGGAATGCCAGATATTCTCAGAGCTGTTGCACATAGGGTCTCAACTGACAATACCTGGAGATCTGAAGCATTATCATGTCCCTGTTCAAGTTCAGGGAATACATGGGCCAAATAATCAATGGAGTCTTGGGTAAATTCTTAGAGTACGTTCACCCAAATGTCATTTCTTCAATTCCCAAGTGTAAAATTGAAATACTCAGCAGTTGGAATAACCCCAGTTGAATTTTTGGCCTGTGGAGTAAGAGCTATCAGAGAATGCCAAGTAGAAGCTTTTGGGATTGCCTCCTCTTTCAACCAAGAGAGTAAATAAAAAATAGTATTGACTCTGGGAGGGATAGAAGAGATTAGAATCACCCTCAAGAACCTTAAGGATGCAGGAGTGGTGCTCTCTATCATTTCTCTATTTAATTCACAAGTCTAGTCCCTACAGAAACCAAATAGAATGTCTATAGACTACTATAAACTCAACCAAGTAATATTCTTGATTGCAGCTGCTGTGTTGGACGTAATATCTTTGCTAGAATAGATTAATGAATTCTTGGGCATATGGCATGAGGCTTTGAGACAGCAAACTCATTCTTTTTATTGCAATTAGAATAAAAGAATCTGAAATAATTTGCATTCACAAGGAAAGGACAATAGTATACACTTAATATTTTGCCCTAGGTATATGTTAATGCTTCAACTCTCTCACATAAGATAGTCAGAAAAGATCTGGACCATCTAGACATCCCACAGAGCATCATATTGATCTATTAAATTGATGATACCATGCTGATAAAAAAGAATGAGCAAGAGGTGGCTAGGATGCTGGAGGTTTTGGTAAGACACATGTGTCCCAGGGGTTGGGAGATACACCTTTTGAAGATTCAGGGACCCGACACTTTTGTAGTTTTTAGGGGTTCAGTGGTCAAGTGCATGCCAGGTTTTTCATCTAAAATAAAAGACAAATTGGTGCATGTATCCTCTACTAAAAAAGAAGGTATAACATTTGGTAAGCCTCTTTGCATTTTGGAGGTAATATCTTCCATACTTAGACATATTGTTTCAGCGGATATCCTAAATGATACAAAAGACTTATAGCTTTGTGTGGGGCCTGGAACAGGAAAGGGCTATGTGGCAGATTCAGACGCAAGGCAAGCAAATGTTTTCTTTGGGTATGCTATCTAGCAGATCCTATGATGCTGGAGGTGTCAGTGGTGGGAAAAGGTACAGTGTAAAACTTATGTCAAGCCCATTGGGAGAATCATCCCAAAGGCTCTAGGGTTCTAGAGAACCAAAGGCTCTAGGGTTATAGAGAAAGGCTATGCCATCAACAGAGGGGTAGCATCTGCCTCATGATGTTACTAGACCCTTGTAGAGACTCATATGAGCTGGGTTCTGTTGGATCCCTCAAGGCATTGAGTGAAACCAGCATCAGTTGATCATAATAAATGATTAATTTGCATTGACCCTGAGCAGACAAGTGAGGATGAGAAATCTGCATGAGCAGGTAGCTTAGACGTCATTGACTTTTCACGTCAGCCACAGGGTTGCACCAGCAGCTTTCCTCAGCTCACATCTATGACCATAGGGGCAATGCAGGTGTCCTTCATGACTGCTGAAGAAGCAGAACAAGTCCAAGCTTAACTTACAGATGGGTTGGTTCAGTATATGGGTCAAACCAAAAATAGACGTGGTTGCTTTATAAGCTACACTCAGACAATGGTGAGAGAAATCTTTCCAATGTCAGAGTTTCAAGTGGTACAGCTATTTTGTGTGGAAGAAGTAGCTTGAAGTGAGAATATATACAGAGTCATGAGCAATTCAAATAACCTGGCTGGCTTCTCAGGGGCCTGGAAAACTGAAGATAGGAATGTCTGAGGTAGAAGCATGTGGATGAACACATGGGAGTGGGCACAAAGTGTGAAGAGCTTTCTATGGCTTGTGAATACCCACCAGAAAGCATTATTGTAGAAAAATCACGGAACTACAAAGTAGGTAAGAATGACTTGGTTGGTAGACATTAGTCTGCCTTTGTCATAAGCCACCCCAGAACTGGCTTAATGAACACATGACTAGAAAGGACTCAGCAGCAGAGATGGAAGGTTCACATAAGCCCAACAGCATGACTCTCATTTGCCAAGGCTGAGACTCAGCATTGATCAGCTATCGTCAATGCTGAGTCTCTGAAAATGTTTCTCTTCCTTAACGAGACCAACCACCCACTGGTAGCAAGTTGACTACATTTGGCCTCACTCTGTCCTAGAAGGCCCAGCTGTTTTTCTCACAGAAATAGATGTGTTTTGAACATGAGTTTCTCTTTCTTATGATATTTAAGATATTCAAACACCTGAGTTTGTCTTTCTAAATAATATTTGAGACACCACCATCCAGAGACATTCAGAGTGCTTTACCCACAGGCATGGAATCCCATAGTGCATAGAGTCCCCCAGCAAAACACACTTCACAGTTAAAGAAGTGTAGGAGCAGGACAACGACCATGGGATCTACTGAGTACACTAAATACCACAACATGGAAAGGCTACCAGATGAACAGAGTGTTAGAATGGCCTGACTAATGCATATGAATGCCCTGGTGAAGGGTAATGCTCTGGAAGGATATGGCACATTGCTCCAAGATGTAGTATATTCTGCAAATCAGATACCGCTCTATGGCATTGTGTCTGATGGAGAAATTCATGGGTCTAGGAACCAAGGTTTGGATGCAGAAGTAGTCCCACTTGCCGTCATTTCCAATGACCTGTTGGGGGACTTTGCATTCCCTGTCCTTTCCACTCTGGGCTCTCTAGGGTAGAGATCCTGGTTCCTAAGTATAGCACACCCTCCTTAGTGACACAGCATGGATATCATTGAGATCCAATCTCTGGCTATTGCTTGAGCACTTTGGATGTCCTGTATCCAGGACCCAACAGGTTAGAAGAGTAATTACTATGTTACAGGAGTGATTGACTTGAATAGCAGGAGCAGGCAGGACTACTGTTATTCAATGAGGGAGACCAGAATACACTCAGTTGATCTATTTGGACATTTCCTGGCATGTTCCTTTGTGTAATTATGGCTGTGAATGCATAAATGTAGCAACTCCAGCCTGAGAAAAGGGTGGTCATCAGGGCCCAGATCCTTTAAGAATGAAAGTTTTGTGTCATTCCACCAATTAAGATACCATTCCAGGAGAGGGGATCCATGAGGGCAAGGGGAAATTAGAATGGATAGTGAAGGAAGGAGATAGTGAATACCACTTATGGCCTAGAGATAACCTCAGGGATGGGAAATACAGTTTTTTTTGGAAACCTCCCTTTTCTAAGTTTCTCTTCAGGAAGTGAGGCCCACTGGAACCCTGGAGTAGCTGCATCTGGACAAATGAAGAAGTGAATCCATGTGACACAGGGTGAACAACAGCACCCACGGGTGTATATCACTCCGATTATCCTGCAAAGAAAAGAGTTGGCAATCAGCTGTTTCACTGTCTGAATTAAGAATTATAAGGTCACAGCTAGCAGGGAAAAACAGGGGGTATGATGTTGACTTTATCTGCCTTTTCGGATCCATGGAAGGCCCTGGATTATCTCTGTGGCCCCAGAAAAAAAGAAAAAAAAAACAAACCCAGGACACTACGCATCCAACAGCTCTGCCTGTGTGGCCTAATTCCTTGAGCAGAGGCTTATGGCTTACACTGTTACAGTTGAAAGAACAGTTCTGGGCATGGAGAAGGTACCAAATGTGTATATGCCATATTGATAGAACTAAAGTATAGAGGATGAAGAAGAAATTGCCTAGAAGAGGAAATTACCTTTAACATTTCAATAAATGACTCTGAGCTGTTGTTTAGGAATTCTTGTTACAAATATGAATTCAGTAGTGGAGTGATTTGGCATTCTCAATGAGTAGAGTTCTTTCAAACCAGAGATTCAATGGGAAATTATTTTTCAGTGGAAAGGAAGCACTTTGTTGAGCATGCCTGGGAGCAGTTCCCATAGTGACATGTGATAGAATGTGCTTCCTTTGGCTTTTAAATCTTTATGTCTCTTGGAAAAAAAATTTTTGAGCAGAGCTTAAAAAAATCCACCAAGCTCTAGAGAATAGGGTTTATAGGCAGCTAAATTATGTGACTTTTTGAATCTATGGGTTCAAGCTTTCCTGCCTTTGTAGCTTCCAGCTGACACCTTCCAAGGGGCAATGATCTGTACTGCATTTTCTCATCAGAGAACTCAGCCATCTTAATTTTAGGGTCATTTGGAATCACATGAGTTAACCTGATTTTTTTTTTCATTTTCCAAAATATCATAAATAGTGGGGTTTTTTTTTTTTCATTTTTTTAGAAGGGAAAAAAATCTGGCTTCAGTTGCTAATTTCCTCTGTTCTGTCAAGATTAGGCTAGTAGTTCTGAGTAATTCTGGCTCATTTTCTCAAGGGACTAGGCCTGAAATAATCCAGTGTTTATTTTTATACAAATTCTCACAGTAATACAACATTTCAGTGACTTCCTGGGATGTTTCTAGTTTTTCACAGGCCAAGAGGCCATTCTCAGAGGTAGCTCCTTCATGTAAACCTAAAAATGGCACTTTCCCACATTATAGTTTATCAGGAAGTTTAAAGTTCAATAGTCCTCCTCTCTTTTCTTTCTCGTCACAGGGAAAGGAAAAAATAAGGGGCAGTTCCAGCATTTCGGCATGGTCATTCCATTTCAGTACTTTGGAACCTGGGAAAGAGGAGGGAGTTTGTAGTATATCTTGGCTGCGAGATGGCTGGACTGGGAAACAGGACTCTCTGCCATTCCCTGTGTCACTCTCTGAGTGACCCTGACCTCTTCCCAGCATTCCTGACCCCACCTCTGTGTTGGGGAAAATGATGCTCGTCATGTAACCCTCACAACATTCTCCAAAAGTCATGGGACATTGCTGAAAAAATAAGAATCCTGTTTGGAAGGCCAGCTTGGCTCTCAACCTGCCTTTCTGGATTTATCTTCCACTACTCGTTCTCAGGAACCCCTATTTTCAGCGCAGGTGTTGGACTGAGCTGTCTGCTGTGTAACATGCAATTCTCTCCCTCTCCACTTTTCCTCACTGAGCCTGTGAAGCTCAGTTCAAACCCAATTCTGTAGTTCAGCTTCACTCTTGTCCTTCCTCTGAAATTATATGGCTCTCTTCATTTGACATTTCACTTGCATACAATAAATATCCTGTTGCTATATTTGCAGAATGTATTATAACAAATTTTTAGTATCCTTTATCTCTTCTAACACAGGATGAGTGCATCGATACATTCAAATATCTGATTGATCAAACAATCTTTACATCTCCTCAGCAGTTCTAGTTGGGTTTTAATGACATCATGACCCTGCGTGGACCTACACACATTGCTGAAGTTGCACACCAGAATGTAATTATGATATATGCATTCAGGCATGCAATGTGGACAGCAAAAAAAAAAAAAAAAAAAAAAAAATCTGTTTGAAATATTTAGCCCGGAGTGTTAAATTGGATCCTAGAAGGCAAAATTACTTAGCTGTGTCAGGTCCAAAGCTATATTTAAGTTTATTGTTTCGTAACAAGTCTGGTCTATTTCAGTGTATTGTTCTCTGTACAAGGTCTCCCCATAACCATGCATTATAATAGACTGTTGCCAGCATTCTTAAAAGTTTCAGAGATGGATTCTTGATTACTTACTTCCTGCCCCAGGGATTCTTGCTGTTAGGGTTGTCATTAAACAAAGCAGCCTCCCTGGCATTGTATTCTGACAAACAATTCGCACCTTTGTAAACTGATTAACAGAATGACTTTGTTTTGATAATTGATCCTTGACTTGTATTTTAAAGGACAGCAAAACTTTAGAGAACTTCTATATTTGTTACAAATACTTTTCCTGGAATTTAAAAAATAATTTAAAACTTCATTAGGAAAATAACGTCATTAGAAAAACAGCGTCAGCCAGTACAAACTTTTAGTTACAAGATGAATAAGTTCTAGAGATCTAATGTACAGCATGATGACAGGAGTTAATAATAATGTATTGTATACTTGAAATTTGCTAGGAGAGTAGACCGTAAGTGTTCTCACCACATATAACACCCCCCAACACACACACACACACACACACACAAATGGTAACTATGAGAGGTGATGGATGTGTTAATTTTAGCTTGATTGTGGTAATCACTTCACAATAGGTAAGTGTGTCAAAACAACCATATTCTACAGCTTAAATATATACAGTTTTTATTTGTCAATTATACTTCAATAAAGTGAGGGGAGAAAACAGTAGCATGAAACAAATTAAGACTGGAGACCATTATGTTCATTATTATGTGTATGAATTAATGTATAGACTGGTCAGAGCAAGCAGGCTACCCAGAACAGGTGGTAACCAGCCCAGATCCAGACTTTATCTTCTCAAAGTCATCCCTCTGCCCTCTGCCCAAGGTGAGTGATGATCCCATCACTCAGAGGCAATGGCCTGTCTGTACTACTGCATGCAGAGCAAATGTTATAATCTGAAGTATTCTTATTGTGAACTATTCTGTATGAAGACCAACATGACCAACATATGAATCTTTGTTGATTACCTGGGTTAAAAAAAATGCCCCACCTTGACAACTGTTCTCCATTTCCTGTTCCACATCAATAATCCTATTAGCTACACAGCCTTTGGCAAGTAAGAGGGAAAGTTACTCCAAATAAAGCTACTGTAATCGGGATAATCTGATGGCCATTCCCCTGTTATTTGGTGTTTAATTACCTGTTGTTAGTTTTTTCGAAGGGCTTAAGAAAAAAATCATACATATATCAATGTATGTCAGAGTTCCAAATGAAAAGAAAAAGTTGAAAGTAAGTGGGAGGATTAGAGCTAGTTACTGACACACTTAGCCCAGGTAGAGAATTTAGGTGACTGCTGATTTTGGTGGTCTAGTGAAACCTTGCATGTAGTTGTTATTGGTAAAGAATATTGAAGCTATATTGATACAGCACATTCTTTAAAAAGGAAGGAGACTTTAACAGCTATTGAGAGTTAAGCATTTGGTATTAACTTTTATATTTAAAAAATTGCTCTTTCCACTCTAAAGTGACTCTAGAATTGGAATTCTATTCCAACAAACACTGGGGGGAAAATGTGACCAAACATAGTTGTCAACAGACTTAAAATGACAAACACTACCACATTTAAAATTTATTTTCAGCATTTCTTGAAGTAATAAAAGGAGAAAAAGGGCCGGGCGCAGTGGCTCGCGTCTGTAATCCCAGCACTTTGGGAGGCCAAGGCGGGTGGATCACGAGGTCAGGAGATGGAGACCATCCTGGCTAACACCGTGAAACCCTGTCTCTACTAAAAATACGGGCGTGGTGGCGGGCGCCTGTAGTCCCAGCTACTCGGGAGGCTGAGGCAGGAGAATGGCGTGAACCCGGGAGGCGGAGCTTGCAGTGAGCAGAGATCACGCCACTGTACTCCAGCCTGGGCGACAGAGCGAGACTCCATCTCAAATTAAAAAAATAAAAATAAAAAATAAAAAAAAGGAGGAAAAGAGTAAATTTTCATTCTGTACAGTTACATATTTTGTATAATGGCTGGGAAATAAAGGATTTTGACATCTTGAACTCTTAAAATTCCCTCAGGAAATGGCTAGAGATGGATTTTGATAGAAACAAATCCCCATTTTAAACTCTTTAAAACATTTTTTATATCATTCAGGTAGTAGTCCTTTGGGCATTGCTGGAGAAAGCTGATGAAAGAATATATGCTCTTAACTAGTTAATGAAAAATTGAGATAAACAAAAGAGTTGCTTAAATATAGATTTTTCTCCTCATATAATTTGTCTCATTAAAATGCTTTTAATATTCTGTATTCTGATTTTCCTTGAAGGAAATATTGTTCTACAAAATTCCAGTGAGACATGCTAAAAATAATGTCTGTGACAGAAATTTTAATTTCCTATCTAAATAATTAAATTTAAGACTATTGCATTTTATATTTCAAAAAAAGATCATTAGATCCTTTTTCTTACGGGAAAACTGAGTCCCACAGAGCACAAAACACTCATCCAAAGTCACAGAGATAACAATTATGAGGGTTGGGTTGAACCCAAGTTAACTTATTTCTACTCTAGTACTTTTTCCATTATGCTGAGCCATCACGGATTATTTAAAGTTCTGCCTTCTTTCCTTCCATTGCAAGAAGGAAATCTTGTTGAAAGTCTGCATACAGGACATGCACACCAGTAACTTGATAGTGTGTTAAATGTCATGTAGGAGTCCAGTAGGCCAAAATCTAGATTTAGTTTCTGGGCCAATTATGATTTTTATTTAGTAGATTTTCATTCTATGTAGTACAGTATTGTGTATGGGCTGAAAAATACATAATTCAAATTTTTTAGTTTTTAAGTTTTTTGGTTCTACAGGAATCCCAAAACATGACTGGCTTTACATCAAATTATAAAATAAAGTTTTCTTTTGAACCTCCAATTTTTACACTTAGTGTCTCCTCACACCATCTGCTGCATGTCTTTCATCTGAGGTCTACTACCCTATTATTTCCATTTAATTATGTCACTTCAAAACCTAGATAATATCAATCATTTTTAATTTATTGTGAATTTGAATAAATTGTGAATGCTATTTTTCCTTTGACTATTTGTATTTTGACATTTTCATGGTAGAACAAAAGGCCATATCACTATTTATAAAAGTGAATTCAGGTAGTAACTATGAGGGGAAAATGTTTTATTTATAGAAAGGAATTTATTCTGTTCCCTTAAAAATAATGCAACCTATGTAATTATACTTCTTATTCTCTCTACCTTAAGACTTTTTTTTTGACACTTGCTTCCTAGAATAATAACCATTATCCCCCTACCTTGTGTCAGCATTTGTGAAAAAAGTTATTGGCATGATTTTAAAAATGAGACTCAGTTAAATGCGTAAACATTTACTAGTCTTCTACTTTGCTTGGCACTATGAGGAAGGAGGAATATGGGTAGGATATTGAATTATCCTGAAAAATCTGTAATGTCCCACAGTGTGTTCTTGGGTAAAATGTGGCTTCAATACCAAATTTTCTCATTTTCTGTCTTCATAACTCAAAACATGGCTTCCAAGTTCTTCCCTACCAAATCCAGTCAGTCACACCAATTGATCCAAGATTGTATTCTACCTGAAATCCATTTGTCATCTCCATTAGATAATATAGTACAATGGTTCTCGAACTTTTAGGACTCAGGGCTGGGCGTGGTGGCTCACGCCTGTAATCTCAGCGCTTTGGGAGGCTGAGGCAGGTGAATCACGAAGTCAGGAGATTGAGACCATCCTGGCTAACATGGTGAAACCCCGTCTCTACTAAAAATACAAAAAATTAGCCAAGCGTGGTGGCAGGCATCTGTAGTCCCAGCTACTTGGGAGGCTGAGGCAGGAGAATGGCGTGAACCTGGGAGGCGGAGTTTGCAGTGAGCAGAGATCGTGCTACTGCACTCCAGCCTGGGCGACAGAGCGAGACTCCTCTCAAAAAAAAAAAAAAAAAAAATCCTTTTAGGACTCAGAACGGTTTTACACTCTTAAAAATTATTTAGGACCAAAACACCTTTTTCTTGAGTAATATATACAAATATATAGCATATGAGAAGTTACAGTTAGGAAAGTTTAAAACTATTAATTCATTTAAAAATAATTTTAAAGTTATTACTGTATGTAAATACAAAGTAACATATTTTTTGAAATATATGTATATTTTCAAAAACACATTTAATACAAAGAATTGCATTGTTCTACATATTTATAAATATCTTTAATGTATGGTTTAATAGAAAAGAGATGGATTCTCATATCTATTTGTGCATTCAGTCTGTTGTTACACATTGTTTTGGTTAAAGAATATGAAAAAATCTAGTCTCATACACATACATAGTTAGAAAAGGGAAGGATATTTTAATCACATTTTCAGATTATTATGGATATTCTTCTTTGATACTATTCCAAAACTCAACACGTGGTAATAATTTTTAAAGGTAGAATCTGAAACCATTGCAAGAACTTCTCATACTCTGTACATTAAAATCCATTGATCTATCTTATACTTTAAATTTATCTTTTGTCCATGCGTGATTTTATAGCATTATATATTCAAGATTTGGAAATTATTGGCTAAGATACGCATTTCTACCAAAATTTGGCACATTTCATTATACAATATCAATAAATCACATTCATTAACATGACCAACAATTTATCAAAAAAGTTTTTAAATATTGGGAAACTGTCACCATCAAAGATTTTCTAAAATTCTAATTTCTGCCTGAAAGTTTAAATTTTGCATTTGGAAAAAACAAAAAACAAAAAGACTGCCCAGGTATTTTTCCTGGTGTAACAGGGTCACATCTGTCATTTTTCAAGAAAATGTCTTCCAAATAAGCAAATATGGATAATCAAAGTTTGTTATTTCAAGTAAAAATTCTATTTCATGAAGGAAAGTGGTTAGGTGAGAGGAAATTCAAACAATCACATAGTGCTTTCCCTGGAGACAACCAGTGCCCTTCAATATGCAGAAGTGCTTTGAGTGTACTTCCCATTTTGTCATGCAGAATATTAAAAACATGCAGACTCAAGGGTCGGAATGTAATGACAATGGCTTTTTAGTTTATTTGCCTTCCGTAGTGAGAGTGTGGCAGTGAAAAATGCAATGACTACTCGTACAGTTTGGTGCCACCGGCTTTATTCCAAGTTGCCAAAAGTTTTAAACACCATTTCTTTTGAACCGTAAGTGTAAATATCAATAGAAGGTATAGAAAATAATGTCTTAAGATTATTAGAAAACTAGTTTTGACCTTATGCACTCCCTGAAATGGTTTTGGTTGTCCAAGGGTTCTGTGTGATACTTTGACAACTGTGACTAAAGTGGATAACTCACTATGCTAAAATACTGTCTAGTCTGATACTCTTAGCTGTTGTGATTATGCAAAAGATTAGTTTTTCTGGGTTTCAGTTATTTATAAAATGAGAGAAAGTGGAAATCTCTAGCTCTTAAACTGTATTCTTTTCTGATTCTCTTGTTTGTGTCTGTATATTGCCACTACGTGGCTGGGCAGAGCAATTCTAAATCCTGAAAATGTCAACTTTTCAAGCTGTAATTTGTGTCAAGTCAGGATCTAAGAAGCTATATTTAAATATTTTCTTGCTAGTGTGCCATTTGGGGATAGACATGTGATTCCTTTACAATTTTTCTTTTTAAATTTGAAATAAATCTCAAACCTGTTTGGTTTTATTATCATTTTTGTGGGTTTATACTTTTGTATTATTTAATTTTTGTACCAGAATCTCAGGTTTGCTAATGGTAATCATAGCTACCATTTATTGAGCAATGTGCTGGGCACTATGCTAATCTCTTTGTGGTCATTATCTTATTTAACATTCTGAAACAATCAATAAAATGTTCAGTACTACCAAGGTCTCCTGGAAGCTAATGGAAGTGAGTTACCAATAATAGAAAGAAGTATGACTTATTTTTTGAGAATGTAAGACACAAACCCTTTATGTGTACAATTCTAACATACAGTAAGTGACATTATGTTGCAAGACTATTTTTAAACTCTGTCTTCTGTGACAAGAATGTTTAGAAATATTTGTGATACCTATGCAAATATACATAACATACACAAACATATGAATGTGCTTCCCTAAGCAAATTATCATTAGGACTTTCCTGGTACGTGAGTAAACATGTAGCTCATCGTTCAGGTGGATAGAACTCAAGATATTGTTTACGAAAAGATCATTATGAACAAATTTTGAAGTAATTAAAACAACAGAAGTGTGCTTCACATCCAGTGTATGCAGTTGTGTTTACTGTAGGGCGTGATCTTTTTCCTAGTCCCGGAGGAAGCTGACATCTGTATTTGATTTAATGAACTTCTGTTTGGTAATAACCCATGCAAAGACAATAATGCATCTATGAGCACATCCAGCTTTCAACATTGGTTCCCAGAACTCAAAGCAAGCACTCTGGGAAAAAAACTTATAAGTTTGTACGTGTTTTGACTGAGTTACTTAAAGCTTATTCCTCTTGGAATCCACACTTGTCTTTAGATTTATAAAAAAATGTGGTTTTTTTACATTTTATTATAATCATTTCAAGCAAATATCAGAATCTTAGCATGATCCTGTACTAAATTATGTTATTCAACCAATTGAGTCCTACTCCCCTGTTTTTTGGTCTGAATTCTGAATAAAGATGTAGAAAGAACATTATAACTGCAGTGGTGTGTCTGGGAATCAAATAAGGTGTGCTTAGATCAAAATTGATCTCATGCAAATACCTGCTATTGAATTTTACCCTTCTATCTATAAGGGATAGCTAATGCGCTGTTAAAAAGCTCTTTAGTAGAAACATTTCAAAATGTAGTTTTGTGTCGTTGCTAAACTTTAATAACTAAGGCCTCTTTCCATATTTTTTAAAAGCCTGACAATAATGGCTCTGTAATTACTGAACTAATGTTATCAATTCCAACAGATATCACATTTATTAAACAGAAAATGCTATGTTGCTGTTCATCAGTTAGAAATGTGTGTAATTGAAATATGAAAATGAAGTCTGTTGGAGTATGTGATTCATCATGAATTCTGCAAGCCCTACACTAACTCTCCTTTTCCTAATTAAACTGTCAAATTGAAATCTTATAATTAATGCAACCACATCCCTTACAGTAGGTTTTCCACCCGCATGTAAAGCTCAATTCAGCAGAAACTTTGCAAGAGCCTTCTCTAGGAAGAATGCAATTCTTGGCTCTTCTGAGCTCTTGAGCAGAAATTCTGCCCCCTCTGCAGAATACTGTGTGGCACGAGATTTCTGTTCTTGGTAAGATTAGGAGTGGAGTGGGCTGACATGTTTGTCAGGGGAGCTGGTAATCCCTGCTTTGAATTTTTTTGGGAGAAGCAATAAAGAGGAAGTAAAGAGTTGGAATAAAGTCTTCTATATTCTTGCCAGCATTGTGTATTTCTACATAATGACTAGGCTTTTCTCTTTTGGTGCTAAAATTTGAAGACTGAGGTGTATTCTTTCCTGGCTAAAGCTGTGAGTATATAAATTTTTCACCTCTGTTCTGTACCACTTGATGGCAGAAAGTGATTGACAGGAATTTATTTTATCACTCAGGCTACGAACTACATGTGTAATCCACACCCTGGCCAAATGTACATATTGAATTCTGTATTGGCAAGGAGATATCTTTGAGAGAGGTTGTTTCTACATGTCTGTGTCCAATCACCTGGGTGGTAACATATTTGATCTCTTGTGTTAACTCTGATCTGTTGGTGGTTGCTGCCTGGACTGTTACATTAGGAAGGATTGTGAGGCCAGGCACGGTGGCTCACGCCTGTAATCCCAGCACTTTGGGAGGTCAAGGTGGGTAGATCACCTGAGGTCAGGAGTTGGAGATCAGCCTGGCCAACATGGTGAAACCTTGTCTCTACTAAAAATGCAAAAATTAGTCAGGCGTCATGGCATGTACCTGTAATCCCAGCTACCCTGGAGGCTGAGGCAGGAGAATCACTTGAACTGAGGAGGCAGAGGTTGCTGTGAGCTGAAATCATGCCACTGCATTCCAGCCTGGGTGACAGAGCAAGACTCCATCTCAAAAAAAAAAAAAAAAAAGGATTGTGAATTTTAGCTGGTTCAGCACTTGAAATAGTGCTGGGATCCAATAGTAATGTCTGATGTGGTGAGACAATGGGTAGTAACAACAAAGTGTCTCTTGCTTCTATCCCTGTGTTTGTCTTTATAGATGCCTTTGTCAGATGCATTTTCATCATCTGTGATGTCTTTAGTCTCTTAGATTTCTAACACATGTTATCTCTGGTCAAACTTGAGTGTGTCCTAAGTCTTACTAAGAAACAAGAAGCCAGTTCTCTACTTAGTTTCCAAGTTGAATACTTACGCGCTTCGAATCAACTGGACTAGTCTTTCTCTCAATTTCTACAAAAAATATTTTACTCATTGATCTCAACTTCTACACAGATACAGTTCTTCATTCTGTGGTTCAGCTGGATCCACAAACCTAGTTATATTTAAAAAGTCTACTAAATTTGGTCAATGAATATAAACAATTATACTCATTTTATCTATCCAAATACAGACAGCCAGTATTCCACTTTTTGCTATATTCAAGCCAGCCAGGCAGAGTAGACTGTTCCTGGAGAGCCACAAAGCATCCATAGTCTTAATAACAGTTCAATTCAATGTCTCTCTGTATCGATGACTGTGTCTCTAGAACTCTGCAATGTTCTACTCAAAGGGACTTCCCCAGTGAAAAGAGGCTTTTCCAATTTATTATGTATATTTTGTGTACTAGCTGATAAGGTTTGGCTCTGTGTCCCCACCCAGATGTTATGTTGAATTGTAATTCCCGGTGTTGGGAAGGGATTGATGAAAGGTGATTAGATCATAGGGGTGGATTTTTTTCCTTGCTGTTCTTGTCATAGTGAGTGAGTTCTCATGAGATCTGATAGTTTAAAAATATGTGACACTTCCACCTTCACTCTCTCTCTCTCTCCTGCCATCATGTAAAGATGTGCTTGCTTCCCCTTTGCCTTCTGCCATGATTATGTTTCCTGAGGCCCCCCAGCCATGCTTCCTGTACAACCTGCAGAACTGTGAGTCAATTAAACCTCTTTTCTTCATAAATTACCCAGTCTCAGGTAGTTCTTTATAGCACTGTAAGAATGGATTAAAACACTAGCACACATTCCTTCTGTAATTTTTTTACAATGAATGTAAACATTATGTCATTATGTTTGTAAACGTATGTAACCTGCAGGCCACCTAGGACACCTCTGCTCTTTATGATCTAGAACAGATATTCTTGAACTCCTATTATTGGTGTGTGGTGAGAACATGCCACCTCCAAGATTTCTGAGAATTATTTACTGATAGGCTTACATTTTCATGGCTCTTTCTTGCGTCTTTTGATTTTCTTAATTTCTCTTTATATTCTAGCTTTTTAAAAATTATCTGCCCTGGCTTCAATCCAAACCCATGAATGAAACTTCAGACCCTCTTCTTAATTCTCTCTCTCTCTCTCTCTCTCACTCTCTCTCTCTCTCTCTCTCTCTCTCACACACACACACACACACACACACACACACGGTTTTTGTGTGTAGGGCAGATTTGTTTTTTAAAGTTTGAGAAGATGAAGTATTTGCCATGACAGCAGTGCAAGCAATTTAAGATGAAATTACCCATTATGGTTTCCAGGAGTCCTTTGGCCATTTGAGAATGTTGCTCTGCCCTTCCACTTTTTTTCTCTCTTAAGAGTAAAAATTATACTCTTGGGAGAGGAAGAAAAGATCCACTGAATTAGTCTTAGGCTTTGGTTTGTGGTTTCATATTTGTATTTGTTAGCGCACATACATATCTTTGTATAACATAAAGGTCTAGGGGTGTGTATGTGTGTGGGTGTGTGTGTTTTCTTAAATCATTCCCATGTTGAATAATATTTTGTTTCACTACTAGTAATAATGCTGTATGCATATGTTTATTCACCATGAGGTTTTCTTGAGGATAGATTCCTAGAAATCTAGTTAAGTATTTGATAGATAACATTATTCTGATGTTTAGAACAGATGTCTCAAATTATAATCTAATAATCCAGGTGTAAAATCTCCATCTCACCCACATTGTTGACCTCAATATTTTCAAATTAAAACAAATTTTATTAATCTACTTGGGAGAAATGGTATCATGTTATTATTTAATTTTTACTCATTTGATTACTAGTGATGTTTAGCATTATTTTAATTCATGTATTAGCTATTTGAATTGCTTTTTAAATCACATATTCATATTCTTTGCTCATTTTTCTATAGGTTCTTTCTAGTTTTCTTACTGATTTATGAGAGCTATAAATGTCAGCTGATTTTTCTGCATTAAACATTACATATATTTTCTCCCAAAATATCACTTTAAAAAAATTGTTTTATGTGTATTTTGCATCCTAGAAATTTTATATAGTTTGTTTAATTTATAATTGATTTTCTTGGAGAATTTACATATGGCTTTGAAAGACCTTTCTAGTCTATTACAAGTTAACAAAAAATAATGTGTACTTTCCACTATTTTATTATAATTATCTAATAGTTTGGTTTTATACATGTGGCCCTTTAATCAGAATCAAATTTACTTTTGTGAATGATGTGAGGTAGAAATCTTTTCTTCTTTTTTTTCTCCAAATGAATGGTCAGTTATCTGAATGCCACTTATTAGAGAGTCCATTATCTACAGCTAATTTGAAAGCCTCTCTTCCCATATACTATGTAACCATATATAAGAGGATTAATTTCTGTAGCTTTTAACAATATTTTGATATTTTGCATGGCTGGTCCCTGTTATTATTCTTCATTTTCAATTAATTTCTGGCTGTTTTCCAAGTTGCTAATATGTGTTCAGTGATTTTTTCCTGGGTACCTTGGCTATCTTCCTTTGCCAATTCATTGCCATACAGGGGTTACTTAGGTGATCATTATGTCTGTAAATACTGAATGTTACATTTCTTTCCAAATTCCATGATGAGATAAAAATAAGAAATTTCCATATTTTAAAACTCATGATAAAACTTTTTACTTCTGAACAAATACCAAATCGCTAAGCATACATTTTCATTAAATTCATGTGATCCAAATAGGAATCTTTTTAGAACATAGGGGAGCTTATGATCCTTATGTGGAGACACTATGATAGCCTATTTTTTCTTTTAATTTTATTATAATGAAAGTAATGCATGTGATTTTTTTAGAAAACACATAAAACCAAGAATAAAATTAATATATAATCCCAACATGTAGTGATAACAATTATTAACTTTTTGATGCATCTTTTCCTTGTTTTATACATGTCTATGTACATTTTAATGTTATTTTGCAAAAATGAGCCCTGAATGTGCATACAGTTTATTTGCTGCATTTTGACTTAATATATGGTGCATACGTTTTAATGAAATGAACGATTGTATTGATGTGTACCATGATTAACTTAGCTGATCCACTATGTTGGGATTTGTAGTTTGTTTTCATTTATCATATTGTAAACAACACTACAATGAATAAATAACCTTTTAGCTAAACTTTGGGCACACTTATGATTATGTCCTTTGTCAATTCATTAGAATTGTTAGGGCAAACATTATATGCATTTAAAAAAATTGTTATATGCTGTTGTATTACCCCCAAGAAAGCCCAGCTAGACTGGCAGTTATGTGTTTACACAAGAATAACAATGTTCATTAGCCTCTATGTATTCATGGAGATAGCCTTCATTTGACTCTAATACAAACTGGGCATCTTAAAGGGAGCATAGCCAGAGGATGCTGCAAACAGCT
This sequence comes from Homo sapiens, assembly GCF_000001405.40. NCBI lineage: Eukaryota > Metazoa > Chordata > Mammalia > Primates > Hominidae > Homo > Homo sapiens. Next base: position 89,976,633 of record NC_000005.10, on the reverse strand, counting down.
GGATGCTGTGGGCATTTCTGTAGTCCACACTCAGGACTTTCTGTTTCCCAGCATGGTAGTCTGTCCAATATTTAAATGGATTGACTTAAAAATACTTGGTGGTTGGTGGCCAGTATTGGATAATGTTAGATGGGAAGTGATTCTTCAGGGAGAGACTTTGGTGGGGGAAAGGAATAATTATTTTCTTGTGGAACCCAGGAAAATGCCAATGCTCTCTTATAAATGAAAATGCTACCTATGTGTAAAAAATGATATTCTTTTTCTGGTCTATTACGCCTTCCTCTAGGAGAGTGGTTCAGAGCACAGCCAATGTCATCTGCGAGGGTGGGTTCTAGGGTTGTCTTCGCCATTTACAGTCTGTATCAACTGGAACAAATGATATTTGCCTTTCTGAGTCTCAGTTTCATCAACTAGTTGTGAGATGTAAGTGAGGTAGGTAATTTACAACAGCACCTTGGGAAATGCTTGGCAAATAATAAATATTCAATAACTGTTAATTAATATTATTAGCTAATAATGGAGTAGAAAAAGTGTTTTTCTGATTTCATTGAGTAGCTAGAAGCAATACTTCTTATACCAGTGGTTGGTTAAGTTTGACTGGACATTTATCTTACCTTTTTCTTCCTCTGAGATCTGCTGAGTAAACTAGGTAAGAAGAGGGGAGGGAGAAGGAGAAATCAGTGATGACAGAATTATGATGCACTTGGTTTCTATTTGGAAACTGCTTATTAGACTCAGCAGCTTATTTGGACAGGTATATAGAACATATTAGTTGGATGAAAAGGACTAGGAAAGAGTAAGGCATGCATTTATACACATTGGTATTAATTTGAGCTATTTTGTATACATATATATCAATATGTGTTAATCTTACATTGCTAAACACATTTCTTAGTCAAATAAAGTTACCTGGGAATCCCTACTATGTACACCTCTCATTGAAGTTATTGGTCACATTTAAAATAGATCTATTAAACTCTCTCCTGTCAGAATTTTGGCCACATGCATTCCAAATCACTCTTAGTAGCCCATTTTATTGTGACCCAGAGAGTCTTTGGTTCACCCTAATTATCTCCAGCTTGAATTTAAATGTTTCCTTTTCTTTCCCCTTCGTGGACAGATAAAAGCTTGACATTTTCATGATAAAAAAGTCTTCATATATGTGAAGGCGATAATTAACTAATCTTCCAGGTCTCTATTTGGTAAGCTAAAAAAATACCTCAATCCCTTTAACCTTTCTTTTCAGTTCATTTTTGAAAGAATTGGCTTAAAGCACTTTGAGACTTTATGTCTTTCTCATAACTTGAACTTTCACCTCTTGAACTTGACATTTCAGTCAAGAGGGTGAGATTTCCTTTCTCAAGGCTACAAAATTAGTTAATTATAATAATGTTTAGCAATGGTGTAATGATTACAGACATCGACCTAAATTCAAGAATGTCTCTTTAACATCAATAGCTATTCATTCATTAATACACATTTATTATTTACTATGTGCTAGGCACCAGGCTAGGTGCTAGGGAAACAACGTTAACTAAGACATAAATAGTTCCTACCCTCATCAAGTTTACATTCTATCTGGGGGGAAAAGACAAACAGAAACAAGATAAATCATATGATTTCACATAGTGATAAGTAAATGATCTAAAATAATAGAGTTTAATGATAGAAAGTAGAGGGAGGAAGGTCAGCAGTTATGTTTAAAAGGGTGCTAGGTCAGAAATGCCATTTTATAGTGAGCAGACTTATATTAAGGAGCCAGCCATACAGAGATTTGAGGAAGTACATTTTAGGCAGAATAAAGGAGCAGATGGTGCTCAGATGTGGAGGATCCAGGTGTGCTGGCTAACGGGACTCAAGAGAAGTAGGGAGGTAGAGAGTAGAGCCAGATGAGTTCAGCAAGGTAACTACGGTAGGTCACATAGCACCTGGAAGGCAAAAACTTTGAGTTTAGATTATACTTCAAGTATAATCAGAAGCCATTGAATGAATATAAGCTGGATAGAATTGTAATGTAATGTCTTACAGAATTCCTGTAGCTTCTGTGGAAATGGACTACTAAAGGAAATAGCAGAAGTAGGGAAACCTGTTGACAACGTAGTTTCTCTCATGCTTCATAAATATCTTTTAAATCCAGTATGCCTCTTTTTATCCTCCACTGCCAAATTTAATGAGTTCAAAAGAGAATATCTTTGGAATGCCATGTCGTTGTAGGTCATGATGAGAAGTGTTATAAAGTGTCTGAATGTAGAGCATTCCCATTGGTCAGGTGTTGGAGTCACTACAGGATCCAGAAAAGCTTAGCCTCGGGGATAAGCTTCAAAGTGGTCACAGAATTCAGTTATTCTGTCTGAGAGATAATTTCATTTATCTTATGCCAGATGAGCATTGACAGCTGCAATAGATATGGAGATTGAAATAAAATAATTGAAAAATGTGGTCCAACCTCTTGATAAAGCAAGAAGACACATGCAAAATAAATACATGTGCTGATGATGTAATTTGTAATACCTATCAAAATTTTATTGGTTTGCATTTGCTACTTTTGCTCTCTGCAATATTAAAATCTAACTCTTAAAAAATTTGGATCATTCTTACATAGAGGCAATAAATCTTCAGTCTATACAGAAATCTGGTATTTTACAATCATTTTTATTTTCAGCATTTCAGTTTGAAAAAACAAGCAACAGTTAAAATGCTTTTCTGTAAGTACAAGTATTAGTATTTTAAGAATATTGAATTTTGCAATTTTCATTGCAAATATAAATGTTCACTGTTGTTAATACATTAAAATGACATCATATGCCTTAGGGTAGCCTAGAAATCTAACCCCCACATATATTTTTTTCCTCGACAGTAAACACATTCTGAATTCGAACACTGATTTACAAATGCATTTTTGGATTTCAAGCTATTTGCAAAGGTGGAGACACTGTATTGTGTACACTGCCCTGAGGAACCTTGAAGTGAAAATAAGGAACCAAATGAAGTTGATTAGATGCAGCTAAATAATATACAGTATGTTTCTAGCAAGAAATGGTTAATGTTTCCTTTGCTTTCACTTGAACCTGACTTATCTGCTGCTTAATATTTACTAGGACTTTGAGAGCTTTTTAAATTTTTTTTCACCTTTTGAACAAGTTGTCTCTGTGTGAAATTATGACCTAAAAGTGAGCCTGTAGGCTGTGTTTTGAGGTGTAAAAATAATCATAGCTGAACAAAAGTGATTCACCTATCAGTTTTCCAGAGTAAAGGAGATGAAGAGAGCAGGGAGTGAAAACATATTTTGACCACTGAGAGACAAGCTTGTTGGAAGCAACATTTCTCAGTCTCAAGATCGCTTGTGCACCTTTGCTTCTTCACTAAAGCATCCATCTAGTTAGCATATATCAAATAACCTGCTCAGCATTTTCCTAGGATGATTTACTTAACTTGTCATCTCTTAAGAAAAGAAACACACATTTTCCTCAGTCTCAGCCATTGGTGGAAGTGATGTCACCATCTTGAGCAATGGAAGCTTACTCTTCCAAAGTACTGGAATGCCCAGATTCCACAAGGCTTTCACCTCCCTGGACAGAGGAGAATTTTTGCTGACTTACCCCGCTGTACATATTGCTACAATTACGGGGGATTAAATGGCAATGTAATCACATAATAAGTTTACTTGGCTAAGGAGGAAAATGCAACTTATAGAGAACTGTGATTTCCCAATGGGCTAACACAGCAGAGGAAGCATTTGAATGGTGGATGTAGAGATGAGGAGTGTTTTGTTCCACAATCCCTCTGATAGTTATAACTCCCCAATAAATAAGAGCATTTTGATTTATTCTCTTCATCACGATGCTGCTACCCATAGGTTATTCTTTCATTTTTCGGTAAGTGGTAATTGACCAACTTCTCTCACTCCTGTAGCATTAAAAAATAACCTCCCCTTGCAGACTCCATATTGTTTTCTCCTTTTTACAAAGGTCAATATACAGGTATACATTAAATAATTTTCATAAAATAATGCTAGTTACTCCCCAAAGATATCAACTATAGCTATGCTGTATTTGGGGTTATTGTTTCAGAAGCCAACTGGGCACACGCATTCTTCTCTCACCCCTGTAGAGTGGGGTAATGAGAAATGCTTTCAGAGCACAAACCTCCTCAATGCCAATTGTTACGTCGAAAGTGCACACCAAAATATTGAGCGATACGATGTGCCTTTAAGTAGATGCTGGATGTCCACCCAACATGCGCTCTGTCTAAATTGATAATCCCCAATCAAAGATTTGTTAGGAATAATATTTTGGGGTAGGAACCTTCTTATTTTTTTATGGTTGGGTTGCCACATTCAGGACTTATGGTGATGAAGCACTGGAAAAGCCAGAGATGAGGTTTTATACTGTGATTTCTAGCAATAGTTAACCATGGGCAAATGTTTTTAATCCATAGAGTTTTACAACTGTATTCTATTTTCCTTGGCCTATGAGAAATGCAAATATTACTTCTTTACTGTTAACTCTATCAGTTCAGATAATCATGATCTGAAATCAATGTTTTTAGCTAAAATAAAAATCTGCTGTTTTATAAGGAAGTGTTTCTACATTAGAAATTATACTAATTTAAAATATGATCTTATAGAAAATTGAAAAATCAGCATGATATGGCGGGATTTTTGACAGTTATATTTTTTACTTTTACTTTTAATTGATACATAATAGATACACATATTTTGGGGGTGGAAAGACATATTTTGATGAATCTTGTCCAAATATCTGTTTTATTAGGGGAAAATATTCGAAGGAAAATGGTTGATACTTTCTCTTCAAAAGTTTTTCCATGCTAATAAAAGAACATTTAGTTTCTTTGAAAATCCGTGCTTTTTACACAATTAGCAGTTTCAGAATTAATCTTTGTTTTTCATTTTCTGTAAGTCAAAACACCATACGAGGTGTGTTTTTTCAAGAAAAGAAAATGAAAGGAAGGAAACAAAAAGACAATAATTTCCTCCTTCAGCACATTCTCTTTTTACTTAAACATTTGTGGAAGTGAGAATGTGTCTGTGTTTGGAGCATCAAGCTTCAGTCATGATGGCTTCATGTTGTAAGAACCTGCTCCAAAACCTGCTCTCTGTGTAGCAGCTCAGATGGAAGGACCAAAAGTGTGTAACTGTGCTGGCTCAGCTGCAGGACAACAGTTCTCAGCCACCCCACATGGTGGAAGCCTTCAAACAGTTATAACGCCAACCGCAGAGATCACCAGGGTTCCAAAGATCAATTGCTATGATTCCATGCTAGAATTTAAATAATATTTGGATGTGTCACCAAATGTCTTCTCCTTCTATCTCTCTCTCCCTCCCTTCTTCCCTCCCTCCCTTCCTCTCTCTATTACACTGGGGCACAAACATACACACATACCCCTTTCTTGTGAAGCATTATCCTCTGAAAAGAGAGTAGTGAATTGTTCAAGATATATTCCATCATTCTGTAAACAGTTACCCTAACTTATTATAGTAAAAGATACTGAAAACGATTGTAGAAAGGTTTTAAAAATACAACTACCGAATTCTGAGTATTTGTAAACCTCTGTTTATCCGGAAACGAGCAATATATTGACCGTACTGTTGCTGTCTTTTTCCTTCTTTGTTCCATTTAAAAAACATATTTCACATTTTATTAGAACATTCCTTTGAGGATAAGAGTGAAAGGAACAAATGAAAAAGCTATATAAGTCATGTATGCTTAGTTTTTGGTTGTTTTATAAATGTAAGGTGAAGGGAATTAAAGTCTAGCATAAATGTTTAGAGACAGTAGATTTTATGATTCCGTAACTGAGAGTTGACTATACATATTATTGCTTTGAAAAAAATTGCAGACAAATTTTGTCTTTTATATTGAATGCTGATTTTTCTACCCTACCTAGCCATCCTGAATACCATCTTCAAAATTGCCTTCCACATAATTACTGAATAATGTCTTCTAGATGCTTAAGATGTTTGGTTAGTCTTTTCTTTACCAAAATCTCCCATTTGCCAAACCTCACCTTACCAATTCTGTAAGTCGTGGGCCAGGCCTAGCTAAGAGATCAAGACCTCTCTGGCTATTTGCTTATAAAGAAACTTCAATAAGCCAGAGTCCTCTTTCTCTGCCACATAATAGGCAAACTCTTTTCCTCTAATGAGCTTCTTAAAAAAGACCCTTTATCTAATAAATTTAACACTCTAATTTAGGGAGTTTCAAGAATAAGGGGCTTGTTGCCCCTTATTATAACATTGTAACAGGTCAATGCAGGACATGTCTGGCTAAATTAAGACTGGCTCTTCAAATGTCATTATGATGACAGCCTCAAGGTATCCATGTGCTCAGCCCTTACTACTTTCCCATGTGTGTCTAATGGTCCTCATAAACATAACATGTCCAAAAGAGAACTCTTGATTTCTCACCCTCTGCATCTCAACAACTTTCTTTTCTCCCCCATCTCAGCAATTGGCACTCTCTCATCCTCTACACCTTATTTTCCCCCATCTCAGCAAATGGCACTTCCATTCTCCATCTTTGATTCCTTTCTTCAACATTCAATAAATATATCAGCAGGCCCTTTTTATTCTACTTATAAATGACCACTTCTCTTCATCTCCAACACCACTACCTTGGTCTAAGCTTCTGTCATCCCTCTTCTGGACCAGAAAAAGCTTCCAAAAAATATCCCTGGTTTTCTCTTGCAGCTCTCCTATTTAAATTTATTTTAAAGACAAGTTAGATATTTTCTATTCAATTACTTCCCATTACTCCTAAGATAAAATTAAATCCTCCTCACTTCCTTTGGTTTCCTGCATTATCTAGTCCTTTCCTTTCTATAAGCTTATTAAGCTTCAAGTATTCAAGATATGAGCAAATAATTCAAAAACTCCAACAAAGACCAAACAGTACATGTGACTTCAAAGTTCAATAAACCTACTCATAAGAACTAATATTCATTGAATTCTGTCTGCATCAGATGTTTAACACTCATTATCTCATTTGAATTTCACAACAATACTGGGAGCAATTATTATTTCCATTTTGCAAATGAGAACACTGAGGCTCAAGGTTAGGAAATTTACTCAAGGTCAGGAAATTTACTCAAGGTCTCACTGCTTAAAAGTAGAAGAAACTTGAAAAGATTGAAGCTCAGCATTTTTCTAAAAAGTTTGAGCTCTTCATCTGTCTTTTTGATGTCTTTGTCTCCCCCATTATTCCGATCTGAGAAACTTGCTGGTAAAATGAAGCCTCAACATGGCTTTTTAAAGCAGGATTAAAGTGTACTTAAGTTTGCACTCCAGAGGCAGGGAACAAACTTTGGCAGCATGTCAGAGTACACTCCTACCTCATTCCTGAGCTGTGGTTTGTTCCTTTTTAGAGGCTAGAATTTTGATCAAACTGAATGATAGGAAAAACATATATCCTTCAATAATTGGTCAGAATAATAAATGTCCCTAGCCGACATGGGATGCTGTGGAGGAAGCATAATAAATTTCATGCCGAATCAGCTTAAGAAGGCAAGCTGAGGCCAAAGAATCACAGCTGTCATTTGGCTGTGGGAAAGGGTTCAGAGGTCCCTTCTACTGTTCATTCCCATGAACTTAAGGTTCTCAGGGGCACTCCGGGAGGTGACGCTCCATTTTCTGTAGTAATGTGACCCAGAACATGACAGATTGCTAGTAGTTAATCAACAGGTTATGATAAAAGTTCAAACCTGATTTATTTCTTTTGCCCAAGATTGGCTGTATTTTCATAAACATAAAAATACACGCAAGCAGCTGAGCAGATCTCACAGAAGCCAATCCTATCAAATGGACATTTCCAACTGATATTTTATTATCTGGAAAATTCATAGAAATTGTAAAACATAATTAAATATTTCAGATTTCCAAATAGAAGTGACATCTATCCACAAATGTAATTTTTATTTATGTAGTGCAAACTTTATGTTAAGATATTTAAAATTTAGGAGAAACTTTTTTTGTCACAGAAGAGTAAGGCTCAATCCAAATATGAAATGTAAAGGATGACATGAGAATGGAACTTTGCCACATGCAGGAATCTTGCATTACTTTAAAAATGTTTTTGGACTATGTGTTCCTGAAATATTTAAATATTTTAGGAATTGTCATGATTGGCAATTTGTAATAAAACTTTTGTGGTGGTGTGAAATTTGATGATGAAAGTAATAAAGATGATAATAAAAATAAAACACTAACAATAATTGAGTGTTAATGCATGCCAGGTACAGTTCTGTGTGTTTTGTATTTATTAATTTAAAAATCCTCACCACAACCTGATAGCATAGGAAACTTTCTTGTCTCCATTTCATAAGAGGAGAAATTGAGGCACAGGAAGATGAACAATTTGTCCAAGGCCTGACAACTAATATATTGCAGAGTCAGCATTCAAATCCAATCCACCCTCTTCCCAAGCAATACAATATACTTCTAATTCATAGGTTTGCATTCATATGTAGTATGCAATTTTTAGGTATAGTATATATTTATGTAATATAATTATAATACTACAGTATACTTCAGAAACAGAAGCCAGCAGTACTCCTATGACTAATTCAGATAGGATCATCAAGAACTGGCACTAAAATGAAGTTTTCAGAAATTAAGACAGGAAGCTTGTGGTTTCAAAAGTTATGTGGTGATCACTGTGATACAGGCAATGACTTCTGTTATTCCATCAAAAGAAGAACTTGCGGGAGGACACAGTTAATGGAGAAAGAAAGACAGAAATGTTAGTTTTGCCAGTGGATTCACTGAATAGCAGCTATCTCTTAAGCCAGAGGATACAAGTTGCCAGGAAAAAAAAGTTCACATATTCCCTTTCACATTTTTATTGCATTTTTATTGAGTCCTTTAGTTCTTGATAGAGTGTATAAATATATAAATATATCTCTAATTTACATCCTGTATTGTGACACATTTTGGCGTTTGATTTACCATTTTTATAAAGCCAGTGGATCTGGTAGAACTAAGGGCTTGTTGATTGGGAGAGAAACAAACAAGAGAGGTGCCAAGTTCTCCAGGGCAATGGTTGAATTATTTTGACTGTTGCCTTCCTATCAGCGTACTTTTTTGTACCATCTCAGAATTGGAGCACCAGGAAAAGGCTTATTTTTAAAAATGACATTCAAATAGAAGAACACATAACAGCAGAAATTAGAGTGCAGTTTCCAGCAAATAGTTTGAAAATCTTATACACTGTCAAATGAAAACAAACTTCTTGGTCTTTAAATTAGAAAAATAGTGAGAGGATCAGAAACAGCTGTGGCACGTAAGGAAGAAGAAAAACACTCAGCTGTAGTGTGGGGAGTTGATGCTGAACTATAAAAAATTGTCATTGGATTTTATTACATGCTGGCTAATTAATGATAATGAATCTTATTTTTTTCTTTGTACATTTTGAACATATTTAAAGATGAACAGGCAGACTACTTGGTATGTATATCTGTGCTAACCTTGGCATCTGAAATTTTAGTTCCTCTTTTATTCTGGAAAACTCAGGATAGGAAAGACACTCTTCTCTTTAAGCCAGTAACTGAGTTGATTCTTAGGCTGGCTCTTATCATTATTATTTAATTCTTCCATCATATAAAATGTTTCATTTTCCGCTATTATCATCAATAATGCCTGCATTAACTATCCGCTTCGTGGGACCAAAAAATAAACGTGAAGAAGCTTCAATACTATGACTAGATAATTTTTTTAGCAGTTAAATAAATGTTGACTACATTTGTTCCAGCCACACATGATGAATATGATTTCTCTCTGTCTTCCCCAAAGCTAAGAAGCTAAGTTCTGTGTTTTATTTGTATGTTTATTTGTATTTTTATATTTATCTCTCTTGCCAAACAGGTCTTAGGACAGCAAATAGTTGGTATTTTGGGAAAGTGTTCATTGAAAATGTCATCGTGCTGTTTTCGCTGTATTTCTGTACAATCGTTGTATATAAGGATGAGAATATATGTAGCTTTCCAAATTCAAAAGCCACTTATGGGGTTGCGGGTACTGTGGTCAGAGTTTTGGGATCTAGGTGAGTAGATAGACACCTAAAAGTCATTAATTCTGTAGTTTTTCTCTGGTGGCAGGGCTGTACACATGTTTATGGTAGGGATGACATGGCTACATTTATTAAGATACAGAAAGCATTTATTTTCCTGGACTTCTACAGCAAAACCACAATGATACCTTAGCGGGAGACAGCCCCCTGGCCCTCACCTCAGTTGCTCCTATATTCACCACAGCCTTAGGGACACCCTTGATTCTTTCCGTTCATTAAGAAAAAGGTATAATTGTTCTTGTTTACTTATCTTCTGAAAAACATTAAAGAGTTTTTTTTTTAAAATAAACAAACCCAAAAACTAGCCTACAAAACACCTCAAAAACATTATGAAGCCTTTGGTAAAAACAGGTTAGACCGGGACTATATTTGGTCCTTAGACTGATACCTCGACATAGAAAAAGTAACATTTTAGTATTTTGATGTTGGTGGATAATGAAGGGTGAAAGGAGAAAAGGAAAGAGTCACCAAATTTAGGCAAAAACAAGAGAAAAACAGTTCAGACAGTAATTGTCAGGAGGTTCCTTTTCCTTTCAACTTTCAGGGACTTTAAAACTTCAAATGAACCAAAAGTAATTTTGTATTCCATTGCCCCTCAGTTTCTAAGGTTGAACGCTTCTAAAGCTTAACAAGTCACTAACCACGTTCAACTTTGTCAGCTGGTTTCTAAAATGAATTTATATGTGTGTACATAAGTATATATCTATGTTTTTTTGCCAGTTCTGCATACATGAAGATAAATCCCTATCAACCTCATAATTGGTGAAGATTATAAAATAGAGAACAGCCAAGATCAATTATTGGCAAGTATGGCAAATGAAAAAGAATAACATGCATATGTAGGTTAGAGATAATTTCTATGACATAATTAAAACTAATAAAATAGAATTGGGAAATTAAGGATATTGCCAAGAAAAATAGTGAGAAATGTAGCAGTAATATAAATGTGATGATGGTAGCAGAATTGGGTAATAATTAAGACACACTAATTAGTCCCTGCAAATCAAGAACTCATGATCAATTGGATGCAGACTAGATTATGTTGACCTTTGCTTAGCAAGAGATATTGTGAGCTAATAGTATTTATAAATTTTGTAGGTGAATATAATGCTTGTATTGACTAGAAATAAAGTGTTTCAAGCATACTTATGCATTTAGTAGCATCTTGTAACATAAAGAGCATTTGATGTTAATTATAATTTACTCCTATCCATTTGTTTAAAAATAAAATCCACTAAGAAACCTGAGTACATGTTTGTTAAAATGAGAACCGTGCATTCAGATTTAGATTTTACTGCATCGAGCAATCATTTAGTTTCCAGGGAAAGATTGAATGTTCATTTAAAAGTTACTTTTGATAACTCTATGGAAAAGGCACTTGTTAATCATCTAAATGCTGTGAATTTAGATGGAAAGTCATATGAAAAGTGAGTGTTATCATACATTTAAGATCTTGTACTTATAATGTTATTATAATCTTTTGCAATGCTTAATATTCTATAATTAATTAATTTAGTTTTTGATTACATTGTAAATTTTTTCCTGAGTTAAAACAATCCATCTTCTTTTTGGAAAAATTGTTTAAAAATTTTTATTTTTAAACAAATGGATAAGAGTAAGTTATAATTAACATCAGATAGAAAAGTTAGAAGATAGAAAAATTTTAAATCACTTTTTATTCCATCATTGTGAAAGTTTTAGTGTTCTTACCCTCTTCTTTGTATATGTGTGTAATTAATTTAGAACAGTATTTAATTAAAACAATCTTAACAATGTTGTTTTAAATTAAAAAACACAGAAGCTTCTTAACATTTTCTGTCTTAATAAATAAAATGTATTAAGGAGAGTAATTAAAGAAATAATGGTCTGCATAAAGAGACCATCTGTAACTCTTAGGTGGGATTGTAGCACTGTAGACAAGTCAAGGTGCCTATCCTGAAACTATTCATCACAAACTCAACCACATAAATAAAGGCCCAATAAGATTGAAGAGTCAGATTATTTTTTGCATCAACTAGCCCTCCAGTTTATTGTTGCAGTTTATTTTGTCACACCTGGACATTGCTAACAGGGTGTTTCTTCTTCCTCATTTTTGTGGCATCCTAGCATTTATATCTTTGACTCTGATCATAGGAGCCTCTTCAGATTATAAGAGTGGACTGCAGTGGAGCTAAGAAAAAACAAGCATGGAGTTTGATTTTATAAAGCAACCAAAGTCTTGTTAATAGTGTAGTCAGCATAATCAGTGCTCATGTTTTTGACCCATTACTGTTTTCTACCTGTCTTGTTTTTAGCTTACAGTATTGCCCATAAAAAGGAAGCTTCTGATCATCCTATGGGAGTGTACTTTGTCATAACTAAAGACAAAAATGTGTCCAGTGAGTTTCTGATTATTCTCTATGTGTGCAGACATTTAACAAACACATTACATGTCTATTAAATTGTCTATAAACATTTAACCAGACATTTCAGAAAGAAAGTCAAGAATATTTCCGTAAAATGTGACAAGACTGGCTATACTGAACTAATAAATAAACCCTGAAATATAAAATTAACAAATATGAGGCTTACTAAAAGGAAGGTTTGTTTCTCATTCCCACAAAGTCTGAAGCAGTTCAGGTGACACTTTATTCCGTACTGGGATTCAGGGATGCAGGCTGCTTCTGGTCTGTGGCTCTATGATCTTAACTCACGGTCTTCAGGCTTGTCACTGAAGAAGAGACAAAGGAGGCACGCCAGCTTTGATTTTAGCTGTGCATTCATTCTCATCTCTTAGTCCATGTGCCAAACTAGTCACATAGCTTTCACCTACCCAAGGGAGCCTGGAAAATTTAGTGGGATGTATGAGTTAGGATTAAGCCACAGAAGCAGAACCAGCAGGAGATGTATATATTAAGAGATTTATTACAAGAAGCGGGTTTACGCAGTTGTGGGAGCTGGATATGCAAGGCTGAAACCCACAAAGCAGGCCACCAGGAAGGGGAGACTACAAGTAGGCTGAAACTCATAGGTACTTTGGGCATTTGCACCATAGCCTACGGCGGTTATCAACAGGACTTTTTTTTTTTTTCTCTTCCTCTCAGGGAAATCTCAGCTTTGCTTTTCATCAGGCCTACCCAAATTAGCCAAGATAATCTTCCTTATGTAAAGTCAAATGATGACGCACTTTTAATTATATCTACAAACTCTCTTCACAGCAACACCTAGCATATTGTTTGATTGAACACTAACCCAAGTTGCCAAAATGACACATCACAAAAACCATTACCAGGGAGCATATGAAATAATAGGTGAGCTCTAATGACCCCGGCCAGAATATGAGATAATTATACTAGGTCTCACAAGGTATCATTTATTAAGAGCTGCAACAACAGAGAAAAAGATGTGAAAGGACTGATGGGATCAATGGGCCTGTGAATTTGTGTGCGACAAAGAAGAGAACCATCATTTAATTATATAATATGTTCATTTCATCATCTAGGCTGAGCTAGTAATTAAAGATATTTAATCTAGAAAAATTGTATCCAATTTTCAGAAACCTTCCAAGAACCAGCAAACACCTCATCATACCAACTTTTCCTAGCAGAGTTTGTTTTCATATTTTGTTGAATTGTGATACTAACTAAATTTCTATGCATGATCTTGTCTTTTTTTTAATTCTACCTATTTTGCTATGCTATTCATCTCCTCAGCATCTCATGCTTATTGTTAAATTCCTATTAGTCAGTGCAAACTAGCCTATTTCTTTTTTCTTATGGCTGTTGAATTCGCATTTTAGTTGAAGCTTAAATTCTGACTCATAATTATCTTTCTTCCTTTTCTTGTACCTCTTGGCATTGCCTTTATATTCTTCTTTTGCTTCTCATTAGCAGCCCACTGAGCTGTATCACTTTCTCATGGCAGCAATGAGCAAGATAGCTTTAATTTAGTAACTTCTCATTGCTGCCAGCCAGTTGGTCCTCCCCATTGCCCAAGTCACAGCTGACATCACTGTTGTCAGTGTCACCTGGTAATGGCTGATGGTGTTTCACATACCTCCCTATGTTCTGAAAGTAATATTTGCCAAGAATTGGCCAGACACTAAGGTGGTTGGGACCAAGCAAATATTCCATCTGTTGCCTGTATTTGTTCTCTGCATACTGCCTGAATATTACCTGGGCGGGGTGGGGGTGGGGAAGACACACTTCCACAAACATGAGTTCTAGTAGGGAAGGAGCCAAAAGCAGGCCTTTTCTGGCCAAGTTGTGCTAAACCTTTCTCTGTTGGCAGTTACTCTTTGCCAATCAGTCAATAAGTCAAAACTAAAAGCTGCAGGAGACAGACAAAGTGATGCAGAATTAATGAACTTCTTTGTGCCAAGGTACAAAAATAATATTTGGGAAATAAACATTTTAGTTTTAAGGTCAAAGTTATTTCACCTTGGGACCACTATTAGATTAGCAAGTGATTTGTCAGTCACAGACAGCTGTTGTAGGTAGTCCTAAAGTGAAGTGATTATACTCATTAAGCCAAAGTATATACTTTTCCTTTATTACCTATTGGGTCAAGATCTTACCTTATTATAACACACCTGAATATAGATTTTCATTGCAGAGTATAATTAGTGCATGGTCTATTGAGTAAGCAATATGAATTTTTAAAATTGTCTAAACACCTCTTTACATGCCAACTCTGGTGATAATTACCAAATGTCTATATCTAGAAAAACAGGCAATTCAGAAATATCAATTTGTGCTATTATTTATGATACACATGTGCTAGTTTTCCCTAAATATAGACATTTGGTAATTATCACTGAGACTATTTGTTATAATTCCGAAGTAGATCCCAATGAAATAGAAATATAATTTATTTGGTAAAAATGTAAATGCTGAAAAATTCTCATTATCTTTCTGCAGAGTACAGTTCTTAGTTTCCTATTCATATTTCATGTAATAATTTTGGATTAGCCATCTGGTTTGTTGAGGGTTGAAAATCTGTTTAACACCAACGCAGAATTTTTGTTAAAAAATAAAACAAGTCATACAGAAATCACAAATGTTTTCAGGTATTTCACAATGCTAATAATGAATAGCTTTTAGGATATGGCGTGTAATTTGCACTTTTATCTTTAGCATTTTCTTTTCTTTTCATTTGTATAATTTAGATTCGCCTTCAGCATACTTTTTAAGACTATTTTTTAGGGATGTGTCAGTATGAATGGTTGATATATAATAAATATTACCAAAAAACTATGTTGGGCCACCCACATTTTTCCAGTACCACTCTTTCCCTTGTCCAAGTGGTTAGCTCAGTGCATTAGTTAGAATCCCCTGAGTGAATTAGATTTTCTTAACGACTCCAACTCTATAGTCCTGAGATTGAATTACTTCCTCTCTATCCATATCTGCAAATGGATTTCAACGCTCTGCTGCTCATCCTGGATAGAGGTGATTGGTTCACACTGGAGACTAGGAAGCGGAGTTTGCATTTATTGGTATAGATCCATCACTTCATCTGTGTGAAAGCCTTGAAGTATGTGCTGCATAAAAAGTTGAAGAACAGACACTATCTGACTTCAAGACTTACCACAAAGCTACATTAATCAAAATAGTGTGGTATTGGTGAAAGAATAGACAAATAGATAAATGGAACAGAATAAAGAGCCTAGAAGCAGGCCCACAGAAATGTAGTCAACTGATCTTTGACAAAGGAGCAAAGGCAATACAATAGAGAAAAGAGTCTTTTAATAAATGGTTCTGGGATAACTGGACATCCATCCACATGCAAAAAAAATACATCTAGGTATAGATCTTACACTCTTCCCAAAAATTAAGTCAAAACGGATCACAGACATAAGTGTATAATGCAAAATTATAAAATTCCTAGAAGCTAACATAGGAGAAAATCTAGATGATCTTGGGTTTGACAATGACTTTTTAGATACAATGCTAAAGGCATGATCCATGAAAGAAACAATTGGTAAGTTGGACTATATTAAAATTAAAGTTTTCTGCTCTGTAAAAGACACTGTCAAGAGAATAAAAAGACAAGCCAAAGACTGGGAGAAGATATTTGCGAAAGACATATCTGATAAATAGCTATTATCCAAAATATACAAAAAAACTCTTAAAACTCAACAATTAAAAAAAAAAACCAACAATAGGCCAAAGGCCTCAACAGATACCTCACTAAGAAAGATATACAGATGCCAAATAAGCATATGAAAAAATGCTTCACATTATATATGTCATCTGGGAAATGCAAATTAAAATGAGATACCACAACATATCTATCAGAATGGACAAAATCCCATTATCAGAACACTGACAGCACCAAATAGTGAGGTGAGGATATGGAACAACAGGAACTCTCATTCGTTGCTGGTGGGAATGCAAAACAGCGCAGCCACTTTGGAAGACAGTTTGGCAGCTTTATAAACAACTAAACATACCCTTATCATATGATCCAGCAATTGCACTCCTTGGTTTTTACCCAAAGGAGTTAAAAACTGATTTCCACACAAAAGCTTGCACATGGATGTTTATATCAACTTCATTCATAAGTGCCCAAACTTGGAAGCAACCAAGATGTCCTTCAGTAAGTGAATGGGTAAATAGATTGTGGTATATCTAGATAATGGAATACTTTTCAATGCTAAGAAGAAATGCGCTATAAGCCATGGAAAGACGTGAAAGAAACCTTAATATATATCACTATGTGAAAGAAGCCAATCGGAAAAGGCTACACTATGATTCTAACTGTATTACATTCTAGAAAAGGCAAAACTATGGAAACAGTAAAAAGACCAGTGGTTGCTAAGAGTTAGTAGGGTGAGAGGGATGAGTAGCTAGAGCACGAAGGATTTTTAGGGCAGTGAAAATACTCAATGTGATATTGTAATGAGTGGATACATGTAATTACACATTCTTCTAAACCCATAGAACATACAACACCAAGTGTGAGCCCTAATACAAACTCTGAACTTTGAGTGATAATGATGTATCAATTGCAATAAATGTACCACTCTTGTGGGTGATGTGAATAATAAGGGATGCTATACATGTGTGGGGGTAGGGGAAATATGGGATATCTCTGTACCTCCTCTCACTGTTGCTATAAATTAAAACTTCTAAAAAATTATGTCTTAAAAATAAAGTGGGTATGCAGTGTTATTCTTATATTTGATAAACCATGTTCTTACCAGCAATTCCTTTTCCACTGATGGAAAGAAACAGGTTGCTACCTATGGATGTGAGTGTCTGTGACTCTATTTCAAATCACTGACCCACATACTGTTGTATCTTGCTGAATTATTTTTGTCATCATTCATTGTGCCTGACTACAAAATTAGTCTGGATAGAACATCTGGATAAAGCATTCCACTCATCCAAGTATCAAGCAGAGTAGATGTGGGTATTCAATTCTGAAGACCAAACTTTGGCTCATCTGAATATGAGGTTAAAAAAATTATTTGGGGAGAAATATCAGGCCCACTCAACACAGATGTGGAATTCTGTGAAGTACTCATTAAAATGCCACCTGTGGGAAATGCATCTTTGAAGGGAAAAACTCAAAATTGAAGAGACTGTGTCTGGGCTCCTGTTCTTGTTGAGACTTGGCCCAAAGCTGGGTAAGATAACCATGAGAAACAGGTTGGCTTTTCATAAGGCTTTGAAACATGCCTGGTTTCCTTTTGATATGGAGAAGAATAGTCAGTTTTGTTCCATGATCTGTCATTTAACCATCTAAACTCTGACAAGGCTGAGGCCAGGGAGGCAGGGAGTTGCTTCTTCACGTGCATAAGCATAAGTTTTCTTTCTTCTCTTTTATTTTTGAGATGAGCCCGCTCTGTGGCCCAGGCTGGAGTGCAGTGGTCTGTCTCAGCTCTGCAACCTACACCTCCCAGGTTCAAGCAATTCTCCTGCCTCAGCCTCCTGAGTAGCTGGGACTACAGGTGTATGCCACCATGCTCAACTAATTTTTGCACACACACACACACACACACACACACACACTTATATACAGAGAGAGAGAGAGGAAGAGAGATGGGGTTTCACCATTTTGTTCAGGTTGGTCTTGAACTCCTCACCTCGAGAGATCTACCTGCCTTGGCCTTTCAAAGTGCTGGGATTACAGGCCTGAGCCACCGTGCCAGGCCCCCACACATAAGTTTTCTAAGGGTGTTTTGAGAAAATGTAGGCATGGGTACTTATTCCATTCAAAAAGAGATTCAGAATACAGACTTACATACTTCTCAACCTTTGAATTTTTTTTTTCTCTATTTCCTCCCTAAACTTTCTAATTGAGAAAGGAGTGAAGAATGATCCATATATTACATATAGGACAACTCTTACAGTGTTCTCAGTAATGGGTCATTTTTGTCTTGATGATGTTAACTTGGCTAAGGTGGAAAGTAAAGAAGGTATATAAATGAATTAAAAGGCCAATAAATGGATGTATGTGAAGATTAAGCATTCCTACCCAAAGCTGCATACAGGTAGTGAGGTGTTGCAGACAACACTGACTGTTTGATGACAACACTGAGCGATTAGCACTAAATTAGTCTCTTGCTGCAGGTAAAGACACATCGAGTCCTTGGGCACATCAGAAGGCACAGAGTCATTGTAGCAATAAAATATGATGGGACAGTCATGGTCACATCAGAGAGGAATATTCTAATCAAAGATATATAGAATATTCATATTCTACTCCTTTTCACAGGAAAAAATGATTCTTGTCTCCATTGCCTTTATTGGGGATAATTCCTCTCACTGATTGATTAGGAATATGAAGATAAAAGATATGATCAGAGCTTATAAGATCTCAGGAAGTGTGTAAATACATTTGACAGTGGATCTGAAATGGTTTCTTCCCTTCATTCTTAACTATTTCTTTCAAGGGATTTGGTACACTTAAAACAAGTTTCTGCATTTTCTTCTGGGAGATGATGATATTCTCTTACCTAAATGGTGAAGGAACTACAGTAGAAGGGAATGGAATGGCTGGGTGAAAAGCAGTAGTACCAACACTTTCAGACAGTATAATTGTGGTTTGGAGCAGTGTAATTGAATTTTCATGGGCCCAATATTTTCTGAATATTAATTTCAAGGCTGAGCTAAAGGGTTTGGGCTTAAATAAAGTGATTCTATGATTCTGTTATGTGAATACTTACTTGGTTCCTATCAGTGTTCTACCCTCTTCTTTGCTATTCTTAAAATAGTTCAGTGTTTTGCACACAGTATAGAGTATACATACTGGTTTATATTGATGGAAATGGCAGCTAAGGGCATTACTGGTTCAGAAAGTTTGAACCAGTCTATTGCTAAGTCTAAGGTGCTTAATTTTCTGTAACTCTTCCATTTGGACTCTGTTTCATTTTTCTTGTCTGTAATGTCTACATTGGATTGTTTCTCCAGAGGCAAGAGTATCAAGATTGAGACCCTAAGCAGTGTAGCCTTCCCTGTAAGTTCTTTCAGTTTAAGTACAACCAGTCCACTGTACAAAGTCCAGCAGGGAAACATCCTCAGAAGTATCTGTATGCCAAAATATATTTTTAAAACTTATTCTATTTATAATCTGTAATCCTTCATCTCAAGGCTGTTAGACACTGTCCTTTTATTTGAAAGCTGTTCTTTTGAGTACTGATTTTAGAACCAAAGTCTCAAAGCTTCATAGAAGGCATTCTTTTTCCTAGCTGTAAGCTATGGAGTTGATTTTAATAGTACGTCAATTGTAAAGCTGCACTAGCTATTGCAGGCTACGGCTAATTCAAAACTAAATCAGATTGGGAATACCATTTGGTGTGATTATATCATTAAACCACAATTGTCTACCTTCATGCACTCCTGGGCTTAGTATTGGTGTTGACAATAATACAAATCATAATATCTTTATCACAAGAAATGCAAAGCTCTTTAAAATGGTCTCATTATAGCATCCCTGTGAAGAACTCAGAAAATACCTTTATCTGTGTTTCCCCAGTTGAAGACAGTGATTATCACTGAATCAAAACATGAAGCAAGTTCCCAGAAGTCGGGGTTGTTAGCTCTGGAATGAGTGTTCACTTCACTTAAAGCAACTAAAGTGAAACTAGATAAAAACATAATTTTATAATCTTATTATTCTAATATTATGACTATTTTTATGTTACCGATAGGTTCCTTTTCTAAAAAGAAATACTATTTGAGTGTTAAAACTAAAACTTAAATGGTATTTTTGAGGCAATAGCAAAGCCTAACTTAACCTTGAATAGTACTGATGTAATGTTTTAATCAGATATAAATGCTCTTTAACTTTTTCCTGCTTGTCTCTATTTTAGAGATGCAGTTCTACCTCCTTGTGACTGAAATGGTCAATTCTTAGAGCTGCTCAGGCCAAGTTAAATACGTGATAACACTCTAAGGAGACAAGTGGCCATATTCAGACCAAATTATCAGAATGCTTTTTAATCCTCCATCGCATCTTTAAATTGAGTGCCATTAATACCTAGATTAGTAACCTCAAAAAGCAGGCTGCACGAGATAGGAATTCTGCTCCCAAGGTACTGCATGATTATGTTGTGAGATATTTGCAGAGAGGTTTATTTTGGGCTGGGTGAAATTAGCATCTTTGTTTACAAGAATACCCTCTTACTGATCAAGTTAAAGTACATGCCTAATAACCAGCATTTCTTAGACTTTTATGTTGCCCTTAATTAGACTCTTCAAAGTTAATTAGGGGAACAAATGGTACTTTTTGTTCTTTTAAGTCCCCTTTAACAGCTTTCTGACACATAAAATTTTCCCCCATTTATAGCTAGTTTGGCTTCTGCTTTAAACCTACTGGTTAACTGCTCATTGGTTAACTCCTCCTTCATTCACAGAACAAAAACCACACTATTTTTGAGGTGCCTCTGATCCCCCCTCTTTTCTTTCTTCCAATTTTCAAACATTAATATGGTTCATTTTTAGGTAAAAAAATTATTCATTAATTTTTTTTGTTCTTGTTTGGGAACAGCATTTTGCTCAAGGCTTAGAAACTGGCAAAACTAAATTTGTGAAACACTAGCACATGCAGGGAGACTAGGAAAGCTTTTGCCTTAGAAACTGCACAGAAAAATCGAGTTTCCACACCCCTGCTCCTGGACTTGGGGTGGGGGTGGCGGTGGTGGTGTGGGAAGTAACACTGTTTTCATTTGAATTAAAATAAAAATGATTGGCCTCATTTTGATACCTATTCTACTTTTGAATATTTTTCTTTATTTCTGTTCAAAAAAGGGCTTATTGCATACAGAAAGCTGGCTCTCAAAGTAATAAGCTAATCCATGGATGTGAGATTTTTCAGCCATGCTGTCTGTCTGCTTTGTGCCACTAATGGTAATATAAGACTATTAGAAGTGAAGCGAGTAAATGAGAAATAGTCTTTGCATTAGAGCAGGAGTCTGTCACTCTTCTGGCAACCCTGCCGAGAGCTACACATCAAAGCCACCACACTGTGCTAATAGTGTCACTTATCCCACAGCCTTTACACTGTCCCATATGCAGTTACTATGCAGGGGGTGTGCACATGAGGGTGAGAGGGGAGTTGACAACGTGCTAGAAGAAACCGTAGGAGATAAACTGAATGTGATTTATCACCTCTAATCCTTGCAATGGAAAACATTTAGGAAGAGCAAATAATTGAGGTCTTTCAGAAATATGCTTTTATTGAAAAAAAAATCCTTGAATTAATTGGAAACCTAAAAATGGAGGATTAAAATATTTTTAAAAAAGTCATGAGAAAATCTTTAATGTATTTAAATGATTGGAAGAAAGAAATTATGCTTTAAAGCAATCTCCTTAAAACTACTTAGTTTTGATTATACGCCTGAAAGAATGCTAAAAAAAAAAAAACCTTTCATTATTGTTTTTGTATATGGCAATCACAATCATGGATATCTACATAACTCAAGTTGCTGAAACAAAAATATTTCCATTAAACTGGAAGCAATCAGTGATGATATGTCTATATTCTACTTATTACCATCTTCCTTACTGGGCAAATACTATTTTTGTTGTATTTGATTTTTTTAGTCGTTGTTGTTTGTATATTTAGTAATCACTGAATGGCACCAGATTGACAGGTTGGAAAGGTGAGAACTATGGAGACAGCGTAGAGAAGTCAGGCACAGCTCTTCCAGCCACAGAAGGCAAAGCGGACCTCTTGTGCCCTTAGCTGAGCTCTGCAAAAGGTGCTGGTACCTGCTCCAGAATCTCTCTGCAAGGTCTTGGCTAAATACAATGGCCTTATTTTTAGTTCATTCAGTTGAATCATTTTCCCAGGAACTGAGCTGGCTACAAATGCTTCTGGAGTCTTTAAAACTGTCCAAAGCGTTTGGGAAAAATGGGAAGGAGAAATTCAAATGGCTGAGTTGAAGCATACCGTTATGTTTCAAACATGCGGAGAGTTAGTGTAAAAGATTTTCCAACAATATTTCTGTGACCCAGGCGAATAAAAAATGAGCATTTCAGAAAAGAAAATCACCAATGGATAGAAAAAGATGATTGCAAACAAATGAACAAACAGCCTTCATTCCTTCAAATTACCCCAAGACCTCTTTAGCAGAGTTTTGGGAATGATACCAGTTTTCCTCTCATTTGGAGGTCAAATCTGACAATTGCAACCATTGGGATGGAACTTTTAAGCAGCAAAGGAAGAAATCATAGCAAGGGTGTCCTGAAGCTTCCACATTTTAAATCTGGAGGAGTTTTTGAGTCCATGTTTTGTTTCCTGTTTAATCTTATAATCTTAACATATAGAATGATTCTATTTACAGACCATGTAGGGGCTTTGACTTCACAAAGATAAATCAAGTGAAAATCTCTTAACAAACACAAGGAAAGAGAAGTTTTAAACAGCAGAAAAAGGAAAAGATGAAAAACTTTTGGGCCCTTTCAGTCTACACACGGAAACCTGTGGTCTGACAGTGAGCTTCCATATGGGAAAATATACAAATGAAGTGAATTTTGTCAACTACAGAAAACCTGCTCCTCTCCCCGTAGTCTCATCTCAGTTAACAGCATCATAGCCTACCAAAGCTTGAACCATCATCATACCTTCCTTAGTCCTAACCTTCTCTTCCTTACCCATTCTGCGTCCAAGTCCTACTGATTGCTCCTCTTAGGTATCTCTTAATTTTATGTCTCAGTTCTCACTGCTTTGTTTTGGGGGTGACCGTACATTTGAAACCTTATTCTTCCTTCTTCATGCTCCCCATCCAGTCTCATAAGTTATAGAACATGCATGCATATCCTCTTAGTGATTGATGGCAGGGGGCTTCTGCTTCATGATTTTTTTCTGGGAGGAACTACCTATTAGTTGATCTCCTCAGTGCTAGTTCATACTGTCAGCTGTCCTCTCTCAAATCACAAGGCTGGTGCTAAAGTGTACCATGCTACTATTGTATCATCTCTAATGGCTTCTGGGAGAGCAACATTCATCATGATCAACGCTTCCCCAGTCTTCCCTCTACAAACCTTGCCACCTTCATCTCTTCTCATCTCCCACATGCCCCCTACGCTTCAGTGACGAGGAGCTTCGCACTATTCTCTGAATATGCCACTCTTTCAAACTCTGTTTTCCCAGATGCTGTTACTTTTCCTGGAGTGCCCGTCCCTCCTTTCTCTACACAGTAAACTCCCACTTATGCTGTAAGACCCAGCTCAAATGCCATCTTTTCTCTGAAAACTCTCCCACTCCTGTGAAGAAAAGCTATACTCTCCTATTCAGAGATCCACTGGCCTTTTGTGGACACCCGTATTTGATAGCTGTAGTTAGTGCCATCCCCAGACCTGGATGAGAAGGGCCCTGATTTAAAGGTCTCTGGCCCTCCTCTAGCTGGAGAGACGATCTTGGGGTCCAAGGGGTGTGCTACCCAAAGTCCTAGCCTCTCTCTTTTTGAATCATGCTCTGAATACCTGGGATTATAAAACTCTTTACCCAAACAGTAACAATCCCCTTGGAGAAACTGCCTGGAATCGTTTTCCTGGGTCTTTGCATCTGAGAGTTGTCCATGTAGTTGGTGCAAGCACCACTAGGTCTGAAGGATGAAGAGAATGTGTATTGTGGATGGAAATTAAACTTGTTGCCTAGGGTGTCCACACGCATGTGTCCAAGGGCTTTCATGGTAAAAGGCAGAATTGGGAATGGGGTAGTGTAAGAATTAAGGAACAATACAGGCCTGGGCCTGGAGGACAGTTTCTTTGATGGTATTATTTTCCAGCCTTGATCTCTAAAGAATCCAGGAATTCTAAACTTGAACCTGGTAGGTCATATTGTTAAGAAGGTATATTTGTCAAGGCATCAAAATAAAACATATTTTACTCAACTGTTTGTTAGCTTAATTCGTAACTTTTAAATATTTAGGCATCTGGTATGTGGGCCTCTATTCATATTCATTCTCAGGTCTAGCAAATGTTAGGAATGGGCCTGCTTGTAGCATAATTATTTCCTCACATCCTTATCTCTCTGACTGGCCTGTGAATTCTGAGAGGGCTGGGACTGCTTTTTTGTCTTTGTTAATCTTTTTATCCAATAGTTAACCATCTTGCTTGGCAAAGACTAATCTTTTAAAATATATTTGTTGATACAAAGATTATATTCGTAATATTTAGTTTATAAAAGCAAGAATGTGTATGACACACTTCAAAGAACAATGTTGAGACTGGTTAAAGGGAAAAACCTCTGTGATAACTTCATGAAATGATGAGGAGTACAGTTGTTTTTAGACAATAAAAGAGTGATACGTGACTTTAGAAGTTAGAGTATAAAACATGCAGTTAATTAGCTCTAAAACTGATCCTATGTCCTCAAGTTCTCTAATGACTAACCCTACAATAGCATATTGTAAATAAAAGCCATGCATATTCAGCCACCTCTGTGGAAGGAAAAAAAGGGAAAAGAGTTTAACAACAGTTAAACATCTACTCCAAGATGGACACTCTTTCAGCTGTTCTATACACACTGTCTTACTTAATCCTCAGAACAACACACTGAAGCATGTACTATTACCCCTATTTTATGGATGAGAGAATTAAAATTCAGTAAATTTCAATAACTTGCCCAAGGCCACAAAATGTGTAATTAACAGAGCCAAAATTTGAACCCCGGTGTAAAGCCTATGCTCTTTTGATCAGAGCTGCAGTAACAAAGATTATTAGCATGAATTTGCCTTGGAAATTGTCAACCATCAAGACTTGAGACTTTTGGTACCATTGAGACAAATATTGAGCCCACATTGATGAAGCATTATTCTTTCAGAAAACAACAATTTGCGTGTGTTCTATATACAGAACACCAGGTAAGGCACTATGAAGAACTATAAAAGAAATATATACATACATACATAGATGTACACATATGCATATATATGTGTGTGTGTGTGTTCATTTCTCAATTGTTTGACTATTAATTGGAACCTTTAATTAAGAGTTCTATTTTTATAAGAAAAAGGAAAATAATGATAAAACCAAATTGTAACAGCACATAGTTTTTAAGAGTATATTCTGGTGTTGAAAATCAGTCAACTCAACCTCTTATCCCTACTACAAATATAGTTTCACTACTGAATGAGAATAATTTCATATATGCTATGGTAATCTTGAGTACCGTGATATTCTTAATCATTAAAATCTGATTCATGTTTACTAAAACTTATAGGGGTAGGAAAACATATTCATAAATGTATTTGAGGAAAAGTGTTATAAGAAAATGAAAAGTTTTATTTATCTTTCAATCTTACCCTTACTGGGGTCTTTATTTCTTTTCTAGCTTTAAAATATCTAGTCAAAGTAAAGCATTTCTCTCAAATCTATTGACAAAATTTCTTAAAAGTCATTATTACAATTCTCATTGCACAGAGCTGCACACACATCATGAGATGAAGGTATAAGAATACATTTTTCAATAGCTTTGATCCCTATGTGTGGCTACTGACATAATAATTTACTATTAATATATTTTTCTCAAAAATATATTTTGCAATTTTATACTTCTAAGACTGATTATTCATGTATGAACCTATAACTTGGGGGATGACAGGAGCAAGTTTTCAGTGTTCATGGCACATCTTCTCCTTGGGCAGAATAGTAAGCTATTTATATCTTGGGATATCCAATATCACAATTAGATTCACTCACTCTTTGAACTTGTCTCCTTGTTTACCCTCACCATTTCAACTCCTGCACTCCACGCTGAATGTTATCTGAAATCCCACTTCTGGAATGTAATTTATCTAGCTTGGATCCTATTAAAATGGAAATATAACCAAGAGTGAAAAGAATGAGTGAATAAGAAAATGAATGAAAAGATAAAATTGCTATTGAGTCAGATTTTTTTCCTGACAATTGTCCTTGATAGTGAGGACAAAGGCCTAGGTTCAATATGATTGAAGAGATTAAGAAGGAGAAAATTCTAGGAAACATAGATCCACAGAAAGAGTAGTTTAAGAATTATTTAAAAAAACACCTGGCCAATTATTCACTTTTGCAAAAACCTTGATGTGAGTGACCATTTCTATTTCATCTATGGTTATAGATTGAACATTACTTCTGCCAAACACAAGCCATTTGTTATTGGAGGGAATAGTGGTCTCTGGACAAAGAAACTTTCAAGTGTCAACCCCTTAGTTTAGAATACTTACCCTGCTCTGCCAAACCAAGTGTCTCCATGTCTAATTTTTATCCTTCATTCACTGGAGAATACAAAGTCCTTTGATGTTTCTTGGGTCCAGGAGAGAAAATGTTGAAAGGAAAAAGTACAAAATTGAGAAGCCCTTGTAGCACCACCTTCTTGAATTTTCTTCTCAACTTCCTCTTGCTCCTTTTTCCCCATGTTTCTTTTCTTTTCTTTTATTTTTTATTTTACTTTAAGTTCTGGGATACATGTGCACGTTTCTTTTAATATGGGTTTCTAAGGGAGTTTTTCTCTCTCTGAAGGACTGCAAATAAAAATACACAGCATTTGGGTCCTAAATTCATTTAATAGATAAACTTTCTCATTCAATGGCTCATGGAACAATGTGACAATGAATATGTTGTAGCTCAGGCCACTATGACAAAATATTATAGACAGAGTGGCTTAAACAACAGACATTTATTTCTCATAGTTCTGGAGGCTGGAAAGTCCAAGATGGAGGTGTTGGCAGATTTGGTTCTGGGTGAGGGCTCTCTTTTGGCTTGCATATAGATGCCTTCTCTCTGTATCCTCACATGCCAAAAAGAGGAATCTCTGATGTCTCTTCCTTTTCTTATAAGGGCATTAATACCATCATGGGGGTCCACACTCATGACCTCACCTAAACCTAATTACCTTCAAAAAGGCCCATTTCCTGATACTGCTTTTGCTATTATTAATAGGACTTCTTTCTCAAGTGTTGAACCACATAGACTTCTGCTTTTCTTGTTCTACTCTCATAATTCAGTGGGTACTGCGCTACAGATTTTGTTTTCAGTTCACCTTCCAAGCTCTCTTTATCTCTTCTTTGCAAAATCTCTCCCCATTTTTCTCTTACTTTCCTACTTACTCTTACATTAAATCTGTTTTCTGTAAGGAGCAATTACCAGTCTTAACCAGCATTCTGTTTAATACAGTGTCACAAAGGAAAAATAAATTATTGATATAGATTTATTATCTAAGAATTTATTTTCATCTTTTTTGAATCCCGTTAAAGTTCAATGATAGCATTTTAAAACTTAACTAGGTCTTAAAAATCATCAATCAATTAAGCATATGCTCATTATACAGATATACAGATAAGGACACTGAGATATACAGAAGTGAAATAACTTTCCAATGGTCATGTACCAGAGCTAGAACACAGTTCTCCACAGCAGTATTCTTTGTCTAGCCATTATTGCAGTGTTTTATTTCTCCAAATTTTTTTCTCTCTTTCCAAATTTGGCTGTTACTTCCATTGGGAAGCATTGAATTAAGTCTGAAGTTTAGGTGCAATTATGCCTGGGTAGATCAGGTTGGACTACACTAGTGATGAAAATTAGCACTTGTGTGTGTGTTGGGCTTAAAATAAGTGAAGACTAATGGAAATCATCCAGTGCACCTAAAAGCAATTTAACATTCCCTTCCCTTTGCTTTGGTTTGAAAGTAATCTATATATTTGGGGAGTTCTGAGTGAATCTAAAAAAGGCAGGTGCTTACATTCTCTGAAGCTACAATTAAAAACAATCTTGTTTCTCATGGGCTTGGGGTATCAGATACACATACCATACACATACATTTCTATTTGAGTATAAAAATTGTAAGTGTGTGTGTGTCTGCATGTGTGGGTATTTAAGGTGTTATGGACTATGTTTGAATCAACTTGACTCCAACCATATGGGATTTAGTAGAAATAAAAGGTGGAAGAAATATGTAGTTCATGCAAATTCACTTAAAAATTAAATTTGGATGGGTCAATTATCTGTAAATAAGAATCAACTACATTGTTCAGGTATACATTTCAGTCTCATCTTCCTTCTTACCCTGAAACCAAAATTAGCACCTCATTTTTGAATTAAGACTCTGAAAAGATTAGCTTTCTGTAATGATTGGGGTAGAGACTTTGAAGCGGAGATCTAAAAGGCATGTGTTTCAGAATTAAATGCTCAGGAAATTTCCATATAGCAATTATTCTGAGCCTTATAGATTTGGTGGCTATTGCAGAATACTTAAGCATACAGATAACTCTCTAATGGTAAAAGATGAATGTAAAAGCTATTCAATTTTTAAATATTTTTCTTTCATTTATCTTTGAGCTTTTTCTCTCCCATCTCCGTCTTGCTCATTGCACTCCAGATAAATTGACCCTTTTACTGCAGCATGTGCTGTTCCCTTGCCTAGAATGCTGTTCCTCCAGAAGGTCACATGGCTTATAGTCTCACATTAAGCACCTGCTCAAGAATCACACACTCAGAAAAACCTTTGTTGACCATAGTCTCAAAAGTAGCATCCCAACACTCTTAATTCCTTCTCCCTGCTTTATGTATTTTCATAGTATTTATCACTAACCATTTTTAATATGTTGGTTTGGTCATTTGTTTTTGTCTGTTGTTCCAGTAGAGCGTAAGTTTAATGAGAATGGGGACTTTGTTTTGTTCCCTTCTTATCTCTGGGGCCCAGAAAAGTGGCTGTTCTAAGAGCTAAAAAAGAAAACCCATTTTTAAATACGGGAATATTTCCTGAATGAATATTATCTGTTTCACCTTCATAGGGCACCTGCCACATGTGGGGGACATGTGCCTCGGAAGGAGTTCTGGTTAGAAGCTGCGATATCTATTCTTTTTCTAAAACTTCTTTTTCTTTCAAAGAAGTTGAATCTGAAGAATTTTGTAACTTTGGATTCAGTTTTTTACTATCAAATTAAAGCTAAAAATGCTGCCAGGAAGGAGGGAAAGCCAGATTGGAGGGGGAGGAGGCGAGAGGTAGAAGAAGGGGAAGCAGAGAGTTGGGGGAGGAGATGGCTGAAAGATCCAGGAAACCTGAGGAGAGGCAACAAAAACCAATTAAAGTTAATGAACTACAGCTAAGCTTTTTATTTTAGTTTTTTCCCCCTCACAGTATACCAGCCTTAACTTGGAATTATTTTTCTTGGAGAGACACTTTCAAAAAAGTAGACTATTTCCTCCCTACCCCCATGCTCAGAAAAATAATATAACACTTTAATCAACAAAAGCATGAGGGTATGTTTTGTGCAGCTATCTAGTGGATTTGTCACTTGGCCTTCAGCCTTAGTTCTACCACCTACTAAATTCTGGCAAAATCCCAGAATGTCACAAATCCTGTTCTCCTCTATCTTCACATAAGCTGAAAGTCGGCCCTACTGAGTAGTTATCTGGAGGCAGGAGGCGGAGGTCCAATTGTAGTATCTAATATTAGAAATAGAGACGCCTCCAATGGTTTTTGGCAGACTGAGCCTACAAAGAGTGGCTCTGGCTTTCCTACTCAAACGTCTTAAATAGTTTATATATCTGTTTGATTAATTTGGCTGGAAACATGATTGCAGTTAATGTATTAGGTATAAAAGTTTAGAGGAAGAGTCTTATGTCAATGATACCCCCATTTTCTAGAATAACTTATTCTATCAAGCCAGCTATGTTTTAATGATGAATCCTACTGATAATAAGAACCTACCTTATATTTATTATTTTTTATTATCCACAGAACCCCCCCTCCCAAATTTGAATATGAATGAAATGTACTTCACTAACATTTTCTATTCATTCAACATTTTGGCAAAGTATCACATTCAAATTTATGATTCCATTCTATAATGCAAAAGTGGTATACACTGATCTAAATTATTTCAAGATATTTTAAAATCTGAGCCTTTGACACTCAGGTTTCCCACTTGAAATAGAGTTTCAAATGCTCTGCTTTCAAATAATCTCTTCTTCAACCTCTTGCCTTCACCTCAGGCTTGAAATCATAGAATTTTTTTCTATGTTATTTCTCAGCTTCCCATTTAATTCTATTCATTTCTTTTTTGACTTTTAAATGATATATAATAGTTGTCTTTTCTCAAAGAGTTTAAAAGTTATGAAGGTAAGCGTGGCCTTACTAAATATTTGGCTGAATGCTGGCTTCTCTCTCCATCTACCCAATCTCTTCTCTATATTTGACAGTTGCATCAGAATCTCACGGTGCTCACTATTGCTTAAGGAAGCACATCCTTTGTTGGGAAAATCTAATGCTTAGAAAGTTGGTGAAAAACGCATATACCATAACTTCTACTCATTGATCTTGGCTCACTTGTTGATTCATTAATTCATTCATTTATACATGCACTCAATAATCATCTTAAAATTCTACCACATATAGAGGCTGTCACAGCTCAAGGCCCTAGAGGGTCACAAAATTATACTATTCTGGTACACACTACCTTCCTATTCTGAGTGGGAAAGAGAAAAAAACTACATTTGTAAATATAAGTATTCCCACTTCTACTTATCCTGACACAATATAATTTTAAATTGTATTCTGTTTCTGGTCACTCTCCTCCAGAAAAGCCTTTGTATGTCAATGTCCCACTTAAAATGTGCATCCAAATATGAGTGGGCTTTTTTCACATTTAAAGAAGAGTAAAACTGTTAACTCCCACATTTGAACACATGCTTTTTCTTAATATAAAAAATATAAAAGGGCTTTTTTCTTTCATGTATTTCAGTGTTGGTCATCATTTACTTTTATATGATCTGAAAACTTTAGATTTGGAAATCAAAATAAAGTACAATTAGGTCAGAAATTCTCCATGTTGCTTTTGTATAGTGTGTGTGTGTGTGTGTGTGTGTGTGTGAGAGAGAGAGAGAGAGAGAGATTAACGCAACCCTCAATTTTGTTTTTAAAATTTTTCCATATTGAAGTTCATCTTGTCAAATGATTATTCTTCCTACCTATATAGAGTGTGCTTATAACTAATGTAAATAAGATGAGCATTCCACTTACTAACAGTAAAAAATAAACAGATAATTTACAAAATAGTGAAGACTAATGTCCAATACACATATACAAATTTAGTCCTCAATTACAATAAAAATGTAAAGTGAAAGCTTAATAAAATATAATTTTTTACTCACCAAATTGCCAAAGGTTGATTACTTTGTTTTCAAATGTTGATTCAATACTCAAGGTAAGGAAGCCAAATGCATTTATTTATTACTTGTTTAGGTATAAGTATAGTCATTACAATCTTTTCAGAAGCCATGGAAAATAAAGAGGAAGAGGTGATCATTAATAACATTCCTTGGGTCATATTCTAATAATATAAATGAGGAATATAATTAATAATTTATGCACAAAACAGCTTAGCATTGTTTATGACAATAAAATTTCAAAGTAGTTAGACATCCAACAATAAGAAAATGAATAAATGAGTCATACATACCACCAATGAAACATTGCAGTTATTTACTGCCATTTAAAAATATTTAATAACATGAAAGACCCTTTCATTATAATCTTGAGAAGACAATAAGATATTAAATTATATTTAAACTGTAACTTTCATGAATTCAAGGGTATTTGTCTGTTTTATTTATAGCTGACTGTCCCCAGTACCTAGAATATTGCCAGGTGCTAGCAGGCATGCCGTGCATATATGCATATAAGAAGTAATGAATGGATATGCAGAATGTTTTCATTTAAAAATACATACATACACACACACACACACAATATAAGAAGAAATATCATGAAAATATCAGCAAAGTCCATCTCAGCGTTGGCCATTATAACACATTTTACTTTTTATATCTTCAGCAGTTTCCAAATTTTTTATATTTTATAACTGGAGAATATTTACTGAACCAATAGCTTCGTTCGCTTCAACCAATAATTCCAGCTTGTGGAAATATTTTTTATTTTTGTGCTTCTGTAGTTAAATTCTGAAGCCATCCCTAATAAATTTGGCATATTTGCCTTTCAATTGTCTACTTTCTGAATAGGATAGAATCCTTTACAGTACTAGATCATTCCCTACAGTTTGAACAAGCTTTAGAACAATGATCTAAATGATTTTAAACCTACCTTCTGCCAAATGTGTTAGAATGTGGGGATCAGCCCATACCCTTCTACCTTGTTCATGATGATTTGTAAAATGTTGTTAACAACTTTTTGGTGGCAAAATACATGTGTATAGATTTCATCCTGACTTGTATGTCTAGCTAGGAAGCTTCTCAGAAAAAAAATAATAAGAAGAAGGTTAGTTTGGCTGAGTTTGATCTTTGTGATCCTTGCAGCAATTGTCTCTCTCTTTTTTAATTTTTATGTGCCAAATATTTGAAGATTGTAATCAGTTTCAGAATTTTGTTTGTATAATGTCAAGCAACTTTCTCTTCTTTACATTATCTACATTTTTGAAGATGAGTAAAACATCCGCTTGTCTCCTGAGTAGCACCTAGATACTTCTCCTTGATGCTGTAGTCTAAGAGAATTCACCAAGGATCGGCTTACTTTCACATTTGCATTGTTGAGTAAATTGCTTTTCACAAATAACCTTAGAGATGCCTTTCAGTTTGCCTGGATGTTGTTCACTAGGTTTAAATACTTAAATACATTTTAGATGGTAAAATGTTTTCTTACTATACTTTCGCATTTTTAATTTTCTAATTCAATGCTTATTTTGCATTTACCTGTAGGAGCTCATTCTAAGGATTATGGAGATAAACCATGGAAAGGGGTAAGACTCCTTTGTTGTTTCCTATGAAAACTGACAATAACACCATTACCTCTTGAGATTATTCTTTAACCCGTCTGCAGCTAAATTTTCTGTGCCATCTTTTACATTTCCGCCATATTGGAGGGATATGTTTTCTCTTAACTTTCTATTTTGAAATAATTTCAGAATGACAGAAAAAAACAGCACAAGTAATTAAACTTCATCTAGACTCCCTAAATGGTAATCTCATCCTATCCCCTTTTGTTAAACTGTTAGAGAGTAAGTATTGCCTCTTTACATCTAAATGTTTCTGTGTGTATTTTCCTAAAAAATTAAGAATGTTCTTTTATACAGCCAGAGTATAATTACACAAATCAGGAAATTGGCTTTTATACAAAACTATACTCAATTATAATTGTGTGTGTATGTGTGTGTGTGTGTGTGTGTGTATAGTAAATGATAGTACAAAAAACTTACATGTTGCCAGTTATTCTAATAATGTTTTTTATAGAAAAATAGATATTCGTTCTGGTCCAGGATCACGTGTTGTATTTAGTTGTCATACATTTTGAGTCTTTTTTATTCTGAAGTAATTCTTCAGTATTTCTTTGTTTTTCATGACCTTGACATTTTTCAAGAGTATAGACCAGTTATTTTGTAATATGTCCCTCAATCTTTTTGTTTGTCTGGTATTACTTCATGATTAGATTCAGATTGGGCATTTTTAGCAGGAATACCATGAAGTGATGTTATGTCATTCTCAGGAGGCACTTGATGTCCATTTGTCCCACTAATGGTGAATTAACTTTGATCATTTGGTTAAGGTGGTATCTGCCAGTTTTCTCCCATAGTTACTATCTCCTCCTCCATAATTAATAAGTATCTTGTGGGGAGATACTTTCAGACTTTGTAAATATCTTTTCTCATCAAATATTCACCCTCTTGTTTTAGTATCTATTGATCATTTGTGCTTGAGTCAAATGTTACAATAATTATTTC
Organism: Homo sapiens; assembly: GCF_000001405.40. Taxonomy (NCBI): domain Eukaryota; kingdom Metazoa; phylum Chordata; class Mammalia; order Primates; family Hominidae; genus Homo; species Homo sapiens. The sequence goes on along the minus strand of NC_000005.10, from coordinate 89,942,406 downwards.
CACATGGTGAATTTCTAATTTCAAATTTTTTAAAAATTCATTACTTGGCATTTTTTTCTATAGAGATGAGCTTTTCAATTCCCCTTTTAAACTATCTATTTACTTCTTTATATTAGAATGGACTTGTGGATTCTTATATTCATTTAATTAAATTAAATTATTACTATTGTATTATTATTTATCACGATGCACAATTTGTCCCAGATTTGGCCAATGGGAGCTCCATTCAAAAGTATTTTTTGTGTATCTTAACATGTCCTCATTTTGGGGGGGAAGGGGATAAAGGGAGTGATTTCTTTCTTTCTGGACTTAAAGATGTTCCAAGCACATCTTGTATTTTCCCAGACCCAACCTTGGCATAAGCCAATTTTCCAAGAAGTCCTGTTTTCTTCTAGTATAAAATAATATTTAGAAACCAAAGTAAGAATGATAGGTGTGGTTATTGTTACTGAAGTACCATTGTTTCTAGGCTGTTTTGGACACATACACACACCTGTACACACACACACACACACACACACACACACACACACACACACACACTGCTGTATCTATTTCATTAACTATCTACTTATCTGTCCATCCTTCCATGAGTTCATATGGATACCTTCAGTCAGAGTTCCAGTCTTCCTTCTTTCCATAATTGTAATTCTCTTCTTTGACAGTGACAAATATGCCTGGCTATCTCTATTTTGATATGTCAGAGATGGCCTGCTTTTCTACTTAGAAACCCTTGACAAAGTTTTGAAGTTACAAATTAAATTATTGAGGATAGGGTAAGACAAAGAGGTAGCAATATATTGGAGACAATTATGGAGAATACTGAGTTTCCTGCACATTTTCCCATCTACTTTCAATCTATTGCCCTCTCCCTTCCTTTACCACTGGGATTTTTAAGCTTCTACATAGTTGGATTATTTTAAAGATTATCTTCAGACAGTGGTCTTCCTTTTCCCACTGAGAGTCTCTGTCTATTGAATAGCTGGCGTGAGTCTTTGACTGCATTCTGTATGTGGTAAGGTCAGCAGCCATGCACCAAGGGGTGGACCAGTGGGAGTAGTCCAGCCCAGTCACAGGCTATCCAGGGATCTATGTCTGTAAAGAATTTAAAAACAATAATAAAACCAAATAAAATCACTCTGATTTATGTTATAACCATGCCTCAGCAATATTCAACCTTTTAGTGATAAAATACTCTTTCATGATGGGGTAGGATTCTTCTATCTTGTCCCACTGGTACACCCTTTGAGGTCAGTCAAAATGATTCCACTGACACTACATGAAAATACAGCTAGACTGTGCCATTGTCACTATGTTCTTCTATGTGCTTCCAAAATAATGTTTTGTATTTATTTAAACTTCCTAATGGAGAATTATTTTATAGTTATCATCTCTTGCTATCAGGTTTAAGGCACTGAATACATTGCTACAATTATTGATGTCCAAAGGTGAATGATGAACACACCTTTTAAAAGAAAAAGACGTTCTCATTGTGCATTTGGATGTACATCCTTGAACCCTGGTTGGAGAAGAGATGATTTATGGAACACATGTTTAATGTCTAAAAGTAGTTTGTTCAATTGTGAATGATCACTTCAAAAGAGTTTCTTTATAACTGGTAAAGTATTTGTTTTTAAGCTTACCATCAAAATGAGGGATAATATACAAAAAACAATTCTCATGGACCTTTCTAATTCTCAAGGATCCGGTCTCAGATACTAATTTGAGAGATTCCAGGACAGATTTTTAAATTGTCCTCCTGTGTCATTCAAAGAAACATCTCACATATATTTTTTTTCCAGAAATGCATTTGCATCTGAGAACATCTGCAACAGTTGGAAAAAAAAAACATGCTTAAAAAAATTCGCTTTAATCTTTCTATAGATATCAGATATTCTCACAGATTCTGTGATGTGTGATATATTAGCTTTACTGAAGAAATACCATTCATCCCCATGTCTTGAGTAGCGTCCATGTGAACTGAAAATGTATCAACTTTGTTAATATCCTTAAATTCTTCTTTCAAAATTATGAAGAGGATCTAGAATGAGATTGGGTCATGATAGAAACCATTTTATAGATCAAGTGACTGTGATCACTACGATTTTGGAAGAGATATACTTAAGTAATATAAGAAGCAGGTCCAAGTTATGTATTCCCTAACACTTTATAAAAAGACTATGCGAACAATATCTAGAATTATCTAACAGGTAGGAGATAAAAAGTTCCAGATAGAAGAGTAATTACTTCCTATACTGTCCATTGGAGAAGTAATATTTAAAATTAATTGACTACATTACCACAAATTTAAGTTTTTCTTTATGCTTTTGTGAAAATAGAATTGGCTGAGGCCTTGTGGGGCCCTTAATTGCTTTTTGCATAGGAGGAAAAATGAATGATTGTTCTATTTATTGGTAGAAACTTATTAACTCTGAAATTTCTAGTTTTAGAATTTATTTAATTTGATTTTGATCTATCACTGTTTAGAGGTGGAGCTTAAACTGAATATCTATTTAAAATGGAGGTGTGCAATCTGAATTCCTTGTAAGTTTTTTAGCATATTTAAATTATACTTAATTCAAAATGTTTAAAGAATTGACAACATTGTTTGGATGCCAATGGGTGTCCTTCAACAAATTCACATTAAAACAAAACTGTATTTTATTAAAAATATTAAGTACTTTGGAACCTCTACTAATTCTGATCAACTCTTCCTTAATTTAGTCACAGCATAGCTGTTTTACTGCCTGAAGATCAGATTCCAATCTAATTCCCTCATCAACTAGCTTTGTGAGGTTAAGAATTTAGTTAATCTCTCTCAAACTCAACTTAATCATATAAGATAAAAATACTAGTTCCTCCTCAGTCTGTCTTACAGTATTATGGAAAGATCAAATGAGACTAATGCATTTGAAAGTGTTTTGTAATTTACAAAACACTATATAAATTTAAGTATTATTTTTATTTGTGATATACAAAATATTTTAGGAACCTATCTATATTTGAATTAAGTACATCCTAAAAATGATTACTTCAAACAATCTTTTTCAATCTTGAATGTGCATAAACCCACCAGGAAGTCTTGTTAAAACAGAGAGTGGTGGTTCTATTCTGATCTGGAGTGGGGGCCTGAGAATTTGTCTTTCCAACAGGTTTCCAGGAGATGCTGCAATTGCTGGTCCAGGAAACATGCTTTAAGAACTGCTGACCTAGGATGTTGCGGTGCATTTTCCCATAAGTAACAAATACCTAGCAAACAATACCACTGAAAATATTGAAAATACACTACATTTACCTCGTTAAGTTCTTTCATTATGCTTTTCTCAAGTTTTATCTCCATTTCCAGTAAAATAATAGCCCCATTGAATCAGACTGAAAGTATTAATATTTTAGTTAATCTTCAGCGTATTTTGTGCTATAGCTTCCTAGCTCTGATCATGAGATCATTTTCAGTTGAGTCCATGACTGAGAGTATTTGTCCCAATACTTACTGCTATTTGAACATGATGAGTCTGTAGATAGTACTTTAATTCCTTTGTGTGTCTTTTTTTAATTAAAAAGGAAAATCATAAATACCCAGACTTTTTCAAAAATTCAAATATTCTCCAAAAGAGGTGATTTAAACCAGAAGAAAGGACAACGGCAGACCTCTGTTACTTAGTTTCCCACCCATGTATGAGGAGCACATATGTTGTGAATTAAGTTATTTTCAGAATATTTCACTTTTTCACACTTCAGGGAGGCCATATATATTTTAATAAATCTCCAGACAAACTATGGTAATTCTCTCTGAAGATGAACTTACCACAGTAATAGAAATTATAAATAAAAATTTTTTTGATGATGAAAGAAAATGATATATACCTGAGACTACACCAGGTGGAATAGGAACACCTAGAAGGGATCTATTTAGACTGTGTAAGGTTCATTGACCTTAAAATTAAATTAATTCTGTGTATTTTTCATAAAATGACCCTGCATGTACTGAGAACAAAATAACTTGGATAGTAACTCTTGTTTAAGTTTTCTATTTAAAAACCAGATTCTAAGATCAAGGCTTTAGGGAAGTTGGCTGAATTAGATGATTTCTTTTTTCCTTTTTATATGTATTGTTTTACCAGGGACAGATTCTTTCTTAAATTAGACTAGTTCTTTTCATACAGTGTCTTCAGGAAGTAGAGTTGGACCAAATGGTAAGAAATACCATCCAGAGAGTTTATACATGTTGAAATGCATGGCTAAAAGAAAAATATATTTTGGCTATTTTTATGATTCTGTAGGAAAACATACCTTCTGGTTCTCTACCCTTAGCATGAATCATCAAAGGGAGCTGAAACAGGTAATGGTCTAAAATTTTATAAATATTCACAGTGTTATGTGATTGGCTCTTAAAGAAGGTTATGCCAAGGTTGTCTCACTCTTCTAGAGCACATGGCCACTCCACAGACATTATGTAAAACACCTGGAACGTAAAAAGCACTTTTTAAAAACAAAGATTGAATGAATCTTAAGTGCATCTGATTTCATTTCAGGAATTATATTTCCTAGATAAGATGCCTAGGTTATTGTAATTTGGCCTGTACAGAAACCCAGCTTTATTTTTAAGAAATCTCAGACTTCAAAGATTCATCTGCTAATTCATCTTTGATAAGTTGTTTTTGAGAATTCTGGTAGTTCATCTTTGGTAAGTAATTTTTGAAATGATATCAATGAAGTATTAATCCTACTTTAATCTAGATAAGAAGTCACCACACAAACAATACATTATGATTTTAATTGCAAGATAATAAAATTTATCATTCAAATAAGATCCAGCACAAACATATAATGTATGACATACATACCTCGTTATTATAGATGGAAACCAATACTATCCCTAGATTTCTCCTACTGATAAAAATACCCCTTATTCCAGGGCCCTCAATTTATGAAAGTCTGCAGTTGAGTGCCAAGAAATATGTTGAAACCCAGGAGAATAAGCCATATTTAGAATGCCAAACAGAAGTACACAAAAGGTACAAATCAAAGAGTCCCTGCAGAGTTACAGAGGAGGAGAATCTGGCCTGTGGCTCAGGTTAGGAAGCAAAAAAATGAAACAGAAAAACAAATATCATCTGCTGTGTGATAATGAATAAAGAAGTTATGCAATGGAAGTAGAAAATTGTCTTTATTATTTTAACGTAGACATTGGTTCCAAGATGTCCAATCTGGTTTTGAATATTTTTCAAAATAGGACTTGTGACTCCATGTTAACATGTGGCAGGATCTAACAGACATCATCAGCCTTTCCTGGTGGATTCTAGTTTGAATGGAAAATTCTGATGCCAAATTGAGTTTGTTTTGTATCACTTAATTTCTTCACATGGTTTTTGTAGAACATTTCTAGTATCTCTGTGTATTAACCTGGTGCTTAAATATCATTTTTCCCCTACAAAGAGATGGCTCCTTTCTATATGTGTGATTAGATATTATATCTTATATCATTTGAAATCTCACAGTTTGAGCATATGTCTGCTATTCCTCTTCTTGGAGTCTCTTTCTTTTCCAAGTAATTTCTTTTTTAGTTTGGATTACATGTACTATTGCCTAGTTGACAAACCGAATGACTCAGAAAGACATCTTTCTTGATTACTACATAACGATGGATAAAGATAAATGATTCACACATTTGTGTTCTGCAATTGATGATAAATGTCAAAGACACATTTTTTTTTGCTTGCCTCTCCCTGCAATAATAATGATGGCCATCAACTTTTTCAGTATTAACTTTCAAGGCAGTATCTTTGGGGAATCACAGTTACCGGTTATTGAAGGACTAGAAGGACTGTTCACTAAGGCATAACTATATTGGTTTAGGGCCTTAAGTTCAATGACTTGATTGGTAAAATTTTGGTTTAACTTCTTCATGGTTATGTACATTTATAATTTAGTAGATGCTTGGGAAAAAATAAATAAAATTCAAAAATCAGTATTTAATGACACCCACTGTCAGTAGCCTCAAATTTTGCCACTTGGACTATTAATATTCTAAACATCTATTACATCAAATGTAAATGGGCTTCATTATGTCTATTCTGAACTGACTCTGTAATTTCCATTTCTGTCTGTTTTTCTGTCTGTACTAAATTGGGTTGATATATGCACCTCTGTTCTCACTCACATTTAAATTAAATTCCCTCATTGCAGAATTTAAAATTAGGCCTGTCCTGTTTTTGATTTTAAATGTCAGGTTCTTGGGAAGACACTAGCCTAATGGGCCTGTTGATAATCACTCAATCAATCAATACAAGTTTCCCTTTGTTTTTATTGTGTCAGTTTAATACAGACTATTAGACTTATCTCCTTCTTTGAACTTCTGCAGTCCTTCCAGGGTGTTCAGTATTGATCTGTGCTTTGTTCACCTTCTTCTTGTGACATTTGAGAGGGACCAGAAAGTCACAATTAGATTGTAATCCCTCAACTGTGGTAAGAATGGATTAGGTGTTAGCCAATTACTGCTCTTCTAACATTAATTCTCAGAGGGTGGGGCTCCTCTTGTGAAGTTTTCTCAGATCCTGCCAATCATTGTCAGGAGCTTTTAAATAGAAACACTTTTCAACACTTCAGAAGCTCCTGAAAAAGACTTGTACATTTTTCTTTTGTTGTCTCTTTAGCTTTCTCACTGCTAATGACTACTGCCAAGATGTATAAATGGAATGGTTTAGCTAAGAAAGGAATCTATCGGAGATTTGAAAAGTCTCCTGCTCTACTACAATTTTTCTCTCATTTTGTGATTGAGTTGGGACAGGAAGTACAAGATAGGGAAACAGAGGATTTCTTTATGCTAATATATTTGAACCACCAGAGAGCAGTTGATTCCCTAGGACAAGTTTCCGGCCTGTCTCACTGCTTGAGATCCAAAAACTTAAACTCTTTGGGAAAGAAGATTTACACCTGCTGAGATTGAATATGGATGTCTGGAGTTCTTGAGAACAAATCTTATCTGGCTTCCATACTTTAGGGAAATAAAAAGCAAAGCGATATTTATATTTTTCAATTTGCAAAGAACTAAGGTTATCATATTAATAATCATGAAGGGAAGAGTAATAAATTAGTACCAGTTTGGAGGGATTTTCCTGGTTGAGTGCTGAAAATCCCATGTCCCGGAAACCTCCTCAGTCTAGAGCAAACCAGAACAGTTGGTCACCCAAGAAAGGGATATGAGAATGCTGGAGCCACTTTCCATTTTCTTTATTTCATTTGGCTTCTCTTGAATTAAATGTTTGGATTTGTGCATTCAGCATCTTATTATTGTATGTTTATAAGTACATACATGTATTTCATATTTCCCTTTTATTAAATTGATTTTTATAAGGATGTGGTAGACATATTACAGAAGAGGAGAAGAGGTATTGAATATTTAAAACTGTGGACTCCAACAACCACTTTCATGGAGAAAATGAAGCAGTTCACGTTTATAGGAGATTTTTGGAACGTAGGTCAAGGTGTATTTAAACAAAGAGTCACTGATATTTCCACACTCATGTTTAGACACATATTTATTTTCTTAAAATTAATGTTCCATAATGTGACCTGATATTGCGCAAAGGGAGGTGTTAATTTGTCTTGAGAAATCCATCGAGTGAAGGATCTACCTTGAGATTTGATTTTGTATCTCTATCAACACAGATGATATGTGACTATGTTTACAAAAGTTGGCGTATATGCAGAAACCAAGATGGGAATTTGAGTCTCTTTGAAATTTTCTTAGATCAATTTAATAAAATATGCATGAAGATATATTTTCTTGGAGCTCCTGATTGGGCTGGTCTGAGTTGATGCAGTGTGCTGTTATAATGGCAGAGGAACTGAGCAATGAATAGTGGGGACGTATGGGAGCGCTGATATTCAAGGGCCCAAATAGCCAGGACTCAGAAGCAAAACTTGCTTAAGATTGTGTCTTATGTGATGCTGTCAGCATAAGAATAGTAAGGGTGGTTGGCTTTCAAATTCACAGTGTTCCTAAAAGGAGGAGAATTTTCAAATACCTATGGTAGAGGTCGAGAAGAGAAAAATGGAGAGAGTTGAAGCAAAAAGATCCTTTAGTAAAGTAATCCCTCTCCCTTATGCAAGGTTTCACTTTCATGGTTTTAGTACCCGTAGTCAACCGTGGTCAGCTGTGGTCTGAAAATAGATGAGTACGCTAAGATATTTTGAGAGAAAGACCACATTCACAAAACTTTCATTACAGTATACAGTTATAATTGTTTTATTTATTATTATTCTTTATTGTTAATCTTTAATGTGCCTAATTTATAAGTTAAACTTCATCATAGGTATGTATGTAGGGGAAAATCAGTATATATAGGGTTTGGTACTATGTGCTGGTTGGGGAGATGAAGTTCTTCCTTTGCTGCAGAAAATATGACAGCATGGTCGGATATGGGAGATGCTTATGGTTTGAAAATCCTATGTAAATAACTGAATGATCTTTCCAGCTGCTAATGAATATAATGTCAAGAGGCAACATTTTTGCTATATCCCTTTTCTGAGAGGAGAACAAGTGTGGTGGTCTATTGAAATCTTTCTTACACGGTCATTTTTTTTCAAGTCTTTGCAACATACACTCTAATAATTTCTATATGAAACCTTAAATTCATCCTTACCAGTAGACAGCTCTGTTTGTAGTTAATCCCTATAGCAGTGGCATATTTCCTGGCTCCATCAGTGGTTGTGATGACTTAGAACTCTTGGTTAGAGAACTGTATCAGAAAGAATAGACTAGTCCATACTGCAGTGGCTTAAAACAGCAAAGCCTGGTTAAGGGCAGCAGGGATTTTTTTCTAAGCAGTGACTCTGAGATCATGATTCACTCTATTTTTTTGCCTCCACCATCTCATGCATAGGTTCCAAGGGGGTCATGAAAGAGAAAAAGAGAATTTTAGAGGAATCACTGTACTCTAAACTGCCTCAACCTGGAAATGATTTATGTCATTTTTTCTTATAGCTGTTAGAGGCCAGGACTCATCACGTAGTTCTAACCTAACTGTAAAGAAGGCTGGGAAATGTAGAAGATCATGCAGATATTTGACAATTAAATGTTTCTGCCGTAGTCCAACCTCCCAGTCACAAAATATTCGCTTATTTCCTTATCCTTCTCAGAGAACAAACTCAACCCCTCCAAAGAAAGATAACCTAAAATTTATTCAGTCACTGAGTCCAACTTAAAGTCCAGGAACTCTGGACTCATGAGAGCCTCTGAATTAGGTCCAACTATGTCTTCATTTTTTCCAGCATCCTATGAACTTGAAAGACAAATTGTATCTGCCCTCCACCCTAAACACAACAATGGAATACTCTAATTAGGAAAAGGAAAGAATTGGAAACAGTCCATAGTCCTTGGTTCATAGCACATCTGAAATCCCATTGCATAGATAAGGTGATGGCCCCCTATCTTGAGGGAGTGAGAGGGTGGGCAGGGAATGGGTGGGAATTTCCTTAATTAGGTAATGATTCTGCTCTATTTCTCTGTGCATTGTTCTCAGTAGTCCCATGCGAAGTGAATGTCTAGGAATGTGCCCTTTTTAACTATAGCACCTTCGTTTTCAGCTCACTTCCTGCTCTTGAAAGGCTGGGGGCCAAAGAGTTGTTTTAAGTCTTGAGCAGACAGATGATTTTTCAACCAGTCATGTGGTTTCTTTGGCAATGCATTTGACATACAAACTTAATAAGTTTCAAATCTATATGCTTCCAGTAAGTTTCATATTCCAGAAGTCCACCCCAGATTTCTTTTTAGACATTGTCCTTTAATTTGCTAAATGTCTTTGCTCCTAATACCTTCTTCTCTCTCAATTTTATGGTGGCTATCTTAAGGCTATTAGGCTTGAATTAAAAGATCATATCCTTAATTTGATCTTTGCAATGAATCACTTTATTAATTCAGAATGTTTGCCATATCATAAATTAAAGAATTGATGTGTGTCTTAATATAGATTTTGGAAGAGACAATGAGGCTAGTGAGAGAAAAGTTGAAATCATCTACATCCCTAGTTCTCAATGCCCTGCAGGGGAGATTTTCAATGTCTGGATACAATTTTTATTTTCAAAAATGGGGTGGAGTGGGGGATGGGTGGTGCTAGTGCTACTGGCATTTAGTGTACGAACGCCAGGGATATTGATAAACATTCTACAATGAACAGGGCAGCCCCACACAGCAAAGAATCATCTGGCTGTTCCAGATAACACACACAGACTTCTTCAAGAACCACTTAAGCTCTAATACGCCAGCATTTTCCAACAATATTAAGAAAGGTTGACAGTGCTTTTCACCTTTTTCAGATTTCATTGTAATACCCACGATTGAGATGGTTGGAGATAAAGCCATTATCCAGTGATAGTTCATCATGTTGAAGGAATCCTGCTGTATGTATTTTATATATTTTGATATGGATATGTGATATGCACCCTTAATACAATTCTAGTCTATAACAGCTACCTAACAATATTTCAGAATGAGCTTTTTCTAGTATTCTGTGCCATTAAAGAGTGGCCCCTTTGTACATTAATGAAAGCTTGTCCTTTAGAATGAATAGGAAGTCTAAGAATTTGGCTAAATACCATCTTTCTGGAAGAGGAAAAAATTAATGGCAAAATATTAGAAATATAATTGATCAAATGCAATACTCATTGTAGTCAAGAGTAAGTAATGCAAAAATCTGTAATTCTCATGAAAAACAATATTAAAATTGTGTTCCCGGGAAGTTAGTAACATTTTGACATTTTTTCTCTATTCTTTAAATGGTTCAGAGCAACTATTTATTAATTAGCATTTTCTTTAAGAAAAACTAATATCGTTGTGGAGGATTAACTTCACTTTGGAGTGTACTACTCCCTTAAAAGGACCATTAAAAGGCTATAAAATTAATTGTTTTCTACTAATAAGTTATTATTTAGAATCACTTAGTTTCATCTACCAGAAAAAAATGCTTTTTGAGTTAGAGGTTTTATATTATCTCAGTCTTCTCATCCATGATCAATACTTACTCCATTTTTGTTATTATATCTGTTTCCTTCTGGTTCTCATCTTAGCTCAAAAGAAAAAGGATGATTGAACAAAATACCTTTTGAGTAGTCTCTCTGCTCCTCAAAGCACATGTCTTCATAATTATCTCAAATTTGCATATTTATTGTTAAATAAATATAAGGGGAATTTATTGCAGTATGCTGCATTCTTTGCACTCTCTGTGTCTTGTTTGCATCTTGCCTGTTTTGATCGTTTTAGATTAGAGGCACATGAATTATCATTTATTTTAAGTGCTATATTATAGTCATTTTTGCAGAGAAAGAAAGCAGTCAAAAAACAGATTGTCCAACTTCTTATAAATGAGAATGTCACAAATAAAATGCCAGTTTGTTCACCTTGTCCTTTGCACTAACGTCAAGCCATTCTCTTCGATGCCTTTTTTGTAATTATGAGTAATAGCCCAAATATTTTACAGCAGAGAGATGAGTCACAAAGCGGAAGAACTATAAATACTTTTGTTCTCGAGAAACAATGAAGCTGTATATTCTTTCACATTCACCCACCACATATGTGTTTTATTTAAGGTTAAGCTTTTTTAAAAACAACTTTCTCCTGCTTTAAGAGTTCCAATCTCCAGTACAAGTTTTGTTTTCCAGTAAACTGTTTCATTGTATTTGATGCTTCATAAATGTATCTAAATCTAGCTCATCATGCACTGCTAGCTACACCTAATCATACACACATGTCTGAATTACTCCACTCCTATTTAAAGGAAAAGAACAAAAAGTAAGAATGGCAGATGTGTTCATAATTAATATCCTACTGGGTTAATCAGTAGATCCTCAGGAATGCTATGAGGGTTTTGATGTATTCAGAAAATCACTGCCTTTATCTATAGACCTCTTTAAAGACAAACATACAACAGTTAGTTTTTAGAAGATGTGATCCTTGCAAATAAGATAGTAAATAATATTGTCACAGACTTGCCTCTTTGAATAACCTAATTCCATGCTTGATTTTATATGTTTAAGTGAGGAATTTATGGTTCATATTTACAGCCAGTGATATGTGCAAGGATTGCTGTTTACTAACATCACACTCAAAATTTCTTGTAGACATTTCAAGCAATTTGAAGTATAGTTCTTCTAGAAGTAACTAAATATAAACAAGATGGGCACTTTTTTTAAGGAGATTGATATTTCAGAATTGTTGATCACTCCTATACTTGTGAATGAGAGAATATAAGAGACATGGTAATTCACTGAAGGAGAAGAAGAAGAAGGAGAGCATTGCATTATTGGAAAAACTCCATCTTTATAGCGAGACAATACTGAGTTGAAAGCTCAGTCTCCCACTGTGCAACTCTAGGAATTGCTTAAGAGCTCTGGTCTTTGGTTACCTCATCTACTAATGCAGAATAATAACACTTCTGTCTTAAGGTTTAGAGTGTTAAAATAAAGCAGTACTTGGGACATTGAAAAATGCTGAATTTAAAAGTCCTGTTTCATGGGGAATATGAAACTTTCATTCTAAAAAGACTGTACTGTATGAAAGATAAATTTTAGTTATATTGTGGTCCACATTTCAGTTTTGGAGTTAATGTATTCAGGTATGTGCCTGTCACAAAAGGGTCGTGCATTAAATGTTGAGTGAAAACATTGTGGCTTAGACAGAAATCTTGGAATTTAACTAGAAATTTATTTTTTTAAAAAATGAAAGAATAGGAAGAGGTTCATCAGCTCTGTCTTGACTATCTCTAGATCTATGATTGATGCAATATTACCTTTAAGTAAAAAAAAAAAAAGCTACATAATTATTTTAGTTTTATTGTATCTTCTTAAGTATGTTTCAAGTACTTTCATTTGTGTTTGACTCTTCAAGATCTTACCTTCACTACAACCCAGTATTTCCATTGCAAGTGATAATATTGCAATGGAATATTGCAGTCTTTCTGAATAACAGAATTTACATTATATCAGTCCCCGAGAGGACCAGGGGCATGGAAAGATCAGGGTTTGGACACTTACACCCCCTTGTGTTTTGGGAGAGGTCATGGCAACTCGCTGTCCCTATGTGCAGCTTGCCTAGCAAGTATCCTTGTGCCTGAAGGAGTGAGATATTAAATAGCAAATTAAAAAAGACATTTCAAGCAATTTGAAGTATAGTTCTTCTAGAAGTAACTAAATATAAACAAGATGGGCACTTTTTTTAAAGGAGATTGGTATTTCAGAATTGTTGATCACTCCTATACTTGTGAATGACAGAATATAAGAGACATGGTAATTCACTGAAGGAGGAGAAGAAGAAGCAGGAGAGGATTGCATTATTGGAAAAACTCCATCTTTATAGTGAGACAATACTGAGTTGAAAGCAATTTGAAGTATAGGGTTAAAAATGAGATTGAGAAGTAAAGCAAAATGGGTTACATTTTAGTACTTTTAACTTCATTTTCCCCCAGTTATTTTTGAACAAAGGGGCACCACATTTTGTTTTTATACTGAGGTTTGCAAATTAGGCAGCTGGTTCCCAAACATGTGGCAGAATGGTCAGACACTTCAGCCTGATCTCCTATGCCTTCCTCTGAGGTTGCATCTTATAGAACCCAACTTGCCAGTCCCCTCTGCCTCTTTCTTTAACAAATTTCTTTCTGTTTCCTACCTCAGGAACTCTATACTTGCTATTTCTTCCTTCCACTATACCCTTCCTCCTTGTTCTTGATTTCTAAGTATAAGCATCACTTCTTAAGAAAACCTTCTTTAACCATGCTAACTGGAGGAGCTCTTCTCGCACAGAAGTTATTGCTATCACACCTCTCTCTTTTATTTTCCTTATATAACTTAACTACTATGTGCTTATTTTTAATCTACCAATTTTGCTCAATAGGATGTAAAATTCCATGAGGAGATATTTTGTTTATATTATTCAAAGTAATATACCTATATCAGCGGGTAGGGGTGGAAAAGTCCCAGGGCATAGTAGGTACACAGTAATTCCTTGCTAAATAAACACATGCTATTGATTCATTCTAAAAATTTATGAAAACCTACCGTGGCAAATAACACTAGGATTTAAAGGGGATATCAATGTGGCTCTTCTAGGAGTCTCTAATCCAATTGAGGAGATGGAAGTAGATATATAATTAAAAATTGTAGGTAACTTTAATGGTTAAAATTAATGTTACAATGTACCATAATATTTCTTGGGTAGCAATATAATTAAGTGGTTTAGAAAAGTTTGGGGCACATAAGATTACAAGAAACCCCAATTTTTGTATGGTTGTGTTTACATGGAAGAGGTCAGAGACTCAGGAATATTAACCTATGAAAATCTTTATTTTTTTCTCTAAATTCAATAGCTTTTTGGGGAACAGATGGTGTTTGGTTTCATGAATAATTTCTTTAATGGCGATTCCTGAGATTTTGATGAACCCATCACGCCAGCAGTGTCCACTGTACCCAATGTGTAGTCTTTTATCCCTTGCCACCCCCACCTTTCCCTTCGAGTCTCCAAAGTCCATTGTATCATTCTTATGCCTTTGCACCCTCATAGCTTAACTCCCACATGTGAGTGAGAACGTACAATGTTTGGTTTTCCATTCCTGAGTTACTTCACTTATAATAATAGTCTCCAGTTCCATCCAGGTTGCTGTGAATGCCATTATTTCATTCCCCTTTATGGCTGAGTAGTATTCCATTATATATACATATATCTATCTATCTATCTATCTATCTATCTATCTATCTATCTATGCATCTATCTATCTATATATCTATATCTATATATATATATCACATTTTCTTTATCCACTCATTGATTGATGGGTATTTGGGCTGGTTCCATATTTTTGCAGTTGCAAATTGTGCAGCTATAAACATGCGTGGGCAGATATCTTTTTTGTATAATGGCTTCTTTTCCTCTGGGTAGATAACTACTAGTGGGATTGCTGGATTAAATGGTAGATCTATTTTTAGTTCTTTAGGGAATCTTCACAGTGTTTTCTATAGTGGTTGTACTAGTTTACATTCCCACCAACAGTGTAAAAGTGTTCCCTTGTTACTGCATCCCCACCAACATCTATTATTTTTTAATTTTTTTATTATGGCCATTCTTATAGGAGTGAGATGGTATCATATTGTGGTTGTGATTTGCATTTCCCTGATAATTAGTGATGTTGAACATTTTTCCATATGCTTGTTGGCCATTTGTGTATCTTCTTTTGAGAATTGTCTATTCAAGTCCTTGCCTACTTTTTGATAAGATTTTTTTTAAATTTTATTTCTTGCTGATTGTTTGAGTTATTTGTAGATTCTGGATATTAGTCCTTTGTCAGATGTATAGATTGTGAAGATTTTCTCCCACTCTGTGGGTAGTCTGTTTACTCTGCTGACTATTTCTTTTGCTGTGCAGATACTTTTTAGTTTAATTAAGTCCCATCTGTTTACCTTTGTTTTTGTTACATTTGCTTTTGGATTCTTTGTCACGAACTTTTTGCCCAAGCCTATATGTAGAGGGGTTTTTCCAATGTTATCTTCTATAATCTTTATGGTTTCAACTCTTAGATTTAACTCTTTGATCATCTTGGGTTGATTTTTGTATAAGGTGAGAGATGAGGATCCAGTTTCATTCTCCTATGTGTGGCTTGCCAATTATTCTGGCACCATTTGTTGAATAAGGTGTTCTTTCTGCACTTTGTTTTTGTTTTCTTTGTCAAAAATCAGTTGGCTGTAAGTATTTGGCTTTCTTTCTGTGTTCTCTATTCTGTTCCATTGGTCCATGTGCCTATTTTTATACCAGCACCATGCTGTTTTGGTGACTATGGCCTTTATAGTAGAGTTTGAAGTCGGGTATTGTGATGCCTCCAAATTTGTTCTTTTTGCTTAGTCTTGCTTTGGCTATGCAGGCTCTTTTTTGGTTCCATATTAATTTTAGGATTCGTTTTTCTGGTTCTGTGAAGAATCATAATGGTATTTTGATAGGAATTGCATTGAATTTGTAGATTGCTTTTGGCAGTATGGTCATTTTCACAATGTTGATTCTACCCATCCATGAGCATGGGCTGTGTTTCCATTTGTTTGTGTCATCTATGATTTCTTTAAGCAGTATCTTATAGTTTTCCTTGTAGAGGTCTTTCATGTCCCTGATTAGGTATATCCATAAGTAGTTAATTAATTATTTTTGCAGGTTTGTGAAAGGGGTTGAGTTCTGGTTTTGATTCTCAGCTTGGTCACTGTTAGTGTATAGCAGAACTACTGATTTATGATGCTAATTTTGTATCCTGAAACTTTGCTGAATTCATTTACCAGTTCTAGGAGCTTTTTGGATGAGTTTTAAGGGTTTTCTAGGTATTCGACCATATCATCAGCAAACAACGACAGTTTGACTTCCTCTTTACCAGTTTGGTTGCCCTTTATTTCTTTCTCTTGTCTGATTGCTCTGGCTAGGACTTCCAGTACTACATTGAATAGAAGTGGTGAAAGAGTCTTAACTATAGGAGCTAAGGTGAGGAGGGGCACTGGTCACAGGTTGTCAGGTTAATGATAAAGGAATGGTCAAGCAGTGAATAGTTTTTAAAACTATTCTGGAAGCCAGAAGAGAATAAGTAAATTGATGTGTGATAAAGTAGATAGGATTTCAGCATCTAGTTATGTGCAGAATAGCTTAGTTGTTAAAGGTCACCACATACGCCTAGGCCATCGGTGTATGTATGTGCTATATGTCAGTGTTTCCTGAATCTGTACGAAGCTTAGCCTTGAATTCACCACCCAAACTTTCATGATCCGTCTCTTGATTCCATCATAAGCTCTTTGCTTTGGAATTTATTTTTACTTTTTTGGGATTGACTTATTCATGTTGTTTCTTTGGTCCTGAGCCTTCTTCCCATCAGAGGTGGTCTCTTTAATTGCTTATAAATCCACACCACCTATAGGTTCATAAGCTGTAAGGCCCTAAATTCCCACTCTGGCAATACCACTAGGTTTCCTTTTACTCCAGTAGAGCAGTGTTAAGACTGGAAACTTGGCCAATAAGTGACGAGATGGACAGGAAATGAATGATTCTGAAATTACCAGGATGGATTTAAAATCTATTTTAAGTTCCAATTGAATGCAGCAAACAAGTAGCAGATTTTGGAAGGAACAATCCACAATCCAGAATTTTAGAATCACACAAACAGTAAACTGGGTTATGACCACTGATTCCAGGAAAAAATTAAAAAGTGCCACATACTCTCTGTTTTGGTTTTAGGCATTTTCTGGGATCAGGTTTCCTTGAAGTAGAGCCTCAATTAAGACAATGCCTAAAAGTAGAAAAGAGAGTGCTATGGTTTAAACATTTGTCCCCTCCAAGAGTCAGGTTGAAATTTAATTGGTATTGTAACAGTATTAAAAGATGGGGCTATTAAGAGATGATCAAGCCATGAAGGCTTTACCCTCATGAATAGAATTATTGCCATGATAAAAGGGCAAATTTGGCCTTCTTTTGCTTCTCTCTTGACTCTCTTCTACTTTTCTGCCATGTGAGGAACAGTGTTCCTGCCCTCACAAGGATGCAGCCTTCAAGGTGTCATCTTGGAAGCAGAGACTGGGCCCTCATCAGACACCAAACCCGTTGGCATCTTAATCTTGGATTTCCTAGCCTCCAGAACCGTGAGCAAATAAATTTATGTTCTTTATAAATTACCCAGTCTATGGTATTCTGTTACAGCAGCACAAAATGGATTAAAACAGATGGTATATGATTAGGATAAATCTATACATGAGGGAGGAAGGAGGATAGGGAAAAGAACGAAGCAAAATAAAGACTTGGTTTCAGATGTCAAACCTCAGTCTGATCCTACAGGGAAGCACTGGAGCATAAATTCTATCACAGAGTCTGTCCTGCCTTCAGGAGGGGTGCTTTTGTAATCTGCATTAGTCACTCATTGGGTCAGGGTCACCTAAGGTGAAGGGTATTTCTCTCAGGCACCTCCAGTGAGGTGATTAAAAGACCCTGTGGGCTTATCTGTCTGAAAAGGTTGAAATATGAACTCATGAGCTGTTAGCAGCAGCACCTATAGCAGCAGGTGAAAAGGATCCCTGAATATCTGGGAGGGGCACCAGCAGTGGCTGCAATAAGGATCCAGCTGGCAGAAGTAGATATAGATGGACAGATAAGTGATTGCAGCCAGAGAGCAGAGTCTTCACATCCTTTGAAAGTTGTTCATTTCAGAGCAGCCAGAGTACACAACAGGAATAAAGTAGAACCATGCACATATTAAATGCTATATAGAGATCAAGGAAAACAAGCTAATCAGCTTGGGCAGGTAGATATTGGATACCTTTAAGACCCACAGATTTGTTAGATTTCTAGGAACTAATTGCAATATCTTAAGAAAAGGATAGTGATAAATTGAGGCAAGGGAGTAAGACATTCACAAGAATAGTGCCTAGTTATTCATTTCTGTATTGAGCACACATTTATAGAGTAAAAACTGTTTGAAATTGCTGTGATCGCATGGCATCACACAGTATATCATTATGAGCAGAAAATTTACGTTTAATTTTCCTTGTATTTTATACACTATTCATTACTTTCATGTATATTGCTTTATTGAAATTTCAAAATCTCTTTTGAGTGGAAGAACTGTGAGATGATGCACACGGAAAAAGTTCACTTTTAAGAAGAACAAAAGGAATTCATTTCAGAAAACTGGCTCTAAGTGAACTGTATAAAACATGTAACATCTTTGAAAAATTCACCACTTGTTGGGTGAAGAACAAGATGTTTCTTTGTAGCTCTTTTTAAAGTGAACCCTTTGAGTAATGACTGCATTAGAACTTCCCAGAAAAAGGAGGTTAAATCACTATAGACAGACGGATAAGCGTAAATGACAGAGAAGCAGAAAATATATCTATTGATCATTTGACAATAGTCTTGACCAGTATTTGTAACACAATACACTGAAGGCATCGTGTTTTTTGAAAGTGTATACACTTTGGATTCAGACACACTTGGTTTTAAATAACAGTTTGGCTACTCGTGTGTGTGTGACCTTGGGTCAGTTACTTAAACTTTCTGAGTTCATTTTCCTCATCTGTTCAATGGTTGTTTCACAAGCACAGGTATTTATGAGGATAAATAAAGTGACATTACATATTATTTCACATAGAGTTAGATTTTCAGAAATTGTTAGAATGCTGTCTCTCACTCCTCAAAACCTGAAGTTCTGTCTGTTTGCTTCACAAGGCAAGTGCAATATTTCCATTAACTTGATCATCCCAACTCTGTTGGTGGCAGAAGATATACTGCAGCCTCCACCTTGGAATTGGTGGCTATTAAGTGGATGATGAGCAGGCTAGATTCCTTAGTATCCCTAAGGATACTAAGATGGTGTGAAAGCTGGTAAACAATGAGGGCGAAAGTGAATCAAAGGTATTCAAAGATAAAGGATATAGTAAAAAAGCACTATGATTCCCAATGAAAGAGCTCATCAAATAACTGTTGATTCATATATAATGCATTTCTTAACCATATAAAAGAGTCATGTTAAATTAAGAAAAAAGTAGACTTACATGTTATACAGTTTTTTTCTCTCTTGAGAGCTAAAATATATGATATAATCTCTGATTATACCTTGCCATTTACACACAATCTTCAACAAATTTATTTCCAGCATTTTATACAGAGCCTTTAGTCTTATTTTTTTTTTCCTTTCATAATTGAACCACAGTTGACTGGGTTTAAATCTAATAAGAGCCTGATTGGGGTTAAAGATGTGCCCTGATGGGAATGCCTAATGATTTCATCTTTGTTTCAAGTGTATTAGGCTTATGAGACCTATGATTTTTATCACTATTACCAGCGTTTTCAATGTTCATTTTCCACTCATTTTGGCAAAATAATAAGGGCAAAGAGCAAAAAATATTCAAATAATTATATAAAGCCTGCTCTTACAGACAAAGATGGCATGACTGCCCAAACAGAACTCTTGGCTGTCAGGCAGTGCCACCACACATTAGTGCAAAATGTTCGTTGATCTGCTGATGTATGAAAGTCTGGATTTGGCATACAAAAGGCACTTTGGAGTGTCGATGTATAATGCATGAAAGTGTTGGCTGTTCAGAAGCTGAAAATATGAAAGTCAGGGACAGCCTGTATGTATATGAACAAAGAAAAGGAGACAGATATAGTAAACCCTGGCTGACGTTGTCCTGTAGGTGTTAAAGAAGACTTCAGAGTGGAGGTGGTTTTCAGTACAGTCCTTGGGGGTGAGTAGACCTGGAGCAGAGATTGGCCTACAGTCTAAATGTGCACCCATCTTGGAACTGTCAAAGAGCATGGCATATTCAAGAAGGGTGAATGCAGAACATAGAGTGTGGAAAGAGGCTTAAGGAAGTCAATTCGGCAATAGAATTTGAAGAGCCTTGCATGATATGTCAAGAGGTTTGTATTTTATTTTGTAAATCAACAGGTCTTTTTGTGTTTTTGAAAATGAATTCATTGGCATCATTTGGCATAGGTGATTTTAAGAAAAAATTCAGAGTTCATGCTTCTCAAAAAAAAGCCACACTAGTGGCTTTTCCCCATCTAGTGAGGCAACACTTGGCTGGAATAGGGTTGCTGCCCTTTTTACATAGGGCTTCTGCTGTTCATCTTCTTTCTTCTCCTTGGCAAGCTTCATTCATCAAATGACCAGCCTCGCCTTGGTAGGCATTTAACTTGATGGGCTCTGAATGTGATAGGGAAATATAAGTGGCTTGCAAGTAAAGAGTAATCAGAGAAATTAATTTAAAACTTTTATCATAAGTTGGGTACTTTGGCTAGCCTCTCTGTAGTAGAAACATGTGTCTGGTAGCCACATGGAAGATGGTTTGGGAATGCACTTGTTGAAGAAAGGAAGAGAAACTAGGAGGTTATTTAGAAATTCTAAGTGAGAGGTGGAGAAGACCTGAATATCCTCTGTATTTTTGTATAGTCCACATATCTAGACATTGCCTTCCATATAAAGGTGCTTAATAAATATTGGTTGGATTAACATATATGCTAATAAACATTTCATCGTTTTGTGGACATTTTCATACAGTCTTTGGGTCCTAGTTCATTGTTTCCTAAGCACAGGTAAAGGAGGGGAATTCAGTGACAGCCCCAAGTAGAGACTGATATCAGAGATTTTATTTAAATGCTTTTCCATGTTTTACCTGATACAGATTGATGCATTATTAAGTTGTTTCTAATTCTATGCTAATTTTGTACAACATTACTCTCAAAGTCAATAATATGAAATGTGTGAATATTAATAAAATTAGTCACTTTATATTAATGCTTTTGTCTTTTTATAAAATGTCGAGGAGATTCTAAGAAATATTTATAAAATATAGATAATGTACACATGATCATTATTCAATGGATGTTTATGTACATATCACACAATTACAAGATGGAACATTATCATTCCATATCACAAATCTGTGCTCCTTTTTCTGAATTCATTCCATGCCATGGAATGAAGAGAAAACCACCACTTTGAACTTGTTTATTATTTCCGTGTGTGTGTTTATTATTTCTGTGTGTGTGTGTGCATGTGTGTGTGTGTGTGTGTGTGTTTAAGCGACTGGATCTCACTCTGTTTCCCAGACTTAAGTGCTGTGGTGCAATCATGGCTCTTTGTAACTTCAAACTCCCAGGCTCGAGTGATCCTCCCATGTCAGCCTCCTGAGTAACTGGGACTACAGGTGCACACCATTATGCCCAGGTAATTTTCACCTTTTTGTAGAGAAGGGGTCTAACTATGTTGTCCAGGCTGGTCTCAAATTCCTGGTCTCAAGCAATCCTCCTGCCTTGGCCTCCAAAATTTCTGGGATTACAGGCATTGGTAACCATGCTCAGGCCCTCTGTTTATTTTTTAACTGCATGTTTTTAACATTAAACCATATATTGCTTGCTTTTGCATGTTGTCTTTAACTTTCCATAAGTGGATTAATACCATATGTATTCAGGACTTAGT
This sequence comes from Homo sapiens, assembly GCF_000001405.40. NCBI lineage: Eukaryota > Metazoa > Chordata > Mammalia > Primates > Hominidae > Homo > Homo sapiens. The sequence continues at coordinate 89,920,423 of NC_000005.10, read as the reverse complement.
GTTGTTCGCTCAGTATTAGGTTTCAGGGGTTTAGATATATTGATGCAGGTAATTAATTGACTTTCCATTGCTCTCTAGCATTTCATTGTATAATCACACCCTGATTTACTTGTATATTATATTTTTAATTGCTACTTGCTATTATAAACAATGCAGTTTTGAATGTTCTTAATTACATCTCCTGATGTGTGTGTGTACATATTTCTTTAGGATTTAAACCTAGAAATTGAATTTGTGGATCATAAGAATTGTAACTGTTCAAATATAACAGACAACTTCAAACTACTTCCCAAAGTAGTTTAACAACTTACATACTACAAGCATTGTGTACATGTATCAATATTCTGTTTGCATTGCATGCTTGCCAACACTTGCCATTGTTAGACTTTTACATTTTTTGCACATTTAGTAGGTATGTAATGTTACCTTGTAGTTTTAATTTACATTTCTCTGAAAACTAATGCTGTTTGTTACTAATTTTTATTAACTATTTGAATTTCCTCTTTCTGAAGCATCTGTTTAGTTATTTGGCCTATTTTTTCTCCTGTTTTCTTATTTATTTGTAGAAGTTTTTTGGAAGTTCTGGATTCTAGTACTTTGTTATATATGTTGAAAATACATGTTAAAACAATAGACACCATTCAGCTAAGAAGAGAAATTGAATGTGATCCAATTTTTAATCTTACCTTGTATGGCTTACACTTTTTGTATTATTAACAAAAAGTTCATTCATGACTGTTTATAAAAATATCTTCCTATATTATCTATCTTCTTTGAAAGGTGGTTTATAATCAGTGATGGGACTTTGACATGTGTTCTTGAATGTATGTTTCTGAAAACTTTGAAAATTGTGACATTAGCATACAGGAAAAACACTTTCAGGATTCATGGAAAGCTGGAATGTTCATTAATATCAAGCAGAACAGAGTTGACTGAATGAACTGAACTAATATGAGACTAAAGTAATCTTTTTTGACTTTGCTTAAAACATTGTTGATCCTTTGTTTTGTTTTTCAGAGTCAAGGATACTTTCTTTTGAGCTATTTACAGCTTTTAACAATTGAGTAAAGTATACTCCTGTGAACAGAATTTGTTTCTCTCTACCTGATTTATCCAGAATTTGGAAACTAATTGTAAATATTCTTAACTAATGACAATATGATTATTTGCATAAGTGCAATAAGAATGTTCTCTTTTGTGAGAGGACACAATTGGAGAAACTGGCTATTTTACCAAGACTTTAACTGGAATGGTGTGCTTTCCTTTAAGGAATCAAACTTGACTTATAGAGCCAATAAAAGTCCTTTGGGCAAACTGGTCTTGTATCTTGTCTACACAGTCCCTGTGCCAGGTTCCTGACCTGTGGCAAGTAAAGAATGTCACTTTTTGACAGGCCTAGGAGCCCCAAGTTATCTTGAGACCTCAAGAGGAGAGGAATTTACTCAACTCATGGATATTTTAAGGTCCAAACCCACGGCTGGGTTCAGCTTTAAAAAAAAGTCTTATCTGAAATTCCTTTTATGGAGCAAAGTTCAAAGTCAATTTAAAAAGCCTCTGTAAAAAATATTATTGCTACACTTTACACAAATAATCAGGCCAAGTATATTAAAGCAAGTCAGTCTTACCATGATTTGTCTTTAGTGAAAATGGGAAACTGGAGAGAAAAAGTTATGTTTCAAGGACTATGGTACACCTGTTTTAGGTTCCAGTCTCATCAGTTGCTTTTGGTTTTTTTTTCCTGCAATTTAGACTGACCTTGCTCATTCCTGCGAACCAATCAGTAATCTCTGACTGCAGCTCAAAAGAAACAAGAGAGATGGGTCATGTAAAAATCAAGATCAGTATTCTAATTCTGGACACATATTGGAATCAGCTAGCATCCCGTATCAGCTTGGTTCCAACAGTTGCCCACTTCATAGAAAGACTTCTTCTCATTTAGTTTACTTGGGATAGTTTTACTTATTTTACTTTACTGTTGTGGAATATTTTGCTCTTGTACTCTTTGTGTAGAAATACAGGGTAAGCTTACCAAATGTTTTCTTAAATTGAACACTTATTTATCTTCTAGATATCCTTTTGTTGGAACTTAAGAGTTATAAATGGCCCATGCCATACCGATGTTTTCTGACTGAGCTCTTCTCTATCTTGAATGCAAGAGACCCATTAGTTAGGCAGGAATGTTATCCCCCCTAATTAGCCTGAACAAATTATAGAAGATGGATCTTCATCCCTCTACAACCCTTAGCATTAAGAGTTTTCTTATAAAACGGAGGGGAAAAATGTCAGAGACATTTGAACCAGAGCAACTTTGTCTTGAATAGGGGACAGGTAAAATGAGGCTGAGACCTATTAGGCTGCATTCCCAGGAGGTTAAGGCATTCTAAGTCACAGAATGAGGCAGGAGGCCAGCCCAAGATGCAGGTCATACAGACCTTGCTGATAAAACAGGTTGCAGTGAAGAAGCCAGCTAAAACCCATCAAAACCAAGATGGAGATGAGAGTGACCTCTGTTGGTCCACACTGCTACACTCCCACCAGCGCCATGACAGTTTACAAATGCCATGAGAACATCAGGAAGTTACCTTATATGGTCTAAAAAGGGGAGGCATGAATAATCCATCCCTTGTTTAGCATATAATCTAGAAATAACCATAAATATGAGCAACCAGCAGCCCTCGGGGCTGCTCTGCCTATGGAGTACCCATTCTTTTATTCCTTTATTTTATTAATAAACTTGCTTTCACTTAAAAACAAATATATATATATTATCTAATAAAAGTTTTATCATACTTAGGTTCCTAATGCCATGGATTATTTTCTGTGAAAGGCATGAGTTAAAAATACAGATTTATTTATTTTTTCCATATGGATAACCAATTGTCCCAGCAGTGTTTACAATATATTTCATCTTTCTACCACTGATCTGAAATGTCACCTTTGTCATAAATCAGGTTTCTTTATATTGGTGGGCTTTTTCTAGACTATTTTCTTTGGACTATTTTTTGGTCTCTGAGGTAATGCCACACTGTCTTAATTTCAATAATTTAAAAATAAAAATTCTTGAAATCTAGTGATACACTCCAATTTATTATTTAGAAGAGTCAGCAATTCCTAGTCCTTTAGTCTTTCATTTTTAATCAACTCGTCAAGTTCTACATAAAGAAAATCTAGTTAGAAACTGTATTTTATTGACAAAAAGAGAGATTCAATATCTTTATGATGCAGAATCCTTCCACTTATTAATATTCAATTTATTTAATATCTCTCTAGTTTAATTCTTTAATTTTTAAGTAAGTTTTATAATTTTCTTCATACATTTTTCACAGATTTTTGTTAGATTTGTTCCTTAGGCTCCATATATTTCTATAAAACATTAAATGACACTAAAAATGTTGTACATTCTAAATTTGTGATTCGTGCATAAAAATGTAATTGCTTTTTGTTTGCTACTTTGTATCTTGCAAGCTTGCTACGCTATCTTCTAATCAATTCTAATAATATGTCTACTGATTTTCCTTGGCTTTCTAATATGTTGATCATTAAGGAAATCTTTATTTTCTAATTTCCAATGCATATACTTTGATTTATTTTTCTTGCTTTATTGTCCTGGCCATCACAACTAGTACAATCATGAATAGACGTAATGATAGTCAGTACCATTGTCTTGTTTCTGATGCTACAGGGCAAGTTTTCAGTATTTCATTGTTAAGAATCATGTTAGGTATAGGTTTTTTTTCTAATTACATTTATCCAGTAAAAACGTTTTTCTATTTCTTGTGTGCTAAGAAAATCTATCATGCTTTCTTTGGAAAAGACCCTATGCCATCTTGTTCTCAAGAAATAGTAACTTTATAGGTAGAATTGATTGTTCATAGTTATTTTTGTCCTCACATTTAATGTAAACTTTAATTCTGGCTTTGATTGAGTCAACTATCAGCCTACCCTTCACTCATTGACAAATAATTTGCTTTTCAATTCTTGTAAGATTTTTTTCTTTGTCTTTGGTTCTGCAGTTTTATTATTGTAAGTCTAGCGAGAATTTCTTTTCCTTTATTTACCTTGAGAATTTTGAGGCTTTTTGAATATGTAGATTGATGTCTTTCATTTGTATAAGACAATGCTCAGATTTATTTTTTTCAAATATTTCCTCTACCTTAGTTTTTTTCTTCTTCTGTATATGTTTCTGTAAACTCAAATCTTAGCTTGAGTTTTTCAGAGCATGCCAATAGGGTGAATTAAGCTGCAGACCCATGTGAAGCTGGATTTTGTTTATAAATGTTATTAACTTAACTTTGCCTTTACTATAAAGATTGGACAATTGGGAGGCCACAGATTTTTAGGGGTTTTCTCTTAGACTCCTCATTAGTTTACTAATTCCATTTTTATATATTCCTCATCTATTATTATCCATTGAATTTTACATTTCAATTACATGTTTTATTTTCATAAATTGTCTCTGGTTCTTTTTCAAATCTGCTTGGCCATTTCCTTTAATAACATAGTAATTTTTATATTCATATTTTAATACCACTTTTATTTTAAAAATATATTAGATGTATTTATTTAATATTTTATTCTGATAAATCCATTTCTGCTATTCTATGCTTGTTTTCTCATTTGGTGTCTTCTTTGGCAGAGTAGGAGTAGGTTATGCAATTTGATCTTATCTTTTTCTAAATATTATTTGTGGGAAATACTCCAGTCCAAGATGAAGGTACGTGCTCAAGAGAGTTTCAGTTTGCCTCTGTATAGCATCTGTGTGTATTACCTACTTTGGAACAAATGTAAATTCAGTTTTTGGTGTAAGATTTTCAGAATAACAATTCATGTGAATTTAGGCTACAAACCCATGTGAAAACTAGCTTTTACTTATGAAAACTCAGGGTAATGTGTTTACCTTCACTTTTACTTATAAATATTGGACCTCTGGGGTCACAGCTTTTTAAGGATTTTCTCTTAGACTCCTTACCCTGGCAGGCCTTAGGCCTTTACAAGTCCTTTGTGTCTTGTTCTTTGAGTTCTGGAAGATCATGTTAGAAACATCGCAGGTTTACTTTGTGTAGTAAATCTTTCAGGATTAAACCTAGCCTCAATAATTAGCTTAATACTCTATTTCCCACTTTAATTTAGATTTTACTTTTAATATTCCTTATTTTCTTTTGAATTAATCAATTTAAGAAGATATCTGGCATTTTCAGAAGTTTTTCAGTGGGAAAGTGGGTGTTCCATATTTCCAGAAAGGAAAGTCTCAGTATTTGCTTTTCGACTGGCAAATATCAATATAAAACTTAGAAAAGAAAAAAAGTTACCATGGTTTTTTAGTAATTCCTTATAGCAAGGATGTTCTCAGCACAGGCATGCCAGGAGTTAGTGATTCCTGACTATGGAGAGTTGTGTGGGACAGAGACCAATGAGAGCTTCTCCCAGTGGAAAGGTTAGTTTTGGTGAGGGCCCCAGGGAGTTTCACTGTGCAATGTTTAAAGTGGCAGGAATAATGTTAGCATGTGTATCCCAGATAGGATTGCTGGATAAAATCAGGACATCCAGTTAAATTTGAATTTCAGATGAACAATAATTTTTTAAAACATATGTTCCCATATTCTCTTGCATCCAGTCATCTCTCATTACAAATATCCAAGTAGCATTGGATATGCTAGAATATATGATTTATGAACACTCCATTGTGACTTACTGAAAGTCTCAAAGAAATAGTCTTCAAATTTCAGTGTGCAATACGAATCACCTGGAAGATCTTGTCAAACTACAGAAGCTGATTCAGTAGGTCTGGGATGGAGTATGAGATTCTGCCTTCCTAACATGGATGAGATCTGCTGTGTCAACATGGAAACTGCTCAGCAAGTAAGAGAAATGTCAAGCAATAATCTCTGCTCAACAGGAAAGGACTTCTTGCTGCTCCCTCCTGGAGCCTTCAAGGCAGAATTAATTTTCTCAGGTTCTGAACTTTATTATTAAGTATGCACATAAATATCACTAATAAAATGTGACTGTGTGTTTTATAGACCCAATTCTTGCAGCAAATTCTCCAAAATACCACCTCACTATTTAAAATGCTAAGGTATTGGAACCCACTACTGTTCTCTTTACCACTTTGTATAGATATAAGTAGTTTAGGATATTTCACAGATAACCAAATAAATATCACTTTGCTATATATTAAATTCCCTGGAGCAAGTCAGTAGAAACTTCAAATGGAGGAGTTATTTCAGATAAACAAATTTCCATAAAGCCAAAGCTTTATATCCCAATATATTGGAGCCAGAACTGGATGAGTGTTAGGAAACCCTATATCTTCTATTGAAGGAAGTTTTATACCTGTTGAATTTTCACGTGAGCTGGATGTAACTTTAAATGCAGAAACTTTAGAGTAACAGGGATAGAATGATAGAGACATGCTATAATAATTTCCATATGTATTTACCTCCCTATCTGTTCTAACCTCTCACCAGTTTCAGACTGCATTTATGATATAAAAATGGATGGGAATGCCTGGAATATGCGGAGCAACTCTGTGGGGTTAGATTTTTCAACATTTTGTTAGAGGTTAGAAATGTTCTCTTCATCCTTGGGAAAACCTGTTCTCAGTTTTTCCATGAGATGAGTACATCATTCATTCAAACTTATGAAGAGTTAAAAATATCCATAATGATACAATATAACATGACTAAAGAGTGTGAGCTCTGCATTGTCTTTTCATCCTGTCTTTTTTGGTCTGTAGGTGAATTTTAAAATTTGCTTCTTTTCCCATTGTAGTTCAGTATTGGTCATTGTTTGCCATTATTGTGAAATTTTGTTTTATTTATTTTTTCCTAGAATTACTATAAAAATAAATACAAATAATGGTACTCTTTTTCCTAATTCATCAAGTGTCATTTCTTTTGTGTGTGAATGGGTATATTACATTAATGGTTTCTGTGGTATAATTCTGTAATTAATATTTATATATTAGCTACAGTATCTGTTCTTAGGAAAAAAGAATTACATAGTATAAAACTGAATGTTTTAAAGCATTCAAGTAAACCAAAAATATTTCCTCAAAAATGTGTTGAAAGGATGTAACAATCCAGCATGTGATTTTAATTAATGTCCAAGTAACTAAAAATGTATTTAGTTCATAAAGAAAACATATTGACATCTAATTATGGATCATAGAATTTGGTGCAGCAAAACTGTAGTGCATCTGTTCAGTGAAAACATAATCATGGAGAATACGAAATGGCACAATATATAATGAAAATTGAAATAATGCACAAATAAGACCATTAAAAAATCACAGTGTGAAACCAAATAGAGTTGGGTTTTAGCAAGAGAAGATTGGTAGTTCTAGATTCACTGGTAACAGAGATTGTCAAATTCATACAAAATGTACTCACTATGCTAATTTTAATGGTAGCACAGCAGAATATTCCCTCTTTTCTTTTGTAATGAAATTCAAAAATTTAAAGTAGAAGTGGGAAGTTGGCACCATTAGCCCACTTTAATATTTTCTGACTAATAACATAATATGTATAGTTTTAACTAAGGATTATCTTTTGATAAGTCATTTTTAAAAATTAATGATGCTGTAGACTAACAGATGCCAAGAATAGTAACATTATATATTGTATAAATGACATTATTTTTACAATATTACTGGCTCAACCTCCTTTCCTCTCTCTATTGATTTGGCTCATGCCCTCACTTCCTCTCACATAGGATTTCAGTATCATTGATAGCCCATCAACTGGTTTCCTTGATTCATAGTGGATCCCAGAGCTTCTGGTCTCTTTCTTTTTCAATCTCTTCTGTAATTTACAGAAGTGGTTCTCAGATTTGAGCTTGCATAGAGTACTTTTACCTGGATTACTTGATAAAGCATAGAACAGTGGACTTCCAGAGATTCTAATCCACTTATTCTGGGAAGAGGCCTGAGAATGTCCATTTCTAATGAGTTCCCAGGTGATGCTGATGCTGCAGGTTCCGGGACCACATTTTGAAAACTACTTCCTTGGAGCCTTATAAATTACCTTAAAGCCAGTCTTGCCCTAATACTCCCATTTCTACAATGCTTTGTTAGCTTGTAGTAGTCTTTAGAATCAAGCTAAACTTGGCAGGGTATTTAGCAATTGCTATCATGTTCCCCACCCACTCCAAGTCTGTCTTTTCTGCTCATCTTTAAGTTGTTTTCCCCTGGACCCTTAACACTATATCACATAGAGTAACCAATGCATTATTCTCCATATTGTTCACATATTCTCCATATTGTTCAAATATGGAGAATTCTCCACAATTTTCCATATTGTCCAAATGGTTTCCTACCTTCATCGCATTGTTACATTACTCCAATTAACCTAGAAAGCTCTTCTTTATCTCTATATTTCAGTCATACAAGTTTCAGCCCAAATATTTCATCCCCCATAAGCCATCCTTGGTTCTCTTTCATTTACTTAGGTCACAAGTAATGTGTCATTTCTCTGAAATGTTTCTGCATTTCATTTCTCTTACATTTAATTTCCACTTTCTCTACATTTTATTCTTTTTACTTAGATACATATCTAAATTCTTCCATTAGCTTGTAAGGTATTTCAGAGCACATTTTGGGTTTTATTATCTTTTCTAACACAATATCTTAGAGAGAGAAGTCATTAATATATATGTGTGGATTTCTGTTATTTATATAATAGTCATGAAAATGGCAATAATAAACGATATTATATGATAATAACAGCAACTAATATCTACTGGGTTCTTATTATGTGGCTAGGCATGTTTCTAGTTTCACTCATTATTTCATTTAACTTCTTCATTATCCTCATATTTTCATTCTTATTTTATAGGTGAATAAACTGAGGCACCAAGAAGTTAAGTGACTAGTCTATAGTCACCCAACTAATAAGTAGAGTAGCTGGGATATGATCTCCATTAATAAGCCTCAAGAATCAAATGTCCTGATTCCTTAGATAATGAAACTTCTAGTACCAAAAATGAAGATGCTTAAAACTTTGGTGCAAAATAGACAGATATGTCTACACTTATTCTGTAGTTTAAAAAACTCTCTAAACAATGATGACCACTGACTCATATTCAGTAGCAAAGTAGCTTCGAGTATTCTTCCGATTGTAATTCTTGGTCCATTCCACTTATATGGTCACTTATACACAGTCACATGAAATCTAAAGTACCCATTGTCTTGTTCCTATGAAGGCATGGTAAGGCATGTTTCTCTAAGAGTGGACTCTGGCCTCCTTGAATCAGTACTACCTTAGGTGTTTGGGAAAAATACAGTCTCAGAATTAACCCAAACAAATTAAATTTGCGTGTCTCCCCCAAGTATCCTGGTGGTTCTTATGTACACTTTTTTCAGTGTAGCTCTCTCTCAGGATCATCAAACTCATGAATATGACCTATCAACACCATTCTTTCACTACATGTGGGATGAAGCACGGGGAAGTCAATTCTAATTGGTGACAGCCATGAGTTAGGTTTCACATAGGATGCCTATGAAGGCAAAAAGTCCAAGGGGAGATTTGTTTGGATTACCAGGGATTCTTTTAAAATGATAGTAACTTGGAGAGTTAGTATAGGTTATTTTAATCAAGTACTCAAGTCCCTTTCCTTTTAACACACATAGAACTAGGCTGTTCTAACATTTCTCAGTCTGAGATAATATACCACCACCTTTTAAAGGAAAACCAAACACCTCTTTGATCTTCATAGTTGACTCAGATTATATTTAATATAAAGTTTCTTAAATATTGTACAAACATAACACAATGTTTACATTTTATATAGCTATAAAATTAAACCTAACGTTTAATTTCAAACAAAACTATAGAAACATAAAATTCAAGTGAGAAACATTTAAAATCAGGCAGAATTTTTATTGAAACTATATTTCTCCTATTATATTTAAAAGTGACAAATGTACCTCTTTGTTTACTGTGTCACTTGCTATCAACTTAATTTTTATGCTTTTGAGAGCATAAGGGGCTATAATTTAATTCATCAGCATTATAACTATTTCTCCTTTTTAACAGTTTTTTAAAACTACTGTTCTATTATTTTCATGGGCCAATTTAAGAATATGTACGCAATATAAAATATAGTAATACAATTGATCAAGAACTAAATAAGAAATTCTCCAGAATATATTTGTCCTTATGTGCACTGATAATGAACTATCTTAAGATAGTCTGTAGTCAATGAGCACTTCAAAGACTGGCCTTTTCTCTCTGTCAGGGAAGTTTTTCTCTGGTCAGTATGTTTCTGCAATTGCAAGCTTTTTGATAACTCAATGTCATTCAGAATGCATGCTGGGCATCATTTGACCTTCAGTCACTTAAAATGCATTCAAATGTAACTTAAGTACCTAGTCACAGGTAGTCATGTAGGTGGGATGGAATATGCAAATATCAACTTTCCAAAATTCTTTTAGAAAAGACAACATAACACTAAAACAAAACAAAACTTCCAGAGCTCCGAAACCAAAATGAGTAGACCTTTGCTCTTGGGGTCTTTAGAAACCTGAAATCATTCATTGGAGCACTGGTTTGGATTGGGAGTAGAGTAAATGAGGAAATTAATATAGAAGAAGACAAACTTTGGATCATGGGCACCTCAGGGGGGTAGGAGATTTAGATATTAAAAAAAAAAGAGAGGGCTTAAAGAAGGAAAGAATCCTGTAAGGAGAACATTGGAAAAGTAAAAAGTAAACCACTGGCAATCTTCTCTATTATTTTGTGTCCTCTCTTGGCACTTTCCTTGCAGGCCACTTAAAATCCCACAGTCAGGCAACTCTATGCCATACAATAGAGGACTTCTGATACAAGTAAATTGAACAAAGCAGCTTAATATACTCAGGTTGATTTTTTGGAGTCTCCATGCTGCTATAGCATATAGTGACAGGCTTGCATATATCACATGTGTCATTCTATCATTAATATATATGTGTGGATTTCTGTTATGTAATGTAACTTAAGTACCTGGTCACAGGTAGTCATGTAGGTGGGATCGAATATGCAAATATCACCCTGGATTTCTAATTGCTTAAGGTCTTTTGAATATCTTCATTCACTATATCAAATCGATAACACTTCCAGGAATAAAGCAACAAAGTTGGCTTTCCTGGCTTCAGAAAGAAAATTTTATCTTAAACATCCTTTATGGATACAAATCTGAATTAGTTCTGAAGAGTCCCATATTGAAAGAGTTTAAAACTATTTTTCTCCTGAAACTTATTTTATTGTATAATAACTCACTTTGTGCAGACATCCTTCCTCAGATCTAATCTAAACCCTCTGTACTGCATTTTATTCTTTTCCCTTTGTTCTGGCTCAGCAATCAGAAGAACAGATGGCCATCTTCTGTCAGTACTTGAAGACTGTTTCTAAGAAACATTAAGCCTCCATCAGGCTCACTTGTTAATGCAAAAGTCCCACTCAGGACAGAAGCTGGGACAATCTTTGAAGTTGTCAGGTAAGTCTTAAAGCCCTAGTTTTACTTTTCCTTATTTTCAGTCACTTAATATCTTCAGTTTTTCTGCTTTTCTCATCCATAGCTTATCAAACAACCTTCAGATGTATAACTGTTAACCTTATCCACATTAAAGTGTAAATGATTGCTACAGTGTAAAATGTAAGCTTTTGAAAAGGATGCCTAAATTTTAACAAAGAGCATTTTTTCTTACATTTATGTTTTAATTGCAGGGTTACTATATAAATTAGATAAAGGAAGGTAAAAGACTACTGTCAATATCACCAAAATCATTTTGTGTAGGTGATCAGATAAAATGCTCCATATTTTTACAGTAGCTCCCCTCAGCTGTGATTTGTTCAGCAAGTATTTGTTGAACATCTAGCATCTGGGACCTGGGAATCTAGCAGTGAATTAGACAATGTCTTAGCGAAGTAGCAAAGTAATATCCTTTTGGGTGTAGAAACCCAATAGCGAACCAACAAGAATAAGAAAATACTGGGTGTGAAAAATGCAGAGAACTAGTATAGGGTGGGGTGATAAAAGAGTGACTGCCTGGCTACTTTAGATTTGGGATTCAGGAAAGGCTCTTCCCGGGTAAGCTGACATCTGAGTTGGAATCTAAATAAGAAGGCAGAGTCAGTCCTACTCAATGAGGGAGAACGGTGCTCCAAGGAGAGGGAAATATACCACAGTGTTGTTTTAACCATAGTACACTCATACCTCATTTTATTGCAGTGCAGTCAAACCTTATTTCATTGTACTTTGCTGTATCAAGCTTTGCAGATAGTGTTATTTTTACAAGTTGAAGGTTTGTGGCAATCTCACATTAAGCAAGTCTGTAGTATCATGTTTCTGATAGCATGTACTCGCTTTTGTCTCTGTGTCACATTTTGGTAATTCTTACAGTATTTCAAAGTTCTTCATTATTATTGTACGATCATTACTTTCATATGTTATGTTGTTATGGTAATCTACCATCAGTGATCTCTAATGGTACTATTGTCATTGTTTTGGGGTGCCATGAACTGCAGTCATAGAAGACAGTGAACTTAATCAATAAATGTTTGTGTTCTGACGGCTCCACTGACCATTCTGCAGTCTTCCTCTCTTTCCTTGGGCCTCCCTCTTCCCTGGGACAAAAATATTGACATTAGGCCAGTTAGAAGCCATACAATAGCTTCTAAGTGTTCAAGTGGAAGGAACAGTTCCATGTTTCTTACTTTAAATCAAAAGCTAGGAATGATTAAGCTCAATGAGGAAGACATATTGAAAGCTGAAATAGGCTGAAAGTTAGGCCTCCTGCACCCACCACACAGTTAGCCAAGTTGTGAACACAAAAGGAAAAATTTTGAAGAAAATTAAAAGTGCTACTCCAGCATGCACACAAATGATAAGAAAGTGAAACAGTCTTATGGCTGATACAGAGAAAGATTTAGTGGTCTGGATAGAAGATAAAATCAGCCACAATATTCCCTCAAGCCAAAGCCTAATCCAGAGCAAGGCTCTCACCCTCTTCAATTTTCCAAAGGTGGAGAGAGGTGAGAAAGCTGCAGAAGAAAAGTTGGAAGCTAGCAGAGGTTGGTTAAGGTTTAAGGAAAGAAGCTGTTTCCATAACGTTAAAATGCAAGGTGAAGCAGCAAATTATCTGGAAGATCTAGCTAAGATCATAGATAAGGGTGACTACACTATGCAACAGATTTTTCCATGTAGATGAAACAGTCTTATATTGCAAGAACATACCATCTAGGGCTTTTATAGCTAGAGAGAAGAAGTCAGTGCCTGGCTCCAAAGCTTCAAAGAACAGCCTAACTCTCTTGTTAGGGGATAATGTAGCCAGTGACTTTAAGTTGAAGTCAGTGTTCATTTACCATTCTTAAATTTCTAGGGCCTTTAAGAATTATGCTATCTACTCTGCCTATGCTCTATAAATGGAAAAACGAAGGCTGACTGACAGCACACCTGTCTATAGCATGGTTTATTGAATATTTTAAGCTGACTGTTGAGACCTACTGCTCAGAAAAAAAATTCTTTCAAAATATTACTGCTCATTGACAATGCACCTGTTCACCCAGAAGCTCAGATAAAGATAGAGGTACAACTAAATGAGTGTTGTTTTCATACTTGCTAACACAACATCCATTCTGCAGCCCATGGATCAAGGAGTAATTTCAACTTTCAAGATTATTATTTAAAAAATACATTTCATAAGGCCATAGCTGCCAGAGACATTGATTCCTATGATGAATCTGGGAAAAGTGAGTCAAAAAAATTCTGGAAATGATTCACCATTATAGATGTCATTAAGCACATTTGCAGTTTAGCAGAGGAAATCAAAATATCAAGATGAACAGGAGTTTGGGAAGAAGTTGATTCCAAGTCTCACGGATGACTTTAAGGGGTTCACGACTTCAGAAGAGGAATTAACTGCAGATATGGTGGAAATAGAGAATTAGAATTAGTGGAACCTGAAGATGTGACTGAATTGCTGCAATCTCATGATAAAACTTGAAAAGATGATGAATTGCTTTTTATGTATAAGCAAAGAAAATTGTTTCTTGTTATGTAATCTACTCCTGGTGAAGATACTGTGAATACTTTTGAAATGACAACAATGGATTTAGAACACTACATAAACATAGTTGATAAAGCAGTGGCAGGGTTTGAGAGGATTGACTCCAATGTTGAAAGAAGTTCTGTGAGTAGTAAAATGCTATCAAACAGCACTGCATACTACGCAAAATCTTTTGGGAAAGAAAGAGTCCATAGATGGTGTAAACTTTATCGTAGTCTTACTTTAAGAAATTGCCACAGCAACCACTGCCTTAGGTAACTGACATTCTGATCAGTTATCAGCCATAAATGCCTAGGGAAGACCCTCCATCAGTAAAAAATTACAGCTTGCTAAAGGCTCAGATGATTATTAGCATTTTTTAGCAAAAAAGTATTTTTAAGATATGTATTTTTAAAACATAATTCTGTTGCACACTTAAAATTAAAAAACTACTTTATAGTTTAAATGTAACTTTTCTGTGCATGGGAAAACCAAATAACATGTGTGACTCGCTTTATTGCTATATTTGCTTTATTGCTGTGGTCTGGAATAAACTGCGCAATATTCTCAAGGTATGCCTATAATATGTTGCTTCCCAATGGTTCATTTGTCTATGAAGACCTATAGATATTTATACTATTATCCAATACAAACATTTTTTATTTTTACATCTTTAGTATCCTATGTGGTTTTCCTCATTAAGAACAAGAATCAGCAATGCACAGTGGCTCACTTCTGTAGTACCAGCACTTTGAGAGGCTGAGGCGTGAGGATCACTTGAGCCCAGGAGTTCAAGACCAGCCTAGGCAACATATAAAGAACCAATCTCTAAAAAAATTTTTTTTTTAATTAACCAGGTGTGGTGGCATTTGCCTGTGATTCCAGCTACTCAGGAGGCTAAGGCTGGAAGATCTCTGAGTCAAGGAAGTCAAAGCTTTAGTGAGCACTGATTTCGACACTGTATTCTAGCCTGGGTGACAGAGAGAGACCCCATTTAAAGCAAAACAAAAAACAAACAAAACAATAATAATAATAATAAAAGACTAAGAACCAACAGTCATTCACTATCATATATTTTTTACATTTCACATTTTATTTAAAAACTGTCATGCTATATTCTCACCTTCAATGAACACCACTATTCTGTATTTGGTATCTTTATCAAACTTAATTTATAAGTATCTTTTGGATTTTTCCAGGTTTTTGATGAAAATAGAAGTCTAAATTTGGACTTTACTATTATGATGAAGTTCTTGAGGAGTATGGTAGGAGGGAGTAAAAAGAGGAATTTTTTTTTTTCAGTTGTGAAAATTTAACATATCTCTTTTTTAGGCTATATGTTATAAGAATTTGTATAGGTTATAGTTGAGAGGGATGAAGCTTGAAATAGCACTGAGGTAATTTTTTAAATCATCACTTGTATCAACAAAATCCTTGTATAGAACAAATCTGTTTAAGTTTTGGACACCTAGAGTCGGTACATGCTACTTACTGATTGGCCAATATTCTGTGGTCCCATATCAGCTACTTTCAACTTTCTGTAAAGATAAAGAAGAAAGAATTGTTTTCACTGATTAGGAGAATGCAAATCTTTAAAGACGAATGGATGGTGATTTAATACTTTGTGTATCAGTGTTACCTTTTTATGTTTATTAATTAAAATGCTGATAAGAGAAGAATTAAGAAAAAAAGAGAAATTGTATGTTCCTCTTCCTCACAAACATGCTCTTAACATTGGCCCACTGATGATGCAATATTCTTGTGAAAGTAGCCTCTACATTCAACACATTGTATTTATTCATACTTTACTCATTCACTATGACAAATTTACCAATAGGAATGAGACCATCAGTGAGCCTACTGTAGAAATATACATACTTTGATACTTAATGCGCATGCTTTTTTGTTGAGGTGAAAGATGAATTTTGTTGAGCTAACTAAAGAATTTCTGAATGAAGGTGGAAAATGCGTATTCCCCAAATAAGCAAGAGGTATTTGTGGCTAAAGCCATTATAGGGTCCTACATTCTGAAGAGAGACATTATTTTATATTCACTTCAGAGAAACATTATTTATCTCTGTTGGCCAACATACTTTGAAACAACTATTTGGTTTTAATGGATATATATCTTGCCACTGTGCCATCAGTAATTTGAACAGCTTGAAATACTGTATGTCATCTTACATTGCTTTCCCTTTGTAGCAAACACAATCACTGGATTGTTTTTCATTGATTTAAAAACATTGACTTGCTGAAGTATGAGCCTGTGTGCAGTCATAATTCTTGTTCTTTCTTCCTCAGCAAAGCCTGTGATAATTCTTTGAGTTTTAAGCAGGTGTCATGCATCAGATCCAAGTGCTTAATAAATGCACCAGAAGTATATTTTCCTTAAGGCCTTGTGTTTACCCATTTTCATTTATCTTGTGAAATATTTCAAATGTTTTTCTAAAATCCTGGGAAAGAGCAGGTTAGCATTTCCACTTGGCAAGCAGAATTATAAGCATGAGGCTCCCCTGTCTATTGTGACCTTAACCAACATCAGTGATTCCCAGCCTGTGTGCCAAGGGCCCTTGAGGAGTGATGAAAGTTATTGGATAGGGCCCATCAATCCATATGTACAGTAAGCATTTTCTTTGGTAATCTGAATAAATATATCTAACATAAAATGTACTATGTTTTTTCTAAGCACATATAAATTCTATCAATAAAATACAGCTACATTCATAAGTGGTCCTGAATTCATGGTGGCTTTTTCATATTATATTTTCTCAGTTAATGGATAGTCCAACTGGGTTACTTGCATTTTTTTTTCATTGTAATTGACAGTGCTCAGTGCATTAAGTTTTAAGAAAAGATGATGTTATTGACCACAGGTATTGTATTTAAACCAAATTGAAATAATTTTTGTCATACTAATATTGTGAGCTGGCTACTAGCAATTTCATATTCATTTTATCAATAGTATACTAATACATTAATCATAATATAACTAACATAACCATAATAGGTATTGTATTGAGTGCAGGCAGTCATTTCGTTTTTACACCAACCCTGTAAAATTATTATTATTATGATTCCCATTTCACTAAGAGGAAATCAAGACATGGAGACTTCAAGAATATTGCCTTAGCATCCACAGTTAACTAGTAAATAATGTGAACTTTAAATCCTAGTTTAGCCATCTGACTCCAAACATCTTGTTCTGTTGATTCCATCACATTGCAGAGCAATATGTCATGTAAGACATACATATCGATGCTGTGCTTAATTCTGGAAGGCAATGATTTGTGCAAGAGATATGATGGGACCTTCCTTAATTTATATTGAATCTAATCAGTAATCATTTTTTAAAAACATTTATTCGATGAAGATTTGTTTGTGAAATCCTTAAAAACATGAACACTATTCAAACTGGGCAATTACAGCTACTACCCTTTATTACTAAACCAGCAACCGCCTACTAGACATGTCCAATTTTGACCTACTGTTTCAAATATCAAGAAAAACCAAGACATCCGGGCCCGGTGGCTCATGCCTGTAATCCCAGCACTTTGGGAGGCCGAGGCGGGCGGATCACGAGGTCAGGAGATCGAGACCATCCTGGCTAACATGGTGAAACCCCGTCTCTACTGAAAATACAAAAAAGTAGCCGGGCTTGGTGGCGGGAGCCTGTAGTCCCAGCTACTCCGGAGGCTGAGGCAGGAGAATAGCGTGAACCCGGGAGGCGGAGCTTGCAGTGAGCTGAGATCCCGCCACTGCACTCCAGCCTAGCTCCAGCCTGGGCTACAGAGTGAGACTCCGTCTAAAAATAAATAAATAAGTAAATAATTAAAAATAAAAAATAAAAAGGCCAAGACAATAATGGAGAGAACTAAGCAATGAGATGGAAATTTAAAGGAGTATGGAAGAAAAGGAGGAAAGAGCTACATGCAGTTCATCGTCTTTAAAAGCTAAAAGATCTAGGGCATTATCAGTTAGTCTCTGGAGGTTTCCAGCTCATTTTTTTCATTCCTAATTCCTCTGGTAAACTAGGTGCTAGCCTCACTTACCCCCTCTCTTCTGCATCCTTCTTCTCATTATTCTCCCTTCCACTGTGGAAAGAAACTCCTACTGTTTGTTTACAATCCAGAGTTTTAAAGAGGCTGAACTAAAATTGGCTGCTTCTGGGACATCCCTGCCAATGGATGGGATCCAAATTGGCTCTGCCATGAAGAGGCAGCTATGCCCACATAAGGATATTTTGGCTTCGTGCTTCTGTCGTCTCAATGCCAGGCAGACAATCATCCAGGAGTGGGAAAATACAGCCGGGGCAAATGTTTATAGCTAGAGTGGTCAGCTGGTTGGAACACCAGTCTGAAGGACAGGCTATCTGGATGTCGTGTTTAGCTCCTCATGGGAAGAGCTTAATAATGTTGGACAAATCACTTAGTCTCTTGACTCCCAATTCGATGGACAAGGACCACAGTACATATACCTCCTGGCTACCCAGGGGTATTTTTATAAGTGCTCAGTTTATTTCTTCCAGTTTTGAGTACATTGAAGGTAACTTTCTTTTCTGAAATGAGACCAGAGAAATAACTCTGTCTCTGTAGCTTTGCTAGTGATATAGTCAAGTTCAGAAGAAAGAACAGTTCTCCCAGCTCTAGAAGAAAGACTTCCCTTTAGATATTTCTCATGGGCTAACACATTACCTGAAGATGGGAAGACAGGGTGTGTGTACAAAAATCACATGTAGAAAGCATATGTGTAAAACATAGACATATATACAGTATTTATGTAAAGATGTCTTTATCTAGACATTTCAGCATAGCTCCTAGTTAAGCCACAACTTTTATAACAGGAAAGCAAATCAGATTTGACTGCATTGGCTGTTTAAGTGAAGGAGCCACACAGATGGGCAAGAAGCACAGACAAATTGCTTTTGGCTCTGCTTTCCTTTATAACAACATCAGATATTTTTAGTTTCTTTTTCTTTATGCGTTGTGCATGTTTCTGCCTCATATAGAAAGTCATTGCACATTGTCTTCATCAGTTTTGCCACCCTCTACTAGTAGGCAAAATTTAGCATTTCATTTACCTTTTACATTTCTGAGATCTGAAGTTATTATAGGAAAATTCCATTGTCCAGACGTAGATGGTGGCCAAGAAATAGGTTAATGCCATGGAAATAGTTCTTATTAGGAGAAAAGGAAAACTTACATTTTGGACCTCATGGTGGAGGAATATTTCTGGTTATCGCAAGATAGATTTCCACACTGGTTGGAATTATACAAACTTCAGTTTCAAGAATTAGAAAAAATGTTTTCTATGACAGACCCTGCATTAATGTGATGAACTGAGAGGTTCATTAAAATAATTATGTAGGCCAGGCGTGGTGGCTCACACCCATAATCCCAGCACTTTGGGAGGCCAAGGTGGGTGGATCACCTGCGGTTAGGAGTTCAAGACCAGCCTGACCAAAATGGTGAAACACCGTCTCTACTAAAAATACACAAAATTAGTCAGGTGTGGTGGCACGTGCCTGTAATCCCAGCTACTCGGGAGGCTCAGGCAGGAGAATCACTTGAACCCAGGAGGTGGAGGTTGCAGTGGGCCAAGATTGCGCCATTGCACTCCAGCTTGGGTAACGAGCAAAACTCCATCTCAAAAAAAAAAAAAACAAACAACAATTATGTAAAGCCCTCATAAACCTTTTAAAAGTTGTCCACTTTATTCTCATGATCTTTTATTTCCAAGTAAGTGGCAGTAGTTGCTATTTTCATATCCAGGTTCCTCGTGATATTATGATGTCAGATTAGAAAGAGATGAGTATTCTACAGATTCCATTCAGTATTCCAGCAGGCTCTCTCATAATTACTATTATCCTCCATAACCAGTTTATGAGTAAGAAATTAAAAACATGTGACTCAAACAGTACAGCAACTGCTTCAAAAGCTAATTACAGAGCTACCATATAAACAACCAAGTAATTTCACTTCTAGGTATCTAACTAAAACTTGTGTTCATATAAAGATTTGTCAACCAATGTTTATGGCAGCATTATGCATAACAGTTCAAAATTGGAAACAACACAAATGTCCATCAACTGGTAAATGAATAAAGAGAATGTGGTACATCCATACAAAGGAATACAATTCAGCAATAAAAGCCATGAATCATGTGTACAGGAAACAACAGAGTAACCTCAAAAACATTATGCCAAGTGAAAGAAGCCAGACACTAAGACTATGTATTGTATGTTTAAATTTATATGACACTTCTAGAAAAGGTAAATCTATGAAGAAAAAATACAGATCACTGGTTGCCCGGGGGTGATTAACAGAGTAGAAATCAACTACAAAGAACATGAGGCAACTTTTTAGGGTGATGAAAACGTTTTAAATTTGGGGGTGTTGGTTGCACAATTATATATGTATTTATTAAATATCATTAAGCTGATACTCATAAGAGGTGAATTTTATGCTATGTAAACTAATCTTAGTAAGACTATAATTCTGAATGCTTATCCATTTCTAACATCTATGTCCAATTTCTATAGCTCTGTATTCCAATTTTGCATGCTGTGTAAGTCCAGGGAAATTGAGATGTGCATGTGTGACATTTACCCTCCTCTGTAATGTTCCAGCTCAGATAGAATTTTTCTGTTTCTTGAATATGCAAAAGTTACACTCTGCTCCAGGAGATTTTGCTACACATGCTGCAACCTCTCCCTAGAATGTTCTTTCCCACCAAGCTTCTCAAGGTTGCTTTTATTTCAAGTTTTTGCTAATGCCACTTTCTTAGAGAGGTCTTCCCTGGCTTTGTAAAGGTGATCCCTAGCCCCCATAATATCTTTGATCTTTTTTGAATTTCTTTCATAGCATTTAGCTTAATTTTGAGTTAGTTTCATTTATGTGTGTGCCTGTGCATTTATATGTCTATATTTAGTCTTTTCTCTAATAAAATATAAGCCCTGTAAGTGGAGTATATGTATCTGAGTGCCTGCTACAATGTGGATATTTAATATTTTGTGACAAATGAATGAATAAATGAAAAAGAATATTCCCTGTATTAAGCGATGATAAGTTACAAAAATCCTGAATATTTTAAGTAGGTCCGCATTTCCAGTTTTCTTCAAGAATTTCTAGTCATTAATAGACTTGTCTCATCAGTCCATACTAGTATCCTGGGAATGTTCTGAAATGTACTTGATATTCTGAGGGTCTTTGACATCGGTGTATGTCTTGACTGGGAGAGTATTCTAAGATCTATGAGGGTCACCCTAACTTTCCCAGGTCTATCTCCTAAAATCTTACAAGATTGTAGGAGGCATAAAGGCTCCAGATTTATTTAGTGATCTGTAATTACCAGTGACTAAATGTTGTTTTTTGACACCTTATTTGGCACCTCACCTTAAAAAACCTATTTTTACAATTGAATCAGACCTTACATTGCATAAACCATAATACAGAATTAATATACAGTTAAATATGTCCTAAATACTGAGGTTTCCCAAAAACCGAATTTTCCTCTCAGGAAGTAGCTTACACTCTAGAAAAATCTCACTAATTACATAATCTGACAAAATAATATAATATAGTTTTAATAGCTACAGTTAATACATTAAACATATGGTAATAATTTCTTCAATGATTACTAATTTTTACATTTCTCACTACCAATTATGGTATTAAATTGTTCACTTCTTAATTTGTTCTGTCCTAAGTTTTTATTTATTCCAGACTGAATGGTGATAGAGTTGAGACTTTTGTACTTCTCCCATTAGCTTAACATCATTGATATAATCATGCTGTATTGTCATGGTGTATAATCATATTATTCTTGGTGACTTAATTTTCCTGTGAAGATCACCTCAATTTAGCCATTCCAGATGTGAAATAGTTTCAAAGGGTATTTAACAAATCTTACCAACACTGTCTTAAATAATTTCAACACCATTTTGGTAACTGCTGGTTATAATTGCCAACCCTCCTGGGCTTCTTGTTTGCTCCAAGATAAATTCACTAATAGATATTGCATGGACAAACTGGGCAGTTGGCAAGCAAAGAGTCACAAGACTCCCAGGAAGTACTTTTTGTACCGAAATGAATGGAATGAGTAACTGGTTGGTACTTTAAGGTGTGTGTTTGTGTATCAGTTGTCTGTGTCTCTGTGTAAAGTGAAGCAGGATTTGTGGGGAGTGTGGAAGTAGAAATATTAATACCATAAACATTCATTTCCAGGGACTTTAAAAATTCTATGTATTTAAAAATTGTATATATTTAACTTGATGATTTGATGTGCATATATATACATTGTGAAATAATCACCACAATCAATCTAATTAACTTACTCATTATTTAACATAGTTGTTTATTTATTTTGGGGATGATAACGCTTAGGACGTACCTTGTTAGCAAATTTTCAGTATGCAATACAGTATTGTTACCTTTAGTCACCATGCCGTACATTAGATCTCAAGAGCTGATTGATTTTGCATAACTGAAACTTTGTACACTTTGATCAACATCTCCCCATATCCTCTTTCCTCAGCCTCTGGTTACCACCATTCTACTCTCTGCTGTTATCAGTTTGACTATTTTAGATTCCACTTATAAGTGAGATTAAATAGTATTTGCTTTTCTGTGTCTGTCTTATTTCACTTGACATAATTTCGATCAGGTCCATCCGCGTTGTTATATGTGATAGAATTTCCTTCTTTGTTAAGGATGAATAATATTTTGTATATGTGTGAGTGTGTGTTGAGGGGGAGAGAGACAGAGAAAGAAAGAGTGTGTGTGTGTGTACTACCATTTCTATATTTATTCTTCTGTCTATGAGCATTTAGGTTATTTTCATATCTTGGCTATTGTGAAAAATGCTACAGTGAACATAGGAGTACAGGTATGTCTTTAAGATCCTGACTTTAATTTGTTAGGATAAATACCTGGAAGTAGGACTGCTGGGTCATATGATAGTTCTATTTATAATTTTTTGAGGAACCTTCACGCTATTTTCCATAATGTCTGTACCAATTTACAATCCCCTCAAACAGTGTACCAGGGTTCCCTTTTCTCTACATCCTTGCTAAAACTTGTTATCTTTTATCTCTGTAACAGAAGCCATTCTAACAGGTGTGAGGTAATATCTCATTGTGGTTTTAATATGCATTTCTCTGCTGATTAGTGATGTTGAGCATTTTTTATATACTTGAATGTTTGTATGTCTTATTTGGAAAAAATGTCTATTTAGGTCCCTTGCTCATTTTTTTAACTGGATTGTTTTTTCTTTTTCTGTTGGACTCTATGAGTTCCTTATATATTTTAGATATTAACTCCTAATCAGATAAATGGTTCACAAATATTTCCTCCCATTTCATAGGTTGACTTTTTATTTTGTTGATTGCTTCCTTACCTGTGTAGAAGCTTTTTAGTGTAATGTAATCCCATTTGTTTATTTTTGCTTTTGTGTGCTTTTAGTGTCATATTCAACAAATTGTTTGTAAGACCAATGCCAAGCAGTTTCTCCCCTATGTTTTCTTTTAGGAGTTTTATAGTTTTTGAGCTTATTTCTAAGTCCTTAATTCAAGTTGATTTTTGTATATGGTGTAATATGAAGGTGAAATTACATTTTTTTGACCTATGGATATCCAGTTTTCCCAATAATATTTATTGAAACAATTATCTTTTCTCCATTGTGTATTTTTGGCACCTTTGTTGAAGATTAGCTGATCATGTATGCGTTGGTTTATTTCTTCACTCTCTATTCTATGGGTCTACTAGTCTATGAAGTCTGTCTGACTGGTGTCATGCCAGTACCACAATGTTTTTATTACTGTAGCTTTGTAATATATTTTAAAATCAGGAAATGTGATGCCTGCATATACTTGTTCTTCTATCTCAAGATTGCTTAGGCTATCCATGGTATTTTGTGATTCCATATAAATTTTAGGATTGCTTTTTCTATTTCTGCAGAAAATGCCATTGAATTTTGATAGAGATTGCATTGAATCTGTAGGTTGTTTTGGGTAGTATAAACATTTTAATAACACTAATACTTCTGATCTGTAAATATGTGATATCTTTCCATTTTCTTATCCTTTCATAATTGAGTAGGATGCTGGCTATGGGCTTGTCATGTGTGACCTTTTTTATGTTGAGGTGCATACTTTCTATATCATGAAAGGATGTTGAACTTTGTCAAGTGCTTTTTCTGCGTCTATTGAGATGATCATGTAAGTTTTATTCTTTATTTTGTTAATGTCATATATTACATTTATGGATTTGTGTATGTTCAACCATCATTGCATCCCATGGATAATTCCCCACTTGATCATGGTATATACTGTTGAATTTGGTCTGTTAGCATTTTATTGAGGATTTTTGCTTCTGTGTTCATTGGGGATATTGGCCTATACTTTTCTTGTTGAGTCCTTGTCTGTTTTTGGTATCAGGGTAATGCTGGCAGCCTCATAAAATGGGCTTGCAGGTATTCCCTCCTATTTATTTTCTTGTAAGAGTTTGAGAAGAATTTGAATTAATTCTTTTTAAAATGTTTTATAGAATTCACCCATGAAGCCATCTGGTGCTGGGTTGTTCTTTATTGGTAGGTTTTTGGTTACTAATTCAATCTCCTTACTTATTATTGGTCTGTTCAGATTTTCTTTTTCTTCATAATTTAGAATTGGTAGGTTGTATGTTACTAGGAATTTATTCATTTCTTCTAGGTTATCTGATTTGTTGGCATATAATTCTTTATAGTATTCTCATGATCCTTTGTACTTCTGTGGCATCAGTTGCAATGTCTCTTTTTTCATTTATGATTTTGAGTCTTCTTTTTTTCTTAATTTAGCTAAATATTTGTCAAATTTGTTTATCTTCTCAAAAAACAAACACCTTATTTTTTTAATCTTTTCTATTGCTTTTCTAATCTCTGTTTCATTCATTTCTCTTCTAATAATTACTCTTTCCTTCTTTTTGCTAACTTTGGGCTTAGTTTATACTTTTCCAAGTTGCTCTGGGCATAAAGTTAGGTTGTTTATTTGAGATCTTCCTTTTTTCTGATGTAGGTATTTTTGCTATAAACTTCTCTCCTGAAACTGCTTTTGCTTCATAACATGAATTTTGGAATGCTGTGTTTCCATTTTTGTCTAAATATATGATTTTTAATTTTCCTTTTGATATCTGTCTTGACCCATTGGTTGTTCAGGAGTGTGATGTTTAATTTCTACATATTTGTGAATTTTCCAATACTCCTTTTGTTACTGAGTTCTAGTTTCATACTATTGTAGTCAGAAAAGATACTTGATACAATGCCAATTGTCTTAAATTTGTTAGGATTGTTTTGTGGCCTGACACATCATCTATCTCATAGAATGTTTCATGTGTACTTAAGGAGAATATGTGTTCTGCTCTTGCTGGATTTTCTGTGTATATTCATTAGATCTATTTGATTTATAGTATTATTCGAGTCTGCTGTTTTTATTTTTATTGGTTTTCTGTTTGGATGATCTATCTAATATCGTGAGGATTTTTAAATCCCCTATGCTTACTGTATTTCTATTTCTTTTTTTAGTTCCATTAATAATTGTTTTATATAGTTAGGTGTTCCAATGGTGGTTGAACATATATGTTTATAACAGTTATGTCTTCTTGATGAATTGACCCCTTTATCATTATATAATGACTTTCTTGGTCTCTTGTGACAATTTTTTACCTAAATCTATTTTATGTGATATAAATATAGCCACCCCTGCTCTTTTGGTTACCCTTTGCATGGAATATGTTTTTCCATTCCTCCACTTTTAGCCTATGTGTATCTTTAAAGTTAAAGTGAGTCTCTTGTAGTCAGTATAGAGTAGGGTGGATTTTTTTTTTCCCATTCCATCACTCTGTATCTTTTGATTGGGAAATGTAATCCATTCACATATAAAGTAATTGAAGCATTTTTTAATAGATAAGGACTTGTTATTGTGATTTTCTTCATTGTTTTCTGAATGTTTTATAGTTTCTTTGTTCCTTCTTCTCTTGCTGTTTTCCTTTGGGATTTGATGACTTTTTTATATTGTTATGGTTTATTTCTTCTTAATCTTTCATCTATCTATTAGATTTTTCTTTGTTATCAACATGAGGCTTGCATAAAACATCTTATAGTCATAATAGGTTATTTTAACCTGATAACAACTCAACTTCAATGGCATACAAAAAATCTACACTTTTATTTTCCCGACACACATTTTATTTCACTGATGTTACAATTTACATCTTTTTATAATGTGCATCATTAATAAATTGTTGTAGCTTCAGCTACTTTTAGTACTTGTGTCTTTTAACTTTTATATTATCATTAAAAGGTTTTTATTAATTGCCATTACAGTCTTAGAGTATTCTGAATTTGACTATATACTTACCTATACCAGGATGTTTTATATTTTCATATGCTTTCATGTTGCTATGTAGTGTTCTTTTTTTTTTTTTTTCAACTTTAAGAACTCCCTTTAGCATTTTTTGGAAGGCAAGTCTGGTAATAATTAACTCCCCCAGCTTTTGTCTGCGTAACTCTTTATCTCTCCTTTATTTCTGAAAGATAGTTTTTTGGGTAAAGTATTCCTAGTTGAATTTTTTCCCCCAGTACTTTGAATCTATTATCCCACTCTCTCCTGATCTGCAAGGTTTCTTCTGAGAAATCTGCTGATAGTATTATGGAGGTTCCCTGGTATGTGACAAGTTGCTTTTTTCTTACTGCCTCAAAACTCTTTGTCTTTAACTTTTGACATTTAATTATAACGTGTCTTGGTGAAGAATTCTTGATATTCAGCCTACTTGAAATTCTTTGGGCATCATGGGTCTGAATGTTCATTTCTCTCCCCAGATTTGGGAATCATTCTGTCATTATTTTTTAAAATATGCTTCCTTCCTTTTTTTCTTTATCTGCTTTTTCTGGAATTCCCATAATGCATACATTGTTTTACTTAATGGTGACCCATAAGTCATACGGCCTTTCTTCACTATTTTCATTCTTTTTGCTCCTCTGGATAATTTCAAATAATCTATCTTTGAGTTATTTAATTCTTCCTTATGTTTACTTGAGTCTGCTGTTGAAGCTGTCTATCAAATTTTTAATTTCAGTCATTGCATTCTTCAGCTCCAGAATGTTTTTGGCTCTTTTTTATAGTTTCTAATCTCTTTATTGAATTTCCAATTTTGTTAATGTATTGTTTTCTTGGTACTCTTGTCTATGTCTTTTTTCTTGTAGCTCACTGAACTTCTTTAAAAGGTTATTTTTGTCACGAAATTCGTAAATCCTCATTTGTTTAGGGTTAGCCACTGGAACTTGATATTTTTTCTTTGGTGGTGTTATGTTTTTGAGTCTTCGTTTTTCTTAAAATCTTGTGTTGCTGTTTTTGCATTTGAAGAAGCAATGTCCTTCTCTAGTCTTTACTAACAGGCTTTGAGAGACAAAGAAAGACTTTCACCAGTCTGCGTAGAAGTACTGGGAGTCTCTCGGGCATTATGTATTTGTGTGCTTGTCCCATTTCTCTTTTTCTCCTCTTTTGGGAAGAGAGTCTTAGGATTGTGTGTTTTTTATTGTTCTCACAAAGTCTGTCTGAATGCTGACAGCCTTTCATTTCCTTCTCCAGTAAAGTCCCCTTAAGTGTTCACAGTTGTGCATTTTCTCCCAATCTTGCACAGTTGAGCCAGCTGCTTATATTCATGTACTATCTGCAAGGATTTGCCAATGCCTCCTATAGTGGCTATGTGCATTGTTTTGAGGAAATGTACAGAGAGCTGGAGCACACGCTGGCCAGCAAGGGGTAGCTACAGGTGATGTATCCCATGGAATTCATGGGTGGGTCTCTTGGTGAAGTCTATAAGCCAGTTACTGGGATCTGTGGGCAGTTTTTGAGATCCATGTGTCATTTGCTGTGAGCCCTGCCCCTTTTCCTTGCTCTTTGCACTACTCTTCTCAGGCTGTTCTGTTGTGCATGTCTCCTCAGTAATCTGAGTAGGGCAAGACAGTAAGTGACCTTCTTGGACAGCATTCTGCAAGGCTAGTGAGGCTGAGTGCCTGATATGGTTTGGCTTTGTGTCTCCACCTAAATCTCATCTTGAATTGTAATTCCATAATCCCCACATGTCATGGGAGGGACCTAGTGGGGAGGTAATTGAATCATGGGGAAATTTCCCCCCTGCTCTTCTCATCATAGTGAGTGAGTTCTCTTGAGATCTGACGGTTTAATAAGGGACTTCCCCCTTCACTTGGCATTCATTCTCTCTCCTGCCACCCCGTGAAGAGGTACCTTCCACCATGATTGTAAATTTCCTGAGGCCTTCCCAGCCATGTGGAACTGTGAGTTAATTAAACCTCTTTCCTTTATAAATTACCCAGTCTCAGGTATGTCCTTATAGGAGCATAAGAACAGATAATTACAGTGCCCACTCTGTTTATACTTTCCCCGTAAGACAAGCCATGGGCCAAGGGGGTCTCTCTTGAGCTGTGCCACTTTGCAGTAGAGGTGACACAGATAAGTGCAATTGTTTCTCTTACCCCTTCAGTGTGTTTATTTTCAGATTATTTGCTAGGATAGGGTTAGGGACTCTCTCCACTGGAACCCCAGGTTCTCAGAGAAATATTCCTGTCTCTGGATAGTTATCAAAATTAATATTTCTGTGGCAATATGATGAGTATAAGCTCCTATTTAGCCATCTTGCTATTATTTGTTCAAAAATTTCTGACAGTCTTGGAATAGCATGATGTGAGTTAAACCCATGTTTCAAGCATAAAGTTCGAGAGGGTATAAAAAATTCAGTAATCAACTTAAATAATATTTTAATGCAATATTTAAAAAATCAAATTGGCAAACTATGGCTTGCAGGTCAGCTGCCTATATTTGTCAATAAATTGTTATTGAAACCAGGCCTGGGGATTAGGGTAACGTGAGTGAGGCAGAGTCATGCAAGTGGTGGATCTCGTCTTTATTTAGAATTGTGAAACCTTGCTCCTGTACCCACAAAAATAAAAAAAAATTAAAATTCTAAATTTAAAGAATTATTATTCATGTATTTATAGATTTTTGCATTCAAAAATAACATGTTAAAGGAATGGGGTATGTGCATGTGTGTGTACATATATATACACACACACCATAGAGAATATATATTATTGAAATATATTTTCCTGTAATAGTTTCTAATTACTAATTATAGTGATGTGTGTACATATATATCAAACATATATTATAGAAAATATATATGTATTTTCACACATACTCTGTAATAAAGAGAAAATAATATCTATAAGTTTTTCCTTCAATGATTTCTATATCAATGTAAAAAAATTTGGAAACGACCAGAAAAATGTAACTATTTAAAAGAAAATAGTGTTTTATATTTATCCTACTATTAATGCTAACTTCAGGTATGTACTTAGTTAATTACTCTGAATATTTTTCTGAGGATGCCCTATTGCATATTTTCACACTCTTTTGATTCCATTATTACATGTGTTGACCTTTTATTTGCAACAGACTCCTCTAAGGATGCAGCAAAATGCTGTAATATAGGGGATGAATGATGTTGTAGAGTGCATTCCTACAAAGTGCAGAATTGATTGGCTTGCTTATGATCTAGGAACATGAAGTTTGAGTCTTAGGAAACTAGGCAGTTCAAATTTGCTCTGATCTCTATGAAGCGGGGACTTTTTTTTTCTCCTGCATTTCTTGTACTACTAGGCTTCAAGGTAAGGTGGTGTCTTCCTCACTTCTTTTTCCCATATTTCTCCTTAACATTTCCCTGTCTTTGAAAATGCTGCCATGAGATTATCCGTACATCCTTCCTTGCTGCAGTCACTTACAGAATGCACTCATTCCTTTAGTATTTTTAGCTTTGCCTCATTGTCATTCTTACCAACACCACTTCCCATCATACTTCTTAGGGATCTCAATAACCACATGAATGACACTTGTTGACATTGAGCTTCTTGACCTCTTCTTTGTTAATCTATTCCTCTACCTTATGTGAGACATTTGTTTTCAAGGTTCTATCAATTACTGCACTCCTTCCATAATCTCAGCTTTAAGTGTTCTACTTTGTGACCACCTTCTATTTTTCTAGCTAGTAAGCTGACTCCAAAACAAGCTCAACTGATTCAATCATGTGTTCACTGTCCTCTCTTATCTGATTTCATATTCTTATTTTCCTCCTTAAACAGCTTAGATTCCATGGTTTGTAATTATAAACATTACTTTGCATATGCCTGCATTTCCCTTGTCCCTCTCTCTTTTAGGAATCAGGATTTAAACTCAATCAGACTAATTCCAGTGTTTGAGCTCCTAATTACTGCAGTATACATATATTATCTCATTTGAGTCTTACAACACACCTGTAAAAATAAATAAGAAAATAGGAGCTTGGAGAAGTTAAGTAAGTCCTCCAGGAACACACAGCTTGTAAGTGGTGAAGCAGTATTTAAACTCTGCCTGCTTTGTGCCTGCATCTCAGCAGCTAAACTGAGGGTAAATCTATACTAACTCATTGCACTTTAAGTTCATGACCATTTCCACTAGACTTACAGTGCTGTCAGGCAGACCCACATTTCCTTAGTCTGTTTCATTTTTCCCAATACTTCTACCCTCTTCTCAAGAATCAAACTCTCCCTCATACTCAGTCTCTGATAATCTTGATTTATATTTCACTGAAATTATAGAAGCAATCTGAAAATATTGTTCCCAGTGTCTCACCACCACATCTACCATCCCATCTGCATGGAGACCCACCCATATACTTCACCTTCCCTCTCCTTAATGTAAATCAGCTAACTGTGCTCCTATGCAACCCCTCCAATGTTCACTAGAACCTCATCTAGGTGATTTTCCTACTAAAAAAAAAGCCCTCTTTTTTTAATTACATGCCCCTCTCCAGTTTCTTCTCCATTTCTCTTCTCTCTTTCTTTACAACATAAGCCTTCAAAAGAGCTATCAATACACACTGTATCTAGGTCTTCTCTGATTTTCTCCTGTTCCCATAGCAATAGAATTTTAGCTCAACCACTCCATCAAGAGTAGCTGTTATTTAAGTGTACCAATGTTTTCCATTTTGCTACGTCCATGGATCTTTGATCCTCATCTGGTTTGACACAATTATGCCTTCTTTTTAAAAATAATTCCTTCATGTGACTTCAAAAACATCACTTTCTCTTACTTCTATTTCTACTTCTCTGGCCACTTCTAAATATCACAGTCTTTGAAATCTCTTGCATTATACCTCTTTACCTACACTTTCTCTCTTACCTGTATGATTCAGTCTCAAGGCTTGTAGAACTCCATTCTTCTTACTGTTCCAGCCGAAGTGTTTGCTGTCATCTTTCTCCTTACACACATGGAAATCAATTTATATGGAGCTCCTCTTGTCTCTACTTTAAGCATATAATAAAAATCTATAATTTTACCACTTTTTCTTTTACTACTGCCACTCTTACCAAAGTCATTATAATCTCTTGCCTGGATTATTATTATGACCTCCCACCTGTTCTCCCTGTCTTTGTGTTTTGTTTCTCTACAAATTATTTTCAACAGAGCAGCCATGTAAACCCTCTACGTAAAATCCTCCAGTGGTTTTCCATGCGATTCCACGTAAAACCCAAAGCCCTATTATCTAAGGCTGTTTCTGAACTGTAATATCATGCCTTAGACTGAGTAGTTTGTAAATAATATAAATTTATTTTTTACAATTTTGCAGGCTAAGAAATCCAAGATCAAGCTGCAAGCAGAGTTGGTGTTCTAGTGAGGGCTCTTCCCTGCTTTTTTTTTTTTTTTTTTTTTGAGACAGTCTGGCTCTCTTGGCTAGGCTAGAGTGCAGTGGCACAATCTCGGCTCACTGCAACTTCCACCTCCCGGGCTCAAGCAATTCTCCTGCCTCAGCCTACCGAGTAGCTGGGATTACAGGCATGTGCCACCATGCCCGGCTAATTTTAGTATTTTTAGTAGAGATGGGGTTTCACTATGTTGGCCAGGCTGGTCTCGAACTCCTGACCTCAGCTAATCTGCCCGCCTTGGCCTCTCAAAGTGCCCTGCTTTTAATATGGTGCCTTGTTGCTGTGTCCTCACACGGCCAAAAAGCAGGTGGGGCAAAAGGGCCTAGCTAGTTCCCTTCAGTACTTTTACAAGATTACTAATCCCATTCATGAAGGCTCCACCCTCATGACTTAATTGCCTCCTAAGGCATCACCTCTTAATACAGTCATATTGAAATTTGTTGATGTTAATACATCCAACATATGAATTTTGCAGGGGCACATACATTCAAATCATAGCACCTATGAAGCCCCATAATAACTGGTAAGTGCAAAATCATTCACTGTCTTTATGTTCTATTATCTTATCCCTTATTCACTCTGCTCCACACTGGTCTCCTTGTTGTTTCTTGAGCACATCAAGAATGCTTTTGCCTCATAGGTTTTGCCCAGGCTTTTGCTTTGACCTATATCTTTTATTTATTTATTTATTTATATCAACCAACCACATGGCTTATTCCCATACAACTGTTATTTTCTGGGAAATGTCATTTTATCAGTGAGACCTTCCTTGACTACACTCTATATAATAGACTTGCCACCACAGTTTTAAAATTTGTAGTACTTGTCAACATACTAAATACTTATAATTTTTTAAAATCCTTTTGCCACTAGTAGATATAAAATTCATGTAAACAAGAATTGTTTTGAGGTTCATTGCTGTTTCTCCAGCATGTAGACCTATGGCTAAGACAAAAAGGTACTTAACAAACATCTGTTCAATAAATGAATAAATGAAGGAGCCTGGAAAATCTCTTGTATCAGACAACCTAATTTAAGAATAAAAGTAATGAATTTATTTCCATGGCAAAACTTTCAGCATGGCTAGAGAAAATATAGAAATAGTGATTATACACAGTTCAAAGAGCACTGTTTGAGTCCTCACAGCCAAGTGCCATGAAGACCATACAGATGAGAGATAACCAGCGACTGTTTACAGATACTACCTGTAGGAAGCTTACAATTGAATACAGGCAGCAGTGCACTGAAGGGAGAAGAACATATACAAATATGACCTAGACTATATTCCTATAATGACAGAAGTCAGATAAATGCTGTGATTTAATTCTTTAGAAAATTGGATCTCATAACATGTGACATGATGAAGTGACTTTTGTTTATCCACCCAGAGTTGAAAAAAAGGTCCATAACATTTGGGGCATATCTTGAATATCAATTAAATGATCTAGAAGATTGACATGAAAAAATAAACTGAATGTTTATAAAAATCCATTGTTAGATGAGTAAAAGCTTGTATAACAAACGTTACACAAAAACTCATGTAGACCATTAAGAGAGAGGCTTTAAAAACTGCTGTATTTTCCCTTGACTAGCGTTATTCCCGTTTTCACTATTTTTGTCCTAAATTTTTATATAAACATATTTACAAATTTATACTTAAATTCGCATGATACTTTAGAGAGTTTCATTCTGCCCAAAGTCCCAAGATGCCTCATAGGGTGTCATTCTTCATCTTTCTTTTTGTATCTCATCACTACTCTCTTGGGTTTGACGATAAAATTGTCCTTTATGTCCTAAATCACTTGGTCAATGACTTGGCCTTTGAGTTTCCTTAGCTCTATATCCCTTACCATCTCCCAGCATCATTTACTCCCAATACATTCCATCTCCTGAGAACTCCAGCCCTCACAAGAGTCCCACTTCCATCCCTTACTAGAGGAGAGAGGGCAGGCAGCTCATATCAGAGTACATGTAGATGTGAAAGGCTGCCTCCCACCTACAACTTGCCATTTAACTCTGGGTCCCTTTGAAAACCTTTAACCTGTCACAAAGAGTAACATAAATATCACTTTGATAAAACTGTTATTTTTTTCTGGTGAAGACAAGAGTTTGATTACTATCTGTATCTGTCTTAGTAGTCATTCATTAAAAAATACCCTTATTTTGACCACTCCACATCTTGAAAAATTCCCAGTGCTTTTTTAAAAGAGAACATAAGTTCTACTTTCCAATCCTAATCAATCATTCATATTAAATAGACATTTTATGAGTACCTATTATAGATGCATAAAAATGAATAAAACATTTTTCTTCCCCTTAAGGAGTTTTTGGGTTTGGGAGAAGACAAAAATGCAATGAATAATTACAAGAGCAATAACTATTATAGTATTGAATGTATGTACAGAACATGGGAGAAAGGAGCAATCAATTAGAATTGCCTGTTATAGACCTAGAAGATTACAGAGAAATGGCATTTGTACTGGCTAATGGAGGCTGAGTCCTGTTCTTTTAATTTTTTTCTAGTTTTTCCTACTCCTTTGGTCATGATAGTAAATGTGACCAAAAGCAAGATGTTGGCATTTATATACAGAGATGATTACATTGGTTCTCTTTTCCAATAACAGCCCCAGGTCTCTTCTAACCCCAGATCTTCACTGGTCCCACTTATGACCCAAAGGCACAACTTTGTACTGTGGCTGGTGTAGTCTGTGACCAGTAAAATAAATAAATAAATAAATAAATAAATAAATAAATAAATAACATTTGTAACCTTAGATTTTTTTTTTGACCCAGAGGTTCTCATAAATGACATACACAAAAATGCTATTTCCCTTTGAGGTGCACTCTCATTGGTGGAACCAAAATTCTGTACAAATGCTGGCCTGATAATGATAGCTATCATTACACTAATTTTGTGTTCCTTTAAAAGGGCATATTGGAATGCAAGTGAATGAGTGTGGGTGACAAGGATATCTGCTCTAAGTTATAGAAAAAGTAGCCATTGTTCATGCCTGAAGAGTGGCATCTTATTATTGTTAAATTACTTCTAACATACCTTTCAACTGATGAAGATAAATTACTAAGCTACAATACCATGATTTTAAACAATTGTTATATTCAGTAAATGTACTGGCCTGCCACAGGATGTAAGGCTTTTTAATGATTTTTGAATGTATATTAATCTTTTTAGAAGTAACACAATGTATAGATAAGAACATAACATTTAGACTCAGAGGACTTGAGTCTAGTTCTGTGTTCCAAGGTATATCAGTTACATAATATTGAAGAACCTGCTTAAAAATACTGGGCCTCAGTTTAATTACGTGTACCAGTGGATTGTGTAAATGACAAAGTACTCAACAATTTTGATTTTTTATTATTATAAAAACAGTATCAATGCACAGTGCTAGTTTTTTTGTTTTTGTTTTTGTTTTTTCTGTTTTGCCCTTATTGCTTTCATTTTCTTTCCTGAATAGAGCTAACCCCACAGT
Source organism: Homo sapiens (assembly GCF_000001405.40). Lineage (NCBI taxonomy): Eukaryota > Metazoa > Chordata > Mammalia > Primates > Hominidae > Homo > Homo sapiens. Next base: position 89,885,119 of record NC_000005.10, on the reverse strand, counting down.
ACTTTTACAACTTGCTTTTTCTAATTCATCATGAGTTTCTGTAGTGAATTGGGAATTTTACAATTGGGTAGATAGGATACAGTTTGTGATCAGGAGACTGCTGAATTATCTAGAGAATTTCACAGTGTTGAGTTACTCATTATTTTAAGAGGAATTTCTATTTTTTAAATCTTATGGGTGTGGTAAGTAAGAAAGAAGGACTAGGCCAGTTATGATTTCTAAAGAGAAATGGAAAAGGTGGGAAGAGAGAAAGAAGGTGGCATGGAAAATAAAACATCGTAAGACAGTACAAGGAAAATGCTCCTGGGGGGCATAAAACTGTGATTAGATGGACCCATGCTGCTTCTGTGGAGAAGGGAGACCTTCTGTACTCTAGCTACTGGGGGACCACTGGAGGCCACCTGTAGGGATTAATGTTTTAATAACGTTTTAATAACATCTGGACACTGCTGCTACTGATTTCAAGGAGAGATGCTCCAAGGAGAGCCACTCCAAGGAGAGCCAGCATAAGGAAAGGGTTTGCAGAGTTTGTATTTCAGATATACATCAGTGGTTATATGATACTAGATTGTTCATTCTTTCAATAAATATTTCTTTAGTTTCTACTGTGTGACAGGAACAGCAATAAGCATAACACATGAAAATTCCTATTCTCAGGGAGCTTATATTGCAGAGAAATATAAGCCTTTATTGTGAATAAAATATTTGCTGGTTTACTGGATTTTTATTTATTTTCCTTCCCATCCCCTATTGGATTATTTAATTATCAATATAATGACCTATGGGCATTCTCATTGTATTTCTACTGATGCAGGTTGCCAGAGGCAGCTTGGTGTAGATGCCATCCCATCTATCACTAACCAGGTACATGCTCTTACCACAGAATCAGAGTCCAAAGAAACAGATGAGTTCTTTCAGCAGGTATCTACTTCTCTCTTACTCTCAGTTTAGTGACTTATGATCTATCAGAAAAAGGGAAGGAAGTTATCTTCTCCTGAAAGTAACTTCTGCATAAAAGTGTGCCTCCTTTTGAAGCTTGCTCTCATTTCTTTACAGATTTATGAATGGTGCTCATTGCTGACATCCAGGCTTCTATAGACCCAGAGTCTGTTAAGTCAGACCTTTTTGCATCTGCAATCAGGATGTGTCACCCTAAGAATAATCTGTCTTAACAATGAAACACAAGGGTTTTCACTGTCTCTCAGGGAGAGCTGCTCCACCAAGTTTGGGATCAAGTATTTTGGCTAATGGAAGACAAAGCATTTCCACTTCTATGGTAACAACAAGATTGTATTTGTTCCAATAGGAAAATATCAAATATTCAAAAAGTGAGTGAGTGTGGCAGAGTCATGTAGATGTCTCCAGTATCTATTTCCTTTTTTAATTTATTAATAGAACCTCCAAATTATAGCTGCCCAAAACAAAGGCAACATTTTCTAATTTCTCCTGCAGTTTAAAGTGGTTAGGTGATCAAAAAGGCCAAGGAGAGATAATGTGAACAACTTCTAAATAATGTTTTTAAAGGAAGGGCGTGCTACTTTATACCTCCTTGCAACATTCTCATTTGGAATGAGAACCCAGTGGTCATTGTACTGAGCCATCTTCAACTGCAGGCAGGCAAGTCCTAGTGGGTAGTAAAGTGAAATTAAAGAAGGATTTTTCATCTCTAGCTCCATTGAGCTGCCACTCCAGTCCTGAACTACGTACCGAAACCTTGATGTCTTTAATAACCATTGCACTTTAATGGCTTCTTGCTTCAATAGGCTAACATATATCTCAACTAATCTAGAGCTAAATGACTGGGTAATAAATAGACATTAAAATGTTACATTATCAATAACTTTCTTTAACCAGTTCCAGCAATATTTTACATGAAAGTATAAATATATACACAATGTATATGTATGTATAGATGACTACCCCATTCTCTGAGAGAATATATATAGAAAGAGAATGGAAATATTTTAGGGATGACTAATAAGAGTGTATTTTATAAAATTTTCATGTGGTGGCAGGCACCTGTAATCCCAGCTACTCAGAAGGCTGAGGCAGGAGAATTGCTTGAACCTTGGAGGTGGAGGTTGCCGTGAGCCGAGATTGTGCCACTGCACTCAAGCCTGGGCAACAGAGCCAGACTCCATCTCAAAAAAAAAGGTTTAAAAAATAATGAAAAAAGATATATCTTGTTAAACATTAAGTTCACATAATTTTATAAATTGTCATTTTGGTGTCAGTAATAACTTTGTTATAATTCATGATCTCTAAAAGTCAATGAAGAAGAGAAGACCTGAAAAGTACATAGAAGAAGGTGAACGTTATTGTACTGTAGATATTCTAATGTTGAATTTCCCCATTTCAGATATTTATTTTTTAGCAATAATAATACAACCGTGCTTGCATTTGGTTGCAAAATTCATTTATAGAAACATTTTTTCTTTGTGAACAAATGGGAAAAATTAAACCCCTAAATATTAACTAAATAATATCTTGATGAAGATTTTAAAACAGTTTGGCTAGCATTTTTTTCTCCTTAGAAGTGATGTTGCTGTGAAATGTGAGGATAACACTTCATGTGTTACTATTTGTTGTGAAGTGGTTTAATAAATGTTTAAACAAGTCATTACCACGTTGACAGCATCTCTTATCATGGAGTTGCAATTTTGGTATTGATTGTCATGCTAGGCTTCCCACCACCTTCCTCTGCCCTGAAAATGTGGGGACACAAAAACATGACCCTCAGAGTGTGTGAACAGACTGGATTCGCTGTGAATGTCTGTTCTTGAGTCTTCCTCTCATGTGCTGAAGAAGGAAAAACCATCAGCCCTTCTTTCCACACTGACGTGGCAGCAGGCAAGGAAGGGAAAACTGTGTTTAGTGTAGTTCAACTGCTAGGAGAGCACCAGGGTAGCATCTTTGGAGGATAATATGTTTTTGCTTATTTGTAAGTAATCTCAAAAGAAGCAGCAAAGAAATTTTTTCTCAGCTTGTCTAATACTTTACAAATTTAAACTTTCACCCAAGGAATAAGTATAGTTTAGCCTTCTGGATCCTTAGAGTAAAGACCACAACCTTGCTTTCATGAATAGGTATAGTAAAAAATAATTTGTGCTATGGGCTGCATGTTTGTGCCCCACCCCCCTCTGCCAAACTTATATGTTAAAATCCTAACCCCAGGTGATGGTGTCAGAAGATGAGGCATTTAAGAAGTGATTAGGTCAAGAGGGCAGAGCCCTAATGAAGGGGACTTTGGCTTTACGAAAGAGGCCCCTTCCACTATGTGAAAACACAACAAGAAGGTGCCACCTATGAGCCAGGAAACAGGCCCTCACCAAACACTGAATTTGCTGGTGCCTTGACCTTGAACTTCCCAGTCCCCAGAACTGTGAGGAATAAATTTCTGTTATTTATAAGCCAACCAGTTTATATATTTTGGTATCAAATGGACCAAGGCAATCTGTGATATTTATTCATTTAATAATAATTATGAGCTCCTATTATGTGCCAGGTGAATAATGAACCCAACAGGTATCACTTCTGTCCTCTTGAAACTTAAAGTCACATGGTGGATCAACATTGATCTTTGTTTTCATCTTCCTGTGAGACTCAGGAAAATTACCTTCAGCAAAAACATTACTCTGTGATCCTCAGGCTGCTCTACCAGGAACTCTTCCCCTTGAGCTTTATCAATGAGACCAAGTGTGACCTGAGTACGGTATAGTACCTTCAGTCTTACAATCTTAAAGATGGAAGGTCCCTTAATTTATTTACTGCAGACTTTTTCTTGAAGGAACTCTATCAGGTGGATGGCAATTCAGTTTTATAAGGGTATCCTGCCAGATGTATTTTCCAATTTGTATGATCGTATAAGGAAATGAAGTCAGTAGAGGTTTGATCATAATAGATCCATGTTTAATCCTAGTGACCACCATTTCTTCATAAATGTTGCCAACATGAAACATTTCAACAATATTTTAGGGACTAGTTGGGATTTTGGTATCCACCTTTCTTCCCTGTTGAAAATCAGTAAAGTTGCTCATCTCAAGTTTTCTGTCATCTTTCCCATTCTCGTCAGGAGTTGTCACTTTCTGGATATATTTTTTGGTTGTCACCACGGACAGAAGGGGTGAAAGTGGCATCTAGTGAGTAGAGGCCAGAGATAATTCTAAACAATTTACTATATACAGTATAGGCCCCCACAATAAAGAATTATTTGGCCAAAAATATCAACAGTGTTTAGTGTGAGATAATCTGATTTTAAACAACTCAAATATTTATTTGTTTTTGTTAAAATATTTTCTTTGAAATCATTTTTCTGTCTCTCCCCTTATACACAATTATACCCAGATAAAATATCAGTTATTGAAGTGTAGTACCCTTTCTTTCTTCACTGATTTATTTTTTTACTACACATTTAATGTGTGTCTGTACTAAGTACTCTAGGAAACACAGTGATAATAAGTCTTTGTTTCTGGCTTCATCATCAAAAATATATCTGTGAATTAAAATAATCATAGTTTAAGGTTAAAAACTGGTTAATCATACAAGAGCAGACAGAAAGTACCAGAGGAAGTTGGAAAGATTTGGTTATATCTGGCTGGAGTAATACAGAAAATACAATGGAGGAGGTAGCATTGGAGCTGGGTCTTACAATTTGAACATGCTGAGGTTAGGGGACAGTCAGGAAGTGAGAAAGGAAGAAGGTATATGGAGCTAGCTGGGGCAGGCGGGGGCAGGCTTATGGGACAGTCTTGGCTTGGCTTGAGGGTGAATGCATAAAGGTCAATATAGAGAGATGTAGTTGGGAAAATTCTTTGTTCTCTTACCGAGATCTTAACAGCAAAGTCCAAATTGTGTATTTATTATTCTGAAACTGTGCATGTCAGAATCACTATAATGGTTTTTAAAAATTATGCCAAATTTTCATATTGTACATCAAACAAACTAGAATTTTTTATTGCAATCTAAGCTTGTTTGATGTTGTCCTGAGTTTCCATGTGTTTTTACTGCTTTTCCATCAGCTCAGGTTTTTCATAATCAGCAATCAACAAGCAGAAACTGTTTTTTATTCATTTTTGAGTCTGAAAATTCACCTTGAATATGCACATTCTCACAGCTTCAAGGGTCATAATAAGCCAAAAATACATAATTTAGAAGACAGCTCAGTGATTCACTCCCCAGTTTAGAGTGAAAATAAATTCTAGCCTGAGACAATAGCATTGATACAGAACATCTTTGGAAAGATCTATAAAAACGTGGCATTACATGGAGGGGCAATATCTAAATAGTAGTGATTCAGGAAGGTCATCACATTTTCCTTAGGGCTTGACTTAAACTGCTGATTCCTGGGCCTCTGTCTATATTGAATACACTGAATCAGGATGGAGAAGAAAACAGGACAACATTTTATTTTTTTCCTTTCACAAGTACATTAGGTAATACTTGTGAAACTAAGGTTTAAGAACCACTGTAGAAGATAGAAGACTCAGACTATAGTTAATCATGTTGCAGATGTGATAGTCAACAAATGTAAGAAATGAAATGTGTTCCAGAAATGTGGCTTTGGGGGATGAGTGAGGTCTAGGAGAATGGATTGAATTATAGTACACAAAAAAAAGATGAAGATGGGAGAAAATACAGAGAATGGAAGTTAAAATATTTATTTGTTTCTGATTAGCATTACTGAGAGGGAATTCCTGTGTTTTCTTTTTAAAAATACATCTATTTATTCTGTTGTAAAAGTAGAGACTTAAAGGAGGCATAAAAGTATGCTTAATTGTTAATTACCAAATCAGTTTTTTGGATTTGCCTGCACATGATTATAAAAATATATTGTTGTTTTTAGATTCTGATCAAAATCAAACTTGGGGGCATATATGTCACTCCTTTCCCTTTTGTTGAGCTAGTAAAAATATTATAAAATTATATTAGTTTTCAATTGAGGTTCCATCTACCTTTATTTTCTAATTACATCGATCATTAAGGTTGTAGTAACTTAAATGATTTTTTTAATTTTTTTCTATTTTATTCTCTTATTCATAAGTTTCATAAGGTCCCTAACTTGTTTTATGAAGTGCTCAGGTATTGTATTCATGTTTTGATTGTCTTTTAAAGCATAATTGTACCAGGTGTGCCTCCAAGGCCATCAACTGTAACGAGGACTATGTTCATGCTGTGCCTGTAACATAGAGTTGAGTTCTATAATAAAAATTTTTTGGCAATGAGAATGTCCCTCTGTATACTTGATTTGAAGGATCGAATTTACCTGCAGTCTGCTATGGCCTTTATCATAACTTTATTACTCTTTAGCACATTTATTTTCCTCTGTGAAATCAGAATGCTGATGTCACACCACCCTGCATTGTGATGATTATATGCAATAATTATGTAAAGCACTTAGCCTGAGGTTTCCAATAAATATGACTCCTCTTTTATTACCTTATTTATGTAGTAGAATTGATTAAAACGACTTCTGGCTTCCTTCTACCTAGCGCGAACTGAGAGTAGAAATTACTTTGACTTAATACAGAAGATTGGAATACTTTTTATGATATTCAGTACTTCTCTCTGTGGACCTCCTTCTGCAGAGGAGGCTTATGTATCTCTGCAGTGCTCCACTTAGGCACTGCCATGTGACTAGCGTTAGCTAATGAAATGTGAGTGGAAATAATGAGTCACTTCCTAGCAGAGGTGCTTAGAGCCAATGCATGATTCACAGTGTTCTCTTTTTCTCTTTGCTACCAAGACAGACAATGCTTCGCAGAAGCCCCATAGAGAGGCCGCTCCATCAGCCTCCATGCCAGGGAGAATGCTATCTGAACCTGGAGCTGGGATAAAGCTGACCCACAGTGAACACAAGCCATGAATGAGAAAGAAATATTTGTTGGAAACCACAAAGATTCTGTGGTTATTTTATGTTGCATAACTAACCCACGTAAGGAATTTAGTGAGGAATAAATAGTAAAGCATACTCCATAACAGTCCATTTGAAGTCCCACTATTCATCTTAAGCTTTCCTCAGCCATGGACACAGGTCATAGCAGTCCGTTTTGCCTCTCAAGCCCTGTTTGGCCTCCTGACTGGGCACCTTGTCAAACCTGCTCTAAGGCATTGTAAAGTGTTTGAGGGAATGTGACTCTTTTAAAATCCCCACAGAGAGGATATGCACCAAACAGCTTCTCTGAACCTAACTGTAGAACGTTGGCAGGTGTATTTTACACTTTAGTGTAAAGCAAGCATCAGTGGGTCATACCACTGGACACTTCTGGAAGTCAATATAAACAGAAAAGGAGAGAAGTGCACCTAGCTTAGAGGCCTATGAATTTCGGGGCAGGGCTATTGTTTCTAGAACCCAGTAACGTCATCCTGCTTGAGTACGACTCTGTCGACAATACCAGCTCCAGATGCTTTTTTAAGAAAGAAAATTTATTTATGGTTTTAGCATTTGCTGTATTGTCCCCTCAATGAGCCACAGTATTAAGAGTATTTAACCTAAGACGTTTGGGGTATGACCATAGAACTCTTCTGAGAATGTATATAAAGTCTACATAGATTTTGAGCCTACATTTATGTAAAAAGATACCCCATTCTATTTTAACTAGAAATATTATTTTGATACAGAAAGGATCATTCAAAAATATTTATCGGGCCAGGTGTGGTGGCTCATGCCTGTAATCTCAGCACTTTGGGAGGCTAAGGCAAGAGGATCACTTGATGCCAGGAGTTCGAAACCAGCGTGGTCAACATAGCAAGACCCATTTCTACAAAAGAAAAATAAAATTAAAAAGTAACTGGGTGTGATGGTGCACAACTCTAGTCCCAGTTGCTTTGGGAGGGTGAGTTGGGAAAATTGCTTGAGACGAGGAGTTTGAGACTGCAGTGAGTCATGATTATGCCACTGTATTCCAGCCTGGGCAACAGAGTGAAACCTTGTCTCAAAAGAAAGTATAAAAGTATATATATATATGTACATACATATGTGTGTATATATATATGAATGTGTGTGTATATATATATTAGTCTGTTAAACTGAGCTGCTTTTCTTATTTCTAGAAAAGATGTCATAAAAATTTTCAAAAATTTATAGAATTCCACTCATCATTCAGCACAAAAAATTAGAGCACTCTTTATCTGTTCCTTTTTCCTAAAGCAAGGGTTTCCTGTAAGCACCCATACATCTTAAATATTTCTCCATGTCATTAAGAGTGGATGAACCTAAGGATACACAGCTAATTTTTACGTCAGAATGTTGTGAGGTGGTATATCTTGTACTCATTTTGCAAAGACTGATGAAAACTATCATAACCTGGTGTATTTTTGAAGATTTCTCTTTCACTATTTCTTCATTCGGAAATATAGATTGGATTCTGACTCTGTCAGATGCTGTAAACATAGTATGTCACTATGAACATAGTGAAAGAATAGCTTATATTCTGGGGCATATATACAGCCTTCATTATTTGTGATGTAATCTCTTGAAAGTTTTTCAATTTGGAAAGCCTGATTTAAGGTAGTAAAATAGCAAAAAATGACAGTGAAACAAACATGTATTTAACACTAGGCAGGCCAGAAAAATGTAGTTGCATAAAGATATTATTGATCTAATTAATTAAAGTCAGTTGTACTAGTTTATCGATATTGAAACCCCAAGCAAACAAAATGTTCAAGCAGCAGCAATGTGAAAAGTAGAAACAGGAAGACATTTTTGGATATATTTTAACAGGGAGATTCTCAAATAAAAGAGATATAAGCTGTTTGGTCTGTGTTAGTCTCTGCTTTGGATTTGCTGAAAAATGATGTTTTATGATATTGTCAATTCTCTCTTATAATGGTCTATATTTGTAAAAATGGCTACTGTATTTGGTAAGTCTCAAATTTTCTTATAGATTATGAAAACAATCTATAAGAAAATTCCCATGTCAACAATTGCTAAATGCCTTCTAGATCATAGTATTAAGAACTTTGAGATGATATTTAGGCTTTTGCAGGAAAAAAGAGTCCTTATAGATAAGTGATATGTACTATGTTGAGATGTGTTGATGTATTGAGGAAGGCAATTATATCATAAATATCATGTATTTGCCATCCTTGTTTTATAACACTTTATAGTTATAATAAGTTAGAATTTGTCACCTTCTGATATTCTCTAAGTCAGATTATCAAGTGATTTCTTCTTTGATTCATTACTGTGACTTTATTAAATATTGCTAAAACCTCCTTTAATTTTTGAGATATTGGCGCACCTTCATCTTGGGAAGATTTCAAGCAGTGGTTTACTATGGAGGCATAGGAGAGTATATCAAGACCCAAGGATATGGTTGAAAGAAATCCTGAAGAACAAACACTGTCTCTTGATAAGGTTGCTCAATATTTATTATGAATGTGGGTTGGGATAATGGTGAGAGTTGGGGAAGGTTTAAATACAAGTAATTTTGAATTATACTGTAACGTTGAAAGAAGTTTAGATTATACAAATTTATGTGAAAACTTACTCCTGAGTAATATATTGAAATATTATATTCATACCCCAACAATGCCAACATGCTTCATGAAGTCAGTAAGGGTTAACAAAATCTATAAGCTGATTTGTGTCACATTACTGTGGTAACTGTAGGAAGCAGTTCTCAGTGGAAAAATCCCAAATATTGCTAATTCTGTTAATATTTTATTTTCACAGCATTTTTTTTTGCTACTTTATAATTTCCCACTTTCCTTGAAGGGAGGTTGAAGTATGCCAGGCATAATTTATCTTATATTTCAGTTTTGAAATACATATGCATATTTCTGTTTAATAAACTTTTTATAGAAGTTAATTTACAGCAAAATGTAGAAATCAAAAGTATACAGATTGATAAGTTTTCACTAAGTGAACCCATATATCCACCACACAGGCCAATAAATAATATATTACCAGCACTCATGAGTCCTTTTCTCAGAGGTAACCAACTATCTGGTTTCAAATTTTTTAGATACCTCATTTTGAACTTCATGTAAAAAGAAACAAACAGTATATGTCTGGCATCTTTTGAACATTATGTTTGTTAAATTCATCCATGCTATAGTGTTTAGTACTTGTTTATTCTTTCAATTGCTCTATAAATTTCCCTGTATGAGCATTTTAATTTATTTATCCATTTTACTGTTGATGAGCATTTGGGCTGTTTCCATCTTTAGCTATTATCAATAATGATGCTATGAACATTCTTAAACATGTATTTTAGTGCACACACAAAGGTATTCTATTCACTTTTAGAATATATCTAAAAGTGAAATTGGTATGTTATAGTTTGTGCATATGTTCAGTTTTAGTAGAAACTGCTAGTAGTTCTCCAAAACGGTTGAGCCAATTTATACTTCCAAGAGAAATATATATGACTTCCAGTTGTTCCACATTCGTACCAACAAGGTCTATTGTCAGTCCTTTAAACTTAGCTTTCTGGTGTTGAACAATAGTATTCCATTTGTTATAGTATGAATATCCTTTCTAAAACCCATGTTGCAATTTAATTGCCAGTATAACAACATTGGGAGGCAGAGCCTTTAAGAGGTGATTAGCTTATGAATGGATTAATGCAGTTAACTCAGGAGTGAGTGAGTTATCACAGGAGTGGGTTCTGGATAAAAGGATGAGTTTGGCCCCCATTTTCTGTCTCTCAAGTGTTACTTCCTCACTATGTGATGCCTTCTGCCATGGGACTACCCTTGCCACATGTCAGCACCATGCTCTTGGACTTTCCAGCCTCCAGAAACATGATCCAAATAAACTTCTGTTCTTTATAAATTACCTCATCTGTGGTACTCCATATAGCAGCAGAACACAGATTAAGAATACACTGTAGTTTTAACTCATGTTTCTCCAATACTTAATGAGAATGAGCACTCTTTCTTAATTATCCTCTTCTGTGAAGTGCATACTTACTAGTTTTAAATTTAATTGTTTGTATTTTTCTATTAATTTGTAGAATATTTTAAACATTTATGTTAGTTCTTTGTCATTTATACATTTGCATATTTTTCCCCCTGCTTTGTGACTTGCTTTTCAATTCTCTTAATGGTGTATTTTGATTAAAAGAAGCTCTTAATTTTAATGTAGTTCAAGTTCTTTATCTCTTTTCTTATGGCTAAGGCTATTCGAATGCTTTTCAAGAAATCTTTGTCTATTCAAAGTAATTAAAACATTCTATATTACTTTTCTTGATTCTTTATTTCTTATTGCCCTTTTACATTCAGATCCATTATTTGAAAGTGATTTTTGTTTATGGAATATGATAGAAATTAAGAATCATTTTCTTCTTATATATATATCTAACTCGATCATACCATTTATTAAAAATACTGCTGTTTCTTCATTGCTCTGCAGTGAAAATTTTGTTGTAAGTTATATGCTTATATTTGTGAATCTGTTTATGGACTCTCTTAATCCGTTCCAATGTTTTGGTTATGTCTCTTTGCATTAACACCATACTACCTTAATAACTATACTTTAAGGCCTTGACATCTGCTAGTACAAGTCATCCTGATATGTTTGACCATCATTAATTTCAGGATTCTGGGGAAATTTTATAAAGTCAGAACTTCATAAAATGCTATCTTCATCTTTAAATTTTCATTCTGACACATTTTTGTCTTTCCTGTAGAAAAATAGATTTGGCGCCACAACCTATTTTATAAGGATACTAGGAGAAATGCTCATTTTTATAAACACCATCTAACTACTGTTACTACTACTACTAATACTAATACTACTGTCATGATGAAACTAAACTTTATGAACACTTTAAAAGAAAAATAATTCAAGGAATTTCCAAAGTTTCTAAATGTGTCAATATATTTTTTCATTCAAATAAGAACTAAAAATATCCACTGCATACTAGTCCACATGAGTTTTTTCATTCCTGCTTAATGTATACCCTATGAAAGTACTGAAAATTTGTAAATAGTGTAAAGGATTTATTTGTCAGCTTAATGGGTATATTATAACAGCATCTCAAGTTTGTGACCAAAATTTCAACAGCTATTTTTGTTTGATAAAAATGTTGTAGAGAAAAACATAGTTCATTATATTCCTACTAGCTGTTTGAGAAAGTTCAGCCTTTGCCGTGCGTGGTTTCTCTGTATAACACTTGGTGGAATTGTAATGCTTTTACTGTCACGTCTAAATATCATTACACCTTAGAGAATCTGCAGAGTTATATAACACTGGGATAATCAAATTTACACCCCTTTCATAGCACAGACTCTGAGTTTTGCTGATGTAGAAAATGCAGCATCCTAAGACCTTCAGCTATCTTACCTAAAGTTTATAGGAAGACAGAAAGATAAACCAATGACTGAAAAGAAATTGAGAAAAATCTCTCCTGCAATGCAAATGAGAGAGAATGGACAAAAATAAATCAGGCTCCCCTAGCTTCACTTGTAGTCCTTTTAACCAACAATATTTTCTTTAGTTCCTGGCCTACTGCCATGAAGAAATTCGGAATTTGAATGCAAATTGATTGTTAAAAAAACAGAGATTTAATTTGGAAATGAGCAAGGTAATTAAGAAAGAATAAGAATATTTCTAATCTCTGAGATTTTCAGAGGAGTGAACTAAACCAGATTTTTAGATCATATGGTTGTACATCATATGGTGCTGCAATGAAAAAAAATATGCAGCAGAAAAATTATTCTTTGTTTCAGGGATAAAATTGTTATGTTTTTCTTCGTTGACATTTCTGTCACACTCAAGTTACTGAAGCAAACACTCCTTTCTTCATTAACAATGAAATGAGTTCACATCAGAGCTCAGCTACTTAAGAAATGCAACGGATATCACTTATACAGGTCAATTAACAATTTCTAATAATTAAAACCAAGAAAGAAAAATGTTCATAATCTCACATGAGACTGTAAAATTTGGTGATTTTTACGTATTTCAAAACTGAGACTTGAGGCTGAGTGCAAACAGTACACAGACCTGGCTGACACATCCAGAATTCCTGTGAATGCAATTGGAGAAGTCACATAAGCCTCATCCAGGAGCTGACACCTCACTCCCAGAGAATAAACTTACCTTCTACCTACATTTCACAAAACTCACCTGTCACAATTATGTCTGTGTTGCTCAATGTCTGGTCTTATTTCACACCAGAAAATCAAAGACTACTTGATGAATAATTATTTGCCTATTCGTTTTTTAAATTCCATTTTCTAACTTCCACTTTCACTTCCTAAGCCAGGATTTACTCTCATAGTCCTTTGCTAATTATGTAGGTTATCCGGTGCTCTAACAAGGCAGTAGTCAGTGGCAGTTCTGCTCCTAGTTTAGGTGAACTCTTAAAAAATACCCTGGAAGTACACAAAACTGCAGTAGCTCAATGTTTCAATCTTAAGAGTAGGAGCTTATGGGGAAATGTCATCAACTAATATTTCTATTTAGAGTTGACCTTCATTATTTTACTTTATTCTTTTGTGTCTGTGTGTGTATATGTTTGTATGTATGTATTTTATTGCTCATAAAACAACCAATTATTTCATCCAACCCCTGAACCCGGCACTGTGGTGCTGGCATGTGGACTGATTATGTTTGAAGCAGCTCAACATTTGCTCTGTCAATTGGACGGATTACCAAAATTTGCTAGAGAAATCACCCTATGTTTGTTCTTATTCGTCTGCAAGAAATGCTTTTACATACTTTTGAATCCATCCCGACCATGCTATTTTGGAAGATAAGTTTAACTTCTTGTGTACTACCTTTCTTTGATAATGCTGTTGTTTTGTAGCTTTCTGCCACTGGCTATTTGTGATTAGTGTTATTTTAGAAGAATCAATATGCACTTCACCAAGGGGAATCAATTTTCCAGCATGAATGTGATTGCTAGTTTTACATGATGATTTGACTGAACTAAAAAATGCCCAAATAGCTGGTAAAACATTATTTCTGGATGTGTCTGTGAGGGCGTTGCTGGAAGAGATTAGCATTTGAATCAATAGATTGAGTAAAGAAGATGCCCTCACCAATGCAGATGGGTGTCATCCAATTCACTAAGGGACCGAAGAAAACAAAAAGGAGGAAGAAGGGCGAATTTTCCCTATGCTTGACTGACACATCCATCTTCTTCTGTCCTCAAATATTGGCACTCCTGGCTCTCAGGCCTTTGGGTTTGGACTGGATATGTACTTCAGGCTACCCTGCTCTTCTAGCTTACAGAAGGCAGATAATGGGACTTCTCAGTCTCCATAATCATGTAAGCCAATCCCTCATAATAATCTATCTATCTATCTATCTATCTATCTATCTATCTTTCCATCTATCAATTAATCATCACCTATCTCTATCCTATTGGTTTTCTTTCTCTGGAGAACACTAATACAATGCCTTTCACATGCTTATGTAAAACTTCCCACAAATAAGTTTAACATTTTTTTTCCATAGTGGGAAAAGTTGTGATTTAAGGAAATTAAATAAAAATATAAGATAGCAAAGATTTAAGTGACTATTGTGTACTAGGAACTTTCACATATATGATACACAGAACCAACTAAAGATGCACATTTATATTTTTAATGCATATTTTATTATACTATTGAATAGCTTAAATAACTGATAATCAGAAGGGAAATTTATTTGTCCAAAGTCACATATTCACTATTTACATAGCACCGAATTCTCTGACAGAAATGTCACCATTTGTACTATTACTTACTTACCACATACAGCTGACATTTGAGTGCTCACTTATGTCAATCTCTGTTTCAAAAGCTTTTTTTTTCTTTTTCTTTCTTCTTTTTTTTTTTTTTGTCAGGGGGACAGGGTCTAGGTCTATCACCCAGGCTGGAGTGTAGTGTTGCGATCTCAACTCATTGCAACCGCCACCTCCCAGGCTTAAGCAGTCCTCCCATCTTAGCCTCCTGAGTAGCTGGAACTACAGGTGCATGCCACCACACCCGGATTATTTTCATATTTTTTTTTTTAAATAGATGGGTTTTGTCATTTTGCCCAGGCTGGTCTTGAACTCCTAGACTCAAGTAGTCTACCTGCCTCGGCCTCCCAAAGTGCTGGGATTACAGGCATAAGCCACCATGCCTGGTGCAAGAGCTTTATGTATACTATTTCATTCAATCCTCCCAGTAATGTGTGAGGGCTTAATGTCCATTATGTATACTACACAGCAACAACTTCACCTTTCAAGAGCTTGAGAGACTTGTGCAAAGTACCTTACTGGTAAGAAGCAGTGCAAGATTAAAATTCAGGTGCACATAAGGCCACGACCCAGGCTTGTCGTCACTGCACTAGAAGACTCCGTATTGGTCAGCAGGAAGTGAGGAATTTTCAGAATTGATTTGGTTCTCTTGATTGATTGGGTCAGTGGTTCTCAACCCTGAATCAATGAATCAGGAGATATGGGCTGCAGGCCAGATCAATTAAATTAGAATCTCTGGGGAGAAGGGCTAGGTATGGTTTGAAAAGTCAGCAGGTGAATATAATAATGCACAGCCAGTCTGAGAATCATTGCTCTGGTTGTATTAAAGTCCTGCCTTGTTTTCCTCCTACTTGCCATCAACCGGTGAGTTCTGTCTGCAGGCCCAGGCCTGTTCTAGTTCCTCCTCCTCATGCAATCATGGGCCTTCCTCAACTTTGGTGTTCAGCGAGCTGACATAGATACATTTACAGATAAGTTGCAAGTGATAGGAAATCTGGCCCTTACTGGATTGCACAAAATAGTGTTCACTGGCTCCTGAAAACTTTCTGGTACCAAATGTAGCTGACATCAGACTTCACTTCCATTAAAGTGGTACAATCCTGAGTTTACTATCAACGCTGTAGTCCAGTGAAAGATGCTCTCCTGTAGCTGAAATGCAAGTCCTTCCTTGACTCTGATTGGCCTGACTAGCATTCTCCATCCAGCCCTACAGCAACCACAAGGGATTCTCTGTGTGTGGCTTGGTTTATTTTGAGCCACTGGTTCCATCTTGGCAACCTGAAAGTAGAATCAGTTGTAAGCTCAGCAGAGAGTTGAGGGTAGGAAGGAATGGTTCTTCCTAAACAAAATTAGCATATAATTGTCTTAAGAAAGAAAGAGAATCCCTTCAATCTGATATTTAGTGTACATATTATATTCACCTGAGGACTGTAAAAAATATACTCAGTCCCCTCCTGAAGAGGCTTTGACTGAATCCACAAGTGTCCATTTAGCCTTGAGTGACATCATTTCCTTTCTGTTTCCCTCCCCATAATCTCTCTCCTTTCTAAAATTGACCCCCAACAATAAAATACAGCCTGAATATACTTCATTCACTGCTTAGATTTTAGTAGTTCCTTCTCATGAAAAACAAGATAAAATAAAAAATATTGTACTGAATTATCTTTTGAAGATAATTTGCAACCAAGTCACTCTGGCTCTTTTAGTCAGCTTAGAATTTGATTTTGCATTAAGAATTTGATTAATTCCTTTCAGGTTTTGGGGCCTCAAGTTTCCTGTCTATAAAATAGTGAAATGAAGCTATGTGATTCTAAAGTCTCTTCCAGCTCCAAAGTTCTGTAAATTCTATCCTAACTTAATTTCAATTAAGTCTATTTTTTTCTAAAATAATTAAAACTTATACTCATTGAAATATAAGGGTCAGAGGGTGATTATATAGTTCTATTTTCCTGGGACTGTCAAGGTTTTCACCTTTGTTCCCAAGAAATTAGTAATCATGCTATATATTATTCTCATAAGCTTTCTGGTTTGGATGATAAATTATATGGTCATTATAGGGACCATGTTTTATGAGAAGACACAGCATCTCAATTCTGCTACTAATAATTAATATTTATTGAGCACTGACCATGTGTCAGACCATATTGTCAGTGCTTTAAATATTTTAATTCACTTAATCCTCATAACAACACTGTAAGTCAGGTAACCTTGTTAACCCTATTTTATAGATGAGAGCAAGCTTCAGAGATGTTAAAAATCTTGCCAAATATCACAGAACAAATAAGTGCTAGAGCAGTATATTCTTTGCCTCTCACACTTACTACATTTGCTAACTTAATTAGGTAATTAATTAAAGTGAACAAAAATAACATGAATCACTAACTGAAAATATTGATCATAGTTTTGGAAATAAAATATACTATGATTATCAATTATAACCCAAACTGTAAAGTAGAAGATGCCAATTATGAAAACCCAGTGTATGCAAAATTCTGAAAAGGATGGTGCAAAGAAATTTATGGTATCACATATGTAATATGTGTCCCAAGAAAACCATTTGTATCATTGGCCATCCCACCCCAAATTATGCAGTTTGAGTGACAAAATTAAATTATAGTAATGTGTGTATGTAATATGACATTTTGTACCAAAATTTACCTAATAAAACATGTGATATGCATGTTTAAGAAAACTATCATTTTTCTCCTTCTTTTTGACTAGTATTCCAAACTCCGTACTTTTTTTTATTTCTTGCTTAAAGGAGTAGCTGTAGAAATCATTCAGTTACTATAAAGTTACTTTTCTTTTTCGAAGTTACTATTTTTTTTCCGCAGTTGTCCTCAAGTTAAACTACTAATGATTATTTAAATGTCCTGGACAACTGTTTTCTCAATTATTTGTTTATATGTATTTATTTATATATTTACATATTTATTTTTAGAGCAATGTGCGACAAACTTGCCTGATTCTAATTATTATCTAAGGATCCCTAATTTAGATCAGCTACTTTAACTTTCTTAGAGAGTAATTCCAGTAATTGCTATTTTTGACAATTATCACAGATGAAGCTGAAGATTAAGATAATACCAACAAGAATGTTTGAGAATAACTCTTTTGAACTACAATTTTTATTGTATTGAATAGAATACAAATTCTGAAAGAAACTTGGTTTAAAAGAATACTAGATAAAATTTTAAATTGAATAATCAAAAATTGATTTAAAATATTATAAAATAAATTTATGTGCTGGTAAATATGACCTGTGAATTCTATGAGTAGATTAATATTTTGGAAACTGAGTTCACTTAAAAAAAACTTGAAAATCAAGTACACAGTAAACTTTGTGATTTTCCCATAATGCATGAGTTCTTTTTTTGACTTGAATTTATTGGCATTAATCTCTCATAAAAATATTGCCAGATATATACTTTTTGCCCTAATGATTTGAATTAAAATGACTAGAACTTTATCTACTTTTCAGTTTTCTAATATTAAATATGAAAATATACATTCATTTTAATTAAACTTGTTAGAAAACAAATGGAAGCATCTTTGTATATTTTAACAACACAAATTATTTTGTTATTGATGTAATTCTCTCAAACTGTAAATTTTGTTGCTTTTGCCACAAAGTCACAAGTCTGTCACATTTTTCCATGATTGACAGAGAGCCCTTGAATTAGGCCAGCTGTTGAAATGCTGTGCAGTTACTGCAAAAGCTTTCTGGAGGCCTTGACTATCACATTTTCATCGAATGTGAATTCCTTTTTGTACGTGTACATATTGTACAGAGAACAGAAGAGCTCACAGCAGCCCCTAAAAGGCATCTGTTCTTTATAGTGAGATGAAGAAGCTGCAGAAGGTTTGTGGAAACTTGCTGAAGCTTGTTGTCACTTAGCAGGAAGTGTTTAGAAGTTTGCAAAGAACAGAATTACAATTTGTCAAACGCTGCAAACTTCCCAGTGAGCACACCATGTTTGATTTCACCATTGCTCTAAATAGGATTGCACTTTATGTACTTTCAAGGTGACCAACTTTCCTTTTTAGTAAAATACTAAAAATTTCTGCACAGGAATTCACAGTTAATCAGGTGAGACTCTTCTTTTACTTTTACTTTTTTTGGTGGAATGGGGCGTGGAGACTATAGTGTAGAAGTCACAGTCATAGCAGTATAGGCACCTGCTTTGCTGATTGGGATGAAGGGAGTTTTCTTCTTTAATTATAAATTTTCTTCAGGTTTACAAAAAATTCTTAGAAAAAGCCAGGGACGTGCAGGAACCAAGGCTTTATAATGTGAATCTGTACCTAAAAGCCCCTAGTTTAAATCTCTTCACCACTACTCAGAATTTGTTCTTTGATTATTATATATACTGGACCAGCTAGAATCAGCAAAGAATACATTGAATTCTAAAAGTTTTGAAATTTTTATTGTCAAATTCTCCTTCTCTCCCCTTACTCACCTGTGATTTCTAAGTTCGTAATTTTTTTAATAATCTATTCAACCATGCATTTTTAATCTTCCAGGGGAAAAAAGTACTCTCTTCCCACCTCTTTCTGATTTGGTTGATTTGTTTTGGTCAAAAAAAGATCAAGTTGCTTTGGCTAAAGAAGGATTTGTTAAGTGTATGGGGTTCACCCAAAATAAATTAGTACAATAAACCCTCAACCAAGTAACTTAGGACTGTGAAGTATAAGAAAATTGAGTCACAAGCACCTTTTTCCATTGGAAAAAAAATACTTTCAACCTTCTACATTAGAAGTATACATTGGACACAGTATTAGGATGAAAAAGTTTTGGTGAAAATATGATTTTATTGTAAACAAATCTAGGTGCTGTGATGAATTGTTTAAACCCTGAGGCTTATTTACCCCCCTGGGGCTAAAAGTACAGGCACAGGTAATTTAACAGTAACATTTAGAGAGTCATCTGCTGACTAAATAGGCTTCTCAATGTGGAAAGATTTCTCTTCATTTTTTTCTACTGGTACATGTTGGCTCATTCGAGAGAACCTGAATGATCAAATAAATTCTGGGGGTTTTCTCCTTATCTTGAATTTTATGATTTCATATTCTAAATAACTGGGACTTTCTCTTGAAGTGGGGAAAAAATATTTTCTATTGTCTTCAGCTGTTTTCTGAAATATTGCCTCGTGAATTAACACACTTTTGTATTAACTTTCCAATGTAGGTCCCTAAAAGTTTAACACTATCAAGTTTGGTAAGAGATTCTTTTGTCTTTCAGGTATTGAGTTTGAGCAAATGGAATGGAATGTGCTGGAACTGGTCCTTGCAGCATCCTCCTGACACCTTGGGTCTATTTGCATAGTGCAGGTGGCTGAGATGTCACTAGGCTCTTGAGAGACTTCAGGAACAAGTTGAGGGTTCTGCCTGTCATCTGAGTTTATGTACCATGTACAAGACAACCTCACACTGTTTCTAACATGAAATGTTAAAAATTGTTATATCTTTTTCAAAAGGGAGAACCCTTTCTGATTAGTAAGAAGAATCGGCCAGGCGCAGTGGCTCACACCTGTAATCCCAGCACTTTGGGAGGCCGAGGTGGGTGGATCACTTGAGGTCAGGAGTCCAAGACCAGCCTGGCTAACATGATGAAACCCCGTCTCTACTAAAAATACAAAAATTAACCGGGAGTGGTGGCAGGTGCCTGTAATCCCAGCCACTAGGGAAGATGAGGCACACGAATCTCTTGAATCCCGGAGTTGGAGATTGTAGTGAGCCAAGATCGCGCCACTGCAGTCCAGCCTGGGTCACAGAGTGAGACTCTCTCAAAAAATAAAAATAAATTTAAAAAAATAAAAAGAATCTTAATTTTTAAAGTTAGTTGAAAATGTGAATCCTTTTTAGGTTAAAATGGGCCTTGCTCTTTTGTTTACTCAGGGCAAAGTGGAAAGGAGGAGACAATCACTGGTAGGTCTCTGGTATGCGTGTTCTAGAGTGGGTACAAATGACCATTTGATGAGTTGTTTCTAGGAACTTTATACATACCATGAGAACTGATGAAAAATCTCATTAATTCCTTAGGAACATTACCTCCCTTAATGAAAGGAAAACAGCCTATTGGCTCTCTAATAGTAATCAAGTGAAGTGTGGATAATTCTAGACTTTTATTTTTAATCACCACTTATAGGAAGCTGTACTTTTTACCACTAGGGTGTAACCAGAAACTATTACAAGCAATTTAATTGCAATGTGGATCCCCCTTTTCTGTAAAGATTTCATTCTAACTTGGGATTACCTTCTTGATCAAGGAGGCTTTATCAGATAATCCTGACATCTCAGTTACAGAGCAAGCAAAACTTTGCCTCCATGCTCTTAGGTCCTCTGGTTGGGCCTGAGAATTAAATTGGCATAAAATATATTAACAGGAGAAAAATACACAGACTTTTTACATGTACATGGGAGCTGCCATAGGAAAATAAAGACCCTAAGAAGTGGTAAAAACCCAAATGCTTATATAGCAGATTGAATAAAGAGTGACAATTGTGGAAAAGTAACTAAAATGTGTGGGGAGGCTCAAGGAAGATAAGAGTTATTTTAACAAGGTCTGTTTGTACAGGTTTTTTTTTAGTCTCAACTCCTCATCTCCGGTGACAAGAATGTTTCTTCTCTTCTGGTACAGGGAGCGCATCTTTCACATGGGAGTTTTTGTCTCCTGTTTGCAGGAAGAAAAGAGGAGATTGGAATGCCCTTCTTGCATTTGCTGTTTTTCAAGGGCCTTTAGCTCAAAATAATCTTTACACCAAACTAGCATATTTTGGGGTGACATATTCTGCCACCCTTCACAGTCTGTGATGGTTAATTTTATGTGTCAGCTTCTCTAGGGTAAGGGAAGTCCATATAACTGGTAAAACATTATTTCTGGGTGTGTCTTTGAGGATGTTGCTGGAAAAGATTAGCATTTGAGTCAGTGGACTAAGTAAGAAAATCACTAACATGGGCAGGCATCGTCCTATCCATTGAGGGTCAGAATAGAACAAAAAGGCAGAGAAAGAATGAATTCTCTTTTTTTGAGCTGGGGCATCTATCTTCTCCTGACTTCAGGTATCAGAGTTTCTGGTTCTCAGGTCTTTGGACTTGGCCTGAATTTCACTGCCTGCTTTCCTGTTTCTCCAGTTTGCAGAAGGCAGATCATGAGACTGCTAACCCTCTATTAGCACATTAGTCCATTCCCATAATTGATGGGGGGTGTGTGTGTGTGTGTGTGTGTGTGTGTGTGTGTGTGTGTGTTGGGAGCTATCTCCTCTTTTGTTTTTTTTTTTCTCTGAAGAACACTAACATACAGCTTCTTATACAAATAAACTGATGTTTAAAAACTTCTATGTTCATTTAAATGATTTTAAATTATGTATTAAACCTCTATGTTCAATAAATAAACTACCACGCTTAAATTTTTACTCAATTTGAATTGTCTCCTTCTTTTTTTGTGAGAAATTTCCCCAATGTGAGTAGAAGCACTCAAGTTTGTCTACTGATCTTAAAGCTAGGTTCATATATGGAATCATTTTTTTTAAATAACAATTAATAACAATTACTGCCACATTGAAACACTGAACTCACTCCCTTCCTAACAAAATAAAACAAAACAAAACGTTTGGGTGAGGGAGCTCTAGTTAAAGAGTTTGGAGGGAAAGACATTGCTACTGAATACATTGTTTCTGTTCACCTTTATTTTTTTACTCCCTGAAATGAATCTCTTCCTAGAAAAGGAACAAGAATTTTCTGAAGGGCAGTCTGAGGTTGTGTTGTGGAACTGAGGAAGGGAGTATACCTCTCCGACAGTTTCTGCAAAATAACCCTTGGATCCTGTATTTGAATAACCAAGCCACAGTGGTTTCATTCTCACTACTCCATGGTCTCTCCAATGTCCACAATGCAGGGTTCTAAAGTTGATCTTTTATATTGGCCATCACTGGACAGAGTAAAAATGGCTAGAAAGGTTTATGTGACAGGATCACAAAACATTGAAATACAGAAAATATAAACGTAATGTGATGAATCCCTTATATCCATTGGTGCCCTAGAAAAGTTTAATGATCAGCTTTCTGAAAAAAAGCATGCATGTATATGTATAACTTTATTATAAAATGTTCTGATATAAAATATGTGTAACATACAATTTACAAATAAAATACACAGTACCCTGTATTGCACAATGAACATAACTAAATTTTTGTCGATTGTGGTTGACTTCTTATACGCAGCTAAACTAGCCTATGATGAATGAATGAGAGTCATTCTGACATGAATGTGTGTTGATATTTTTGTAATATTTGTTGAATTTCCATGCTGTAAATGGTTCACAATGGGTGATTTCAACTACCAGCTTGATGTTACTGGATGTAGAATAGGAAAAACCCATAATTATGTCATTTGCACCATACAGATACAATAGACCTAAATAGCCCCAAGAACGTAGATAACAGAAAAACGTAAAATAATTAGAAAGTGATGGATTTTGAATCTGTATTACCATTTTTATGATGTAATTCATTTAATTATAAGTTTATATCTTTTTTTAATGATGATTGTTTAGAAACTGGTTTGTAAAACTTTTCTAAATTTAACTATTGCTCTCATAAGCCTGTAGAAGCCAGTTCTAGGAGACCACTACTTCACCTTTTGAAAGCATTCACTGTCAATTTCAAACATTTCTTTTATGATAAGAATACTTGTATGGATGGATGGCCTTATGTACTAGATAACTCTCTAGTTATATTAAAAGCAATCCCAGCCTTAAAACCTTGAAAAATTATGTACAAGCATAACTTATTATATTGCACTTTGCAGATATTGAAGTTTTGGAGCAACCATGTGTAGAGAGTTTGTAGCAACTCTTGTCACTTCTATATATTTCACTTAAAATAATAAATTTTCAGGGAACTTATTGGACTTCTGCTACAACTGAAGTATCAAATATAAGATTAGATATTCTTTATTTCTACTTTCTTCATTCCACACTCAATATTGTTTCTCTTTTTTATTCCTCTCCATGTATGTTAAATAACAATAGTTACGTATTCTCCAGAAAAAACTAATAGGATATCTATAGATAAATAGAGATGTAAAAAAGGAGATGTATTATTAGAATTGACTTACGTGATTATGGAGGCCAAAGAGTCCCATGATATACAGGCTGGAGAACGAGGAAATCTGGTAGTATAATTCACTCTGAGTCTGAAGGCCTAAGAACAGAGTGGCCCACTTCTGTAAGTCCCTGGAGTCTAAAAGTTCAAGAACCAGGACTTCTGATGTGTGAGGGCAGGAGAAAATAGATGCCCCAGCTCAAGAACAGAGCAAATTTGTTGTATTTTCCCATTTGTTCACTTTGGGCCCTCAACAGATTAGATGGTTCCTATCCACATTGGTGAAGGTGACCTTCTATACTCCGTCTACCTATTTAAATGCTAATATCTTCCAGAAGCATTCTCACAGACACACCAAGAAATACAGCTAATCCTTGAACAACACTGGTTTGCACTGTGCAGGTCCATTTATACATGGATTTTTTTCAACCAAATGCAGATCAAAAACAGTGTTTGTCAGGCCCATATATGTGGGTTCTTCAGCACTGACTGTGGAACTTGAGTATATGCAAATTTTGGAATATGTAGCAGGTCCTGGAACCAATCCCTCCTATACATCTAGGAAGAACTGTAATGTTTTTCCAGTTATTTGAACATCTTTTAGTCCAATCAAGTCATCACATAAAATTAACCATCACAAGCATCGTTTTTCTTCCCAATACAAAGTTCTCAGTTTTGCAAAATGTAATCATATTGAAGTTGAGACTTGTTTTCACTCATTTCTCAAAAAACCAAAATGGGAAGTCACCTTAAATAAAATGCCAGCCTTCTTAAAACCTTGAAACACTACATATAGACATGCCTTATTGTATTGCACTTTGCTTTTTTGCACTTTGCAGATATTGCATCTTTTACAAATTGAAGGTTTCCAGCAACCCTGTTGTACAGCAAGTCTATTGGTGCCATTTTTACAATAGCATATGCTCACTTTGTGTCTCTTGTCACATTTTAGTAATTCTTGCAGTATTTCAAACATTTTTATTATTACTATTTTATCTTCCATGGTGATCTTTTATGTTACTATTATAATTGTTTTAGGGCACCATCAACTGCATCCATATAAGATAGTGTATGTAATCAATAAATATGTGTCTTCTGACTACTCCACCATCTGGCCATTCTCCCATCTCTCTTCCTCTCCTAGGGCCTCACTATTCCCCAAGACATAAAAATATTAAAATTAGGCCAATAATAATGGCCTCTAAGTGTTCAAGTGAAAGGAAGAGTCACACATCTCTCACTTTAAATAAGCTAGAAATGATTAAGCTTAGTGAAGAAATAATGTCAAAAGCTGAGATAGACTGAAAGCTAGGCTTCTTGTGCCTAAGAGTTAGCCAAGTTATGAATACAAAGGAAGAATTCTTAAAGGACATTGAAAATGCTACTTTAGTGAACACATGAATAATAAGAAAGGGACAGAGACTTACTGCTGATATGGAGGAAGTTTGAATGGTCTGGATAGATCAAGCCAGCCATGACATTCCTTTAAGTCAAAGCTTAATCCACAGGCATTACCTCTCTTCAGTTATCTGAAGGCTGAGAGAAGTGAGGAAGTTGCAGAAGAAAAGTTTAAAGCTACCAGATGCTGGTTCATGAGGTTTAATGAAAGAAGCCATCTTAAACATAAAAGTGTAATGTGAAGCAACAAGCACTGATGTAGAGGTTGCAGGAAGTTACCCAGAAGATATAGCTAAGATCATTGATAAAGATGGCTACACTAAACAACAGATTCTCAATGTAGACAAAACATCCTGCTATTGGCAGAAGATGTCATCTAGAACTTTTATAGCATGAGAGAAGTCAATGCCTGGCTTCAGAGCTTCAAAAAATAGGGTGCCTTTCTTGTGGAGAGCTAATGAAGCTGGTGAATTTAAATTGAAGCCAATGCCCATTTACCATTCTGAAAATTCTAAGGCCCTTAAGAATTTTGATGAATCTACTCTACTCATGCTCTGTAAATGGAATAACAAAGCCTGGATGACAGTACATCTGTTTACAGCATTGTTTACTGAATATTTTAAGCCCACTATTGAGACCTACAGCTCAGAAAATAAGATTTCTTGACAATATACCTGTTTACCCTAAAGGTCTGATGGAGATATCCAAGAAGATGAATGCTGTTTTTAAGCCTGCTAACACAACACCTATTCCACCCATTCTGTAGCTCATTGATCAAGGAGTAATTTTGACTTTCAAATCTTATTATTTAAGACATACATTTTGTAAGGTTCTAACTGCCAGAGACACTGATTCCTATGATGGATCTGGGTAAAGTGAATCGAAAACATTCTGGAAAGAATTCATGATTCTAGATGCCATTAAGAACATTTGGGATTCATGAGAGGAGGTCAAATTATCAACATGAACAGGAGTTTGGGGGAAGTTGACTCCAACCTTCGTGGATGACCTGGAGGAGTTTATGACTTCAGAGGAGGAAGTAACTGCAGATGTGGTCGAAGTAGAAAGAGAAATAGAACTGGAAGTGGAATCTGAAGATGTGACCAAATTGCTGCAATTGTGTGATAAAACTTAAAGAAGTAGCTTTTTACGGATGAGATGACGCCTACTCCATGTGAAGATGCTATGAACATTGCTGAAATGACAACAAAGGATTGAGAACATTACATAAACTTAGTTGATAAAGCAGTGGCAGGCCCGGCACAGGGGCTCAAGCCTGTAATCCCAGCACTTTGGGAGGCCTAGGGGGGCGGATCACAAGGTCAGGAGATTGAGACCATCCTGGCTAACATGGTGAAACCCCATCTCTACTAAAAATACAAAAAATTAGCCAGGTGTGGTGGTGGGTGCCTGTAGTCCCAGCTACTCGGGAGGCTGAGGCAGGAGAATGGCATGAACCCGGGAGGCGGAGCTTGCAGTGAGCCGAGACTGCGCCACTGCACTCCAGCATGGGCGACAGAGCAAGACTCCGTCTAAAAAAAAAAAAAAAAAAAGCAGCGGCAGGCTTTGAGAGGACTGATTCCAATTTTGAAAGAAGATCTACTGGGAGTAAACTACTATCAAACAGCATCACATGCCACAGAAAAATATTTCATGAAAGAGTCAATGAATGCAGCAGACTTCCTTGTTGTCTTATTTTAAAAAATCACCACAGCCATCCCAACCTTCGGCTACCACCACCCTAATCAGTCAGTACCATCAACTTGGAGGAAAGACCCCTCCACAACCAAAACGACTGTGACTCACTGAAGGCTCAGATGATTGTTAGTATTTTTTAGCAATAAAGTATTTTTAAATAAAGGTGTGTACATTGTTTGTTTAGACGTAACACTATAGCATACTTAATAGTATACTACATACTGTAAACACAACTTTCATATGCACTGGAAAGCTAAAAAGAAAAATGTGACTCACTTTACTGCAATATTTGCTTTACTGCAGTGGTCTGAAATTAAACCCACAATATCTCGGAGCTATGCATGTATATTTTTAATACGAATGTTTTTAAGCCACAATACATCAGGATAAAGAGTTTGTAATTTACCGTCTGTGTCCAACTGATCCTTTTTATTTTTTGTCACTATATGAATAATTTACCAAAGTAAGCATAGAGGAATAGTGAACAATGACTTTTACTACACATTTTGATAAGAATTTAAATAAAACAAAACTTACTTTTTATATCAAGTAAGTTTTGTCAAACATCATAACTGATGAAATAATATTAGAATGGATCTTTTTAGCTAAAAATGATAATTCATTCTCATTGTCCTATAGTGTTCCATTGCAGAAATACACCACAATTGATCATATGTTTGTATTATTTCACCTTGTTTGGAGGCTGTAATGAATAGACCTGCTGTGAAGGCTTTTGTACATGTCTTTGGTGCAGATATGTATACATTTTCTGAGTATACAACTAGGAGATAGAATTGCTGGGTCATTGAGAAGAATAATCACTGGACCTTAGGTATAAATATGTGCATTTTTGGGAAGCATCACCAATCAGTGGTTGTACCATTTTGACTCCCAGCAGTCAACTTTGAGAAAGATCTTTACCTTTTTAGAAGTTATCACAGGATCAAAGGGAACTATAACTACTAAACTGGAATTCTGGCACCAAAAACAGTTATGTATTGCCTCTGCCTTGTCCCTTAATGCTTTTTTTTTTTTGTATGGTTTATCTCTCCAATTCCATTTTGAGATATTAAAATAAAACAAAATACCTTTGCTTGTGTTGTCCCAAATCTCATAGATAGCCTGGAATCCTCAAATCTGTGGTACAGTACAAATTTAGAAACTTCTGGTTAGCATTGGGGGAAGGCCTCAAGTAGCTGATCCAAATTATGTTATATAGAAAAATATGGAATTCCAAATTCCAGCATTTTTCCCTTATGTGTATATTTTTACTAACATCTTGAGCCAACCAATTTACTAGAAAATTGTGTTTCAAAATCACACCTGTCTGTGATGTTCTAGATGTCTCCCAGAAATTACAACCAAAGGAACAAATTCTGACCAGGATCTTTTTCTTCCACTTGTTTGTTATTTCCAGGAGTAAGAAAGCAGGGCCAACCTATCCATTGTTGGTCTCTTGGAACAAGATGTTAATTAAAATTAACATATAAAATTTTATGTCATATAAAATTCCATCATAGGAAAAAAGATAAAAATCAGAGACATAACACTTTACATTTGGAATTCCTGCAGCACTTTTACAAGGTCTATATCATTTTGCTTACCACTTTATGATAAACCAATTTGTTTTATTGTCAAGAAAAATCTTTACTTTCTCCGGTATATTTCATTTAGTAGACATGTGTTAAGTTTGAATCTAAAGTTGCAGATTTATTGAAATATTTGAGATTACCTATTTAAACTTAAAAAATTTGCAAACAAAAGGAAACATTTTTTTCCCCATGTGAAAAAGTGAGGGCTTTAAAAACATTTCACATTGGTCTACATTCATTAGTCCTGTATTGCGTTTTATTATTCTATTTTTTCTTTTTAAATAATTGTCTAAGATTTTAAACCTTACTATTCTATATTTCCATCTTTTAACTGGACAACATGGGTGTACTTCCTTTAAAAACATAATTACCAATTACTCTGCCAACCATAGCTTTTGCTGTCTTGTGCTATAAGATAATTCAATATGTAAGCAATTGCTTTGGAGTTCTCAGGTCAACTACCTGCTATTAAAATGGCTCCATGTCAACCTATGGCGGTATAATTCACTTTAAATCTAGTGTATTAGGTTAGAGAAAGTTCCAAGTTATTGTCAAAAATGTTTCCGACTTTCAGGCAGACATATGCCATAATTTTTGAAAAGCACATTGAAAGGAAAATGAGGAGAAATGGTGCCTGGGCTTGAGTTATATCAACATAAACATTTTTTAAGCTACTCTGGCAGAGGCAATCTCATCTGAAGTCAATGCAAACCATTATAAAGTTGGGCGAAACCTTTGCTCGGCCATGAATGAAACCAGCACATGGCGTTTATATCAGGAAAGCAAAGAGTTTTGAAAGAATTGAGAGCCAAGGCTGGGCAAGATTGCATGTTGGAAAATTCAGTAATTCATGGATCGTTTTCTTTTAAGCATATGCATGTTAACGTGTCTTTAAAACTTCAGAGAAGAACTTCTACTTTTTGATGCAAGTTACATGAGGTGCAGACAAAGAGTCTTATGATTTGTACAGGCACAAGATGCACAGCATTTTGAAAATCCCAAGATAGCTTATGCACTTTTTTTTTTTCTTCACAGTAGGAGTAGAACTTGAAGTTCTGAATCAGGAGTGTAAATGCATTGCAGTGTAACAAAAATTTGAGAAATAGTAAAGGAAGTACAGATTAATTACCTAGGATTCTATTATCACATCCCACTCAAGTTACCATTAACCATTACACTGCAGGTAGTTTTTTAGGGTCTAGATACCTGCTGGTTTAGAAAACTGAAAGAGGTATAAACCATCTCAAAATGTTAGAGGGAACAATATAATGAGGTTCTATCTTTACTGAATCATTTTCAATCCAGAATCAAACGTACACAAACACAACAGAGCGTTCAGTAGTAGTAGTATCTTCTATATTTCTGGAAGCAGAGATCCAAATAGACTAATTTGATCATTCTTTTTTTCAACAAATATTGAGTATACGCTATCAAAATTCAATGCAACAATAGATGCATTTGTGAGGTGGTCCTACCAAACAGGAGATATTAAGTGTCTGGGTTAATGTCATAGTTAAGTGATTTACTAACTCTCCCAGGGCCACAGTTCATGACTCCTAACTCCTTATCATACTCTCTTTCTGCTCTACCATATGCCTTCATTTTTAGATTAGAACATGGAAGTTGTATTCTATATTGCTAGAAATTATGATTTTACTAGAATAAAACATGTCCTTTAAGGGGCACTAGCTTAATCTTACTGTGGATTACTAAACCTGACCACTCTTCATTATAAATGTCTCTAGAAGAATACTTTTGAAATTCTGGTTTTCAATACCACTAGCTAACAATGGTCTACTGGCATTATATGATGTCTTCTTTAATAAATTCAAAGAAGACAAAAGGAAAACATTTGCAATGTGTAAATATAGGTTTAGTGAAATTAGGTGTGGTGTGGCTTATGTATTCTGGAATGTATTTCAATGTTAAGTTTCATAGGAAAGAGAAAAATGTGTAAATGTAAAGGTAAAGTATATTTTAACTTCAGAACCATGCATATCATTCATATCTTAATACCATCTTATCTTTATTCTTTTATGTATAAATTTCTATTTTTAAAACCACCAAACAAAACTGTTTCAACATATTTTTCTATTGACATGGTGTTCATCAAATAAAGTTGTCAAAACAGCACTTTTCAGTTTATTACAGTTCTTAGGCCTGGGCGAATGCAGCACTAGCCCTAAATTTTAGAAGCCCCTAAGGTTTATAGACACACCACACACACACACACACACACACACACACACACACGTACACACAATTTATTAAGGAACACAGGCACATCAGCTGTTGGGGTCAAACATTCAGTACTGAGACAGCACAACTCACATCTGCTCTCCTATTAAACACATTTTAGGACCCAAAAAATGCTCTTTTGCCTTAAAAAAATATAAAAAGTAACTATCCAAATGACATGAAAGTTTGTGAGTGGTAGCTGACAGTCAAACATTCCTTCAGAATGTGGAAGGATATGAGTGACGGTTACCTAGGGTAAGAAGAAAAAATAAAGTTCTTGCATGACAAATTATTGTCTCCCAGTTGAAACAAGCATTCATTTTTTTTTTTTTTTTTTGCTTCTCTTTGTATTTTCAAATCACAAATTGAATTACAATTTCTGAAGGGACCATGAATTAGCAAATGTGGACAAATTTGCAATATTGGATAATTATTTAAAAGATAGGAGAATAGATAATACAACACTTAAGAGTTTTTAGCTTTATTTTACAGGTTTTATTTATACTCTTGCCTCACACCCCACAAGTGTTAGGGGCTTGGCTCCTTCCATTTAGATTCTATTCTGCCAAAAAAAAAAAAAGCCAATTTCCAAATCATGCCAAATATCTAGAAGAAAACAAGAAATTTCAGTGAGAAACCTTAGTCCCTTAGTCTGTCATTCAGGACATTCCATAGCATAATCCTGAATATCTTTGAAGTTTTATTCCTAGAACTGACCCCGAGAGAAGGATTTGTCAGCATGGAATGTGCTAAGGAAGAGCACAAAGAAGAATCCAGTAAAAGAGTCAGAGAGCAAGACAGGGAAGGGAAAGAATCAAAGCAAAGGTACAATATCAGGTTGTGAAAGTCTCAGTCTGATTCCAAGGGGGAGCACTAGAGTGCAAATTATACTTTGCATTTGGTGCTACTGTCAGCAAGGGAGCATAACTCTCATACTCTGGCACCAGTCAGTCATTGGTGTGAGTGTGGGGTGATGGGGATGTGTGTGTGTCGGGGGGATCTCCTTCTTTTTCTTTACTGGCAAAGCAAATCCAATCACTCAAGATCAGTTCTCCAAAGGGAAACATGGAATTGGGGTGGTTCACCAATAGTGTACCCCACTCCTAGTACTTTCCCTTACTATTTTATGCCATTGTGTGAAAGGATGAATCTTTTTTTCCTCTTAGAGTTTTGCTATACATGAGTATATCAAGTGCTCTGAGAAGGCCGCTGTAAATAAAAATGTTTAACCCCAAAGTTACATAAGCCAACATATCTAGGAAGCATTTTGCCATGTATCTGTCAGCATCCTTAGAACACAGTTTGAGAATCACTTCTGTAGGATTTTATGATTTGTTTCTCCAATGTACCACGTGTTGTCCTTCCTTTGTGACTTAATGTATGCTAGCCCTTTTGCCTAGCATCTAATTTTCTATTAGAAGGAATGCTGAAGGAAGTTGTTTCTAATTCTTTATAACGCATGTCACAAAACACAGAAGTTACTGTTGTTCTTTTTTTCTAGTTGTCTATTAATGTGTCACCTCCTTGCTTTTCTGTTCCCTAGTAACACCCATAAGTATTTAGGCTCCTAAGTACAGTGTTTAGAACTACAACAAGGCACAGAGGAAGGTAACTACTAATTACACATTAAGTTGAATCAATAAGACATTAGTTAGGATTTTATACCTAATTTTCTCCCAAATTTTTACCTGGATATCTGGGAAAGAAAATGTTGAGGTTTATGCTGTTTCCCAAGCCAAGAAGAAATGTAGTCTAACACTGCTGAGATTCTTCAGTAGGTAATATGCTAAACCAAAGTGGCAATCTAATTCTGAGGAAGTTATCAACATGGAATGTAGGACAATGGTGCCAAGGAGGTAAATGTGTAAACAGATTTCTCACTAGCTTTGAGGATTACCTATAGTACACAATGAGATAAGAACGATTTAAATAAATATTGACGCTAAAAGAACATTACATATTTTTAAAATCTGAAATGCTTTTATTTTCTAAAGGAAAAATATATAACTCGGTAATGAAAGTTCATAAAAAGCAGTGCTTTTACATGCTGAATTCTATGATGACATATATAAGCACAATTTTCAGGAGATAAAATGGAACCAAATTGCTAAGGGGAAAGTTCTACCTTCTATTTTTATTCTCTTTATCGATGTGAACTTCATTAGGAGCTGAATGCTTTTATGAAAGACTTTGTGTCACACAATGTGCAGGGATTTGCCTGAGAAATGAAAGGAGAAGTCAGCCATAGCCTGAGGAGACGGGCACATCAAGGCCTGCCAGGGAGCATTGGCCTGACTGCAGTGGGTGGGAACCAGCCACTCCTTAGCCTGGCCTACAGCTGTTGATTTCCTCCACCCCTCCTCTGGGGGTCTCATTCACTCCCTTGTTTTCACTGTCACTTAGGTTTGTGACCCTCAAATCTAAATCTCCAACTCCAAATTCACTCATCAGTACAAAACCAATACAGAATTACGATTGTCACAAGTTTTCTGCCTCAGGTCTCTCAAATTCAAGATATCTCAAACCAAACACATTAACTTCTCATACAATTCCTACATTAGCCCTTTGGGTTAATATCATTGCTACTATGGTTGCCCATGCTGTAAACCTTTTTTTTTTTTTTAATTTCTGAGTGTTTTCTTTTCCTCCAATCCCACATCCTATTAGTTACAAAGTTTCTTTACTTTCAAATTTTGTCTTTTTCTTTATTTACATAATTCCTCTAGTGCAGAATATAGTAAAACTCATTTTTCCAGACTCAATGTCTCTCCCCTCAAATTTATTTTTTTCATTACTATCAAGGTTATTTTCTCAATACCCAGATGGATTACATATGTAGCACCTTTTCTTAAAACAAACAGATGAGTATAGAAGTAAACACCCTTGTAGCTCCTCTCTGTGTCAGAATAAAATAAAAGCTCCTCACTGTTGTTTAGCCAATTTTTCTGGTTTCTCATCCACATTATCTCCCTATGTCATGTGAGAAATCACTTGCATTTTCTAAGTATTTCCAAATATGCTGTGCACTTTCACACCTTCATATTCTTATTACTGCTTTAAATGACCTTCCACATCTACTATCTCCACCTGGGGAAGCCACATTTCTTTTAAAGACACAGTCAAAATCTTGTTTTTCATATGAAAACTTTCCTGATCATTCCATCATCTTTGATCTCAAGATATTTTGCTTATATTCCTAAATAGCACTTGATCTTTATTAAAGTAAGCTGTACACACATCTTGATCTTATTAATCTTTGTGTCACTAGAGCTTAGTAGGTGCTCAAGAAATTTTTGCCAAACTAAGTTATTGAAATTAAATCAGGAAGATTCTTATTTATAGAGAATATACTTGCAGAACTGTCTGAGTTTTACAAATAGGTGAGTAAATGGTGAAGCTTATGTTTAGACTAAGGAAAAACTCAGACGATAGCTTGTATTTACCCAAGCCATAAGGTCTATTTCTGTGTTCCTACTGATGTCAATGAAACTCAGACTTTAGATTTGTCTCAGATAATTTCAACAAGCATTTATTTTTAGAGGTTACAGTTTATTGTGGTTCCACCATCCATAAAATAAAATTAATAACTCTTGTCCTCTGTACTCCAGAGGCTCTTGTTAGGGTTCTTGTTAGAGATTTAATTTCTGCAGGAAAAAAAAAAAAAAGAAGTTTCTATGTGTGCTTTGTTAAAATAGCCCTCATCTAAAATAGCTTGTATTTACATGCACAACTTTGCATATAACTCAGGAGGAAAAAACAAGCAACTAGCCAATCAAACATATGAAAACAATAACAACCACAACTACTAAAAAATCTCCCCTGCCCAATTGCCCTTTTCTGAATCACACAAATATCAGATGGAAAAGAATTCAGATGTTCCCTAAATATCTTAGATATAGTTATATCCTTCTACAGTATGTAACTCCCAATTGTGAGTACTGGATCTTTTGATGAGATAGCAGGGTCAAGCCTTTTGCCACATTTAAAAGACTGATGCAATTCTCTTTGGCAGGTTTTGACCACAATGTAAAATCTCCCCACAGTTTGACAATTGACATTCTCTAGCACAGAAGAAGCCATTACCATCTGTCATGTGACTGCTCTGAGGATAATGAGAATGCCTTGGACATGTGGGTTGGAAAGAAATGACTTTATTCCAAGTAAAATAAATCTAAATAATACAAATGCAGTGGGAGTGTTGCTAAATATTTCTGGAGACTCTTGAGGCACTTTAGAAGAAAATGAATCATTTTAGTAATCATTTTTGCTTCTCTTTCTCCTAACTCTGACAATTTAAAAATATCATACAGGCAGAACCTGTGTTTTAAACTCTGCCTGTACTTCCAGAGGGTGTCCGTAGGGCTTTGCCTGCAGGGAGGTCACCAGGAGTCAATGCAAATCAGGCCAGTTGCCTCAGGTTTCCTCCAGGACCCTTGCAGCACAGGCAGGTTTTAGAACAGCAACTGTGTAGAAAAAGGAACACTACCAATGTATTGAAACAAAACAAAAATAAGGTTGTTTATTCTCCTGTTTGACATAGGGCAAGATTTTTTTTAGGTCTTTAACCCTCTGCTCCTGCCCAACAGAGGTGATCGCTGCGCTAGCAGGCTATGTTTGCTCAGGGCTCCTCAGGTAGCTGCAATGGCTGGTGTTCAAGGGAGGATGAAGTCTCAACCCTGAAGTTCTGCCTTCTGTCAGACCTTTTAATGTAATCTTCACATTCATTCTGTTTAATAACCTTTTGTCCAATAGACATAAGTTAAGCATAGATATGTGTCTGACTGCAATGAATTAGTTTCCTAACAGGTGAAGGAATCCTTGCCAAGATTCTGCAGAGACCTGGTCAATGTAGATAATGTGGTACATTAGAGCACAGGCTGGCAGTTCATCGTTCTATGAATAGATATAGATTTAGCACTTATGAGAGCCTTTGAATAGGAGAAAACAGAGCAATGAGTAGCAGACAGTCCTTCCTGGGTTTGATTTTAGTTAGCACTTTCACATCAGGTCAATGAATCTCTTGTTAGTACTAAAAAAAAACGTGTACTCAAATATCAAAAGGTACTACGACTTTTTTTTACAAGTGAGTTTTTGCCTAAAACATTATTAATCCTATATATAAATAACTTAAAAATAATTGAAAGCCCATTTTCACCCTTTCTATTAATTTAGTTTTTCCCAGTGGAGGAAAATGTTTGCTTTGTATTTCTCCTAGTAAAGTTAAATAACCTGATTGAAAATGGGCATGGAGAAGGCGGATAGGGAGAGATTTGTTAAAGCATACAAAATTACAGCTAGATAGAAGGAATAAGTTCTAGGGTTCTATGGCACTGGATGACTATAGTTAACAATAATATACCGTTTCAAATAGCTAGAAGGAGGATATTAAATATTCCTAACACAAAGAAATAATACATGTTTCAGATGGTGGATACGCACTAGATACGAATGAAGACATCACTATGTACCCCATAAATAGGTACAATTATTATATGTCAATTAAAAATAAAATTTAAAAACGTAAAGAAATGCACTGACATTGAGACTTGTGTTCTGGTCTGGTGTAGCCACCAGCTTCCTCTACTTTGGACAAGTCACTTGATCTGTCTAGTTTATAGTTACATCCTCCGTAGTTGAAGAGCTGGAGTCCCATGACTAGAACTCTGGGCTTATGAAGAGTTGGGGTCCCATGATTCCTTTTAGCTCTTAGAATTTTATGAAAAACCATCAAGATAATGATGGTATCCTTTTCCATCTCAAATTAATTATGCAAGGTCTTCAGACCTGTTTAAATAATATTGTGGCTTATATTTATTAGAGATTCTTTTATGGTACTTGCTTTGAGTTAAGTTTTAAAAATTATTTTTGTTAAGGTTCACTTGTGTTTTCTTGTTTGAATTTAATACCTGATTTGAATTGTCCCTGTCTCCTAAGTGATTGTTCACTTTCCTCTTTTCTCTGGGTCTTCTTTTCAAGGCCACAGCTTGAATATCAGTGACACAAATGTCTGAATAGCTCCTAGAGTACTTAGGGGCAGTACACTCTACAGCTATTTGAAATGCTTAGTTCTTCCTGCTGCCCATTCTGCTCTACTATTTCCTCTTTTCGTTTCCATCTCTCTTTCTCTGCACTCTGATGCTCAAAGCCTTCCTGATTTCCAGAAGTGTTAAGAGCACTGCTCAACAGCAAAGCCAGTATTCCAGAGCAGAAGGATGCTGTCTCCTGCTCTAAAGGTAATATACGGGAAGTGCTGGAGCCAGTGCTCAGCCCAGTACTTGTCACAGAACTGGCAGTTATCAAATGGAGCTCCTTTTCCCTAAGGGTAGACATTTCCTATTCTACTGCTCTAAATCTTGTTCACTGATCATGGCTTTTCCTAGGTTTATAATAAGATTACAGGTTTAGTCAGCACTAACGAGTGGAGTGGGTGGATGAATCAGACATATCTGGGATCTGTAGTTCTTACATGTCTCTGTTACCTTGTCCTGTCCCAGAGCAGCTGACGTGGCCAGTTCTGTTTGAGCTCCAACATATTTCACAAAGACAATCTGACCATGCCCACTTACTGCCCGGGGGCTTCCTTGCTGATACTGACATATAAGACCCCAAAGGAGCTGCTGAGCATTTATGTGAGTACAATCCGGAAGTCCAGATGCAGGGAGAGGAGGAACAGAAGACTGGGAGCTAGAAATTTCCGCTCTGAAGAACAAATCTATGACCAATGGAGGCTAGATCAAGTGGGTAAATTTTTCCCCTTTCCTAGACCTAGAGAGAATTACCACTTTGGTAGTGAACATGTGGGATCTTTTTCACTTGATAAAGTGAGTTGCATTTGATACCAGCTCTGTAAAACATCCAATTATTAGTTCTTCTGTTCCTCTCTGGCTCACTCCTCTCTCTCTCACTTGTATTTGCCTGGGTTTGCACTCTAATAAAATATTCAGACTGAAGTTTTTGTTTCAGGCTCTGCTTCCTGGGGAAATCAGACTAAGATATTGGTCAATTTAGACAATATTCATGAACACATAGAATCATTTATGATCTGGTGAGTTGTAATAAAATGCAATATATTTTGCACTATGAGATATTTAAGATAGTGGAAGATTATGGAGGTCAGATGTATTAACTAGTTATCAGTTCCTGCTCTAGGCCCACCATAATTTTCTTAAATTTAATGCTCTATGGCACGGTAGAAATACATTAAGATAGAAAAAGCAGTACACATAAATTCACAAGGATTTTCTCTTTTCAGTTTTGTAGATAAGAAAGAATGTTTCCCAAATGTGAAGGGCAAAAATATTGCTGAAACCAAATCTGTTTTTTATACTTATTTTTAAAGATATGCTCACATTAAAATGCTTCTTGCTATTTCTACAGAGATAGGTAGAAAGATTTTGGAAATGTTGCTTATGAAAAATGTTTCTAAGTTAATACTGGTAAAAACAATCCAGTCTTTTGTCTATACAACAGTTTGAATTTCACATTTGCCATCCTTATCTAAACAGATTTTTAGAGAAAACAATAGATATTCATGTATTCAACAAATACTTGTTTTGTATCTGTTCTGTGCTATGAACTGCTTTATGTGCTGAAAATTCAGCAGTGAACAAGATAAGCCAGGTCCTTGCTTTCATGGAGCTTATGTTCTAGGAAAAGGAAATAGACAAAACAAAAGAGCACACAGGTAAATGAACAAGATAATTTTTAAAGGTGACAGTGCCGTGAAGACAATGAAAGAGAGGTGGTGTGTAAGAATTGAGGGAATCTGTTTTAGATTAGGTAGTCAGGAGAGATCACTGTGGATGTGATTTGAGCAGTGAATAATTCCTAGAAGCTGACTGTGCGAAGCCTGGGGTAAAGATTTCCAAATGATGGGCAAAACAAGTGCAAAGGCCCAACAAGGGAAATGAGTTGGTACAGACCAGGAGAAGAAGGAACCTGCTATGGTTTGAGGGTAGTGCTAGGAGCTACTGTGCTAATAAATGATATCAGAGAGGTTAGAAATGGCCAGAATCTCATTTTAGGTCAGATTAAGGAGTTTGAGTTTATTCAAAATGCAATGGAAATCCATTGAAGGGTGAATGACAAAGAGCCAGTTTCATAGTACTCTTGCAGCAGTTGGAATATTAAAATAAAAAAATCTGATGATTACTTTTTAAGATATCAGAATTAAGAAGTTTGATCAAGAAAGTGATATAATCTGATTTATATTTTGATCACACTCTGCTAGGGGCATTTTCCCACTTCAAGTAAAGAGTAGAAGACTTATCTGGATATAGGTCCCTTTACCCACTCTTCTTTATATCATTGTTGCTTAAATATTTCCTCTACTTACATTGAGAACCACATCAGACAATGTAATTTTTCTTGAACTGTCTCAATATAATTTAGAAAACTCAGAAGAAGAAAGATAGTTTGTTTTAGTGATCCATTTTTTGGCTCTTTTCATAGTTATTTCTTCATTCTTAATGTTACAATTTCCTTCTTAATTCATTTCATTTATGTTGGAAGAACATTCTTTTAGAGTCGGTCTGTTGATGACAAATTGTCTTAGTTTTCCTTCATCTGAAGATGTCTTGATTTTATCTTCATTCCTAAAAAAGGAATGCTGGGTGTAAACTTCAGGATTGACTGTTTTTTTGCATTTCAAAAACATTATGTCCCTTCCTTGTGGCTCCTGTAGTTCAGGATGATAAACCTACTGTCATTCAAATAATGACTCCTCTGTAAGTAATGTGTCATTTCTTTCACTGTTTTCAAGGTTCTTTTTTTTCTTTAGTTCTTTGAGGATGGTGTATGATATATCTTGGCATGGATTTCTTTGGGTTTATCCTGTTTGTGGTTTACTCTTGGATATATAAGTTTATGTCTTTCACCAAATTTGAAAATTTTTAGCCATTATTTCATCAAATACTTTTTCAGCTACACACTGCTTATTGACTTCTCAATAATATGCAAGTTAGATCTTTTTTTATTGTCCCTCAGCTTCCTGATATTTGTTTATTTCTCTTCAGTCTAATTTCTCTCTGTTTTTTGGATCCAGAAATTTCCATTATTCCACCTTTAAAGTTATTGATTCTTTTCTCTGTATATTTATTTCACTATTGAGTCAACCAATGAGTTTTAACATTTTGATTACTGTATTTTCTAGTTTTAAACTTTTCACTTCTCTTTGCATTTTCTATTTATTTGCTGAGATTTTTCTATGTTTTTCATTTGTTTTAGTTTGTATGCTATAATTAATTGAAGCATTTTTATGATACCTGCTTTAAAAATCAGCTATCATAATTACAACATTTGTATCATCTTAGCATTGCCATCAATTGATTGTCTTTTCCCATCCCAGTTGAGATTTCCTTTGTTTTAGGTTTAGTGAATGATTTGCAATTGTATCCTGGACATTTTGGGCATTATGTTTGTGAGGTTCTGAATGTTACTGAATGTTCTTTAATTCATAGGAAATCACCATGCTCAGGTGTAACATGCAGGTTCAATTGGGAGTGGAGAGTTAGCTCCCTGCTTGAGATCTGCTGTCCCAACTCTGGCATAAACAAGGTATTAATTTTCATCACCTTACTCTGCCTCATTGTGGAGGGTGGGTGTGAAAACTTTGCTGCCTGCTGGTCTCTACTGACACCTCCCTGGTGAAAGCAGAGCTTGCACTGCCTCATTGCTTCCTGCTGAGGGTGAAAGTTTTGCTCCTTGTTGAGTCCTGCTGACACTGGCAGGGCTGGGGAGAAGTGAGGTGCCAACTAATCTTGCTAGTTTCACCACATTGCTGCTGGGTGGGGTGGGAATTCAGCTCCACAGTGAGCCTGCTAACATCAGAGAAGTGATTTGTGTTTTTAAAAATCACACTGGTTCTGTGTTGAGTATGGATTGTCTTGAGACATGCAATAATGCAGGAAAATACAGGGAAAGGTGGCTGTCAGTCAAAGTGAGAGACTGGTTTCCATGTAGATCCACTTTAAACTTCTAGGAAACTAAATGCAATAATTCTTATCATTTCAAATAAGGCTCATGTCATGATGCCTTTTATGATGGGGAGCATCTTTATTTGTATTTAGATGGAGATAATTATTCGGTTTGAAGTTCATATAGTATAGAATTATTTTCTTCATTCCATGCAAGAATTAAGGGGTGTCACATTATTTTTCTGGGAACAGACTGAATCAGTGAATTAACATGTTCTGTGGCTCATTCATGGTTACATCAGATTTCACTTAAATAAAATTTACCACAAGTAAGTAAAAATATTATAAAAGATTATAGAATGACAGTTAAAAGTTTGGGCTTTGGAATATGGCATACCTGGATATAAGTCCCAGCTTCCTGATTTATAGATATGTGACTTCAGAATATGCATTTAACGTCCTTAAACCTCACATTCCACATCTGTTATATGGGTTTGAAAATACCCATTTATCATAGTGTTGTGAAGGCTAAGATGTAGAGAAAAAGGCTGTATTGTTATATTTCATTCTTGGAAGTAATTATAGAATGATTTTTTTTCTTCTGAGGACATTTTTATGATTCATGATTTAAATAATTTCCTCAAAGAGAAGAAAGATTATTCAAATCAGTAGTGCATTTGTGTAAGATGTCATACTGCCGATATATGTGTATACAAACAAATAGAAG
The DNA here is from genome assembly GCF_000001405.40 of Homo sapiens. Classification (NCBI taxonomy): domain Eukaryota; kingdom Metazoa; phylum Chordata; class Mammalia; order Primates; family Hominidae; genus Homo; species Homo sapiens. The sequence continues at coordinate 89,843,770 of NC_000005.10, read as the reverse complement.
GCACCTAATGATTTTATATTGCACTGTTTAAACTTGTAGAATTATAATTTTTGGAGAAATTAAATACATGATTTTTTTTTTAACCAAGTTCAGTGGGATTGATGCTCAAAGAATCGTGAATAGAACTAAAGGCAAACTTAACCAAGTTGGGCTAAGCTGGTCTTGGTTACACAAGACTCTTGGAGTTTATGTCTATCACTAGAATAATTCTAATTAGGCCTATGATTTCTAAAAGCCACAAAGCCTTTCTGTGTCTCTTTTTTTTCTGTCTCTGGGATGGCAGTGAGGGCAGTTATTGGTTTTCTGTTTGCCACACTTGATTAGTAAGCCAGTGTCTTGGGTTCATTTGTGTGCTGATCCTTTGCTTGTCTGTTGATGAATGGAGTTTAAAGAGGATGAATTTGATTCTCTTTCTCTTACTTGACTAAAAATAACAAATATTTAATAAATTCATGCTATAATCAAGGCACTTTAGAAGCATCCTTTAGGATAGTGAGTTATCACATAACTGTCCCTGAGACAGACTATTTGACAGTCTCTTCAAAATCTATTCCCTCCCTCTTAATATTGTCCAGATGTTCATCTTCCTCTAGGCAGCCATGTGCTCAGGAAAGGCTGGTTCTGCTCTCCTTTTGGTCAAAAAGAGGCTTTTAATTTGTCTAACCAATTTGATGCCCCCCTTCCTTTGCCAATGATGGCTTAGACATCAGCCTGTGAGACAATTTTAGTTATTAAATAGTCTGCTGCTAGGTTCCTGGGAAGGGCTTATTTATTCGTAAAAGGAGGAACAAAAAATGAATGTCCTCCCTCTTCTTCTGGACATAGTCCTGTTTAGATGTGAAGCTCACAACTATTGCAATCATCTTGTAGACATGGGAGGAGAAGGTCCAAGAACAGCCAAGAGTCTTCTGATGATGGAGCAGAGGTGAGCCACTCTCTGAACCAACCCAGCATCACACTTTGTCTAGGTTTCCTGTATTTTTTAAGTACATCTTCTTGTTGTGTAAGCCAGCTGTCAAGGTTTCCTGTTACTTCCAGCTGGAGGTAAATTGAGAAAGTCCCCACATTCAAAACGAACTAATAAACCACAGATGGAATGCAAGCAAAGTGAAAATAAAATTCCATAGTGCACTATATGAAAAGTAACATGAGGGGAAACTGAACTCAAGAAATACTTTAGGATTTTCTGCTAAAATGACATCTATTGCCTCTGTCTAAATCAAGTTTTTTTCCCCTGATGCTTTATAGCACTCTGTTTACCCTTTACCTATACCATTTACATTATCACTTATAGTATAGTTGCATGTGATTGCCTTAATTTTCTAGCATGTAACCTGGAAGGCCTATATTTTTGCTGCTTATACAAGTGTGTACTGTTGTACAAGTAGGAACTGAGGAAGCACTTTTTGAATGAATAAATAAATATTATACAGGATTATAGAACTTCAAAAGAAGGTGAGGCCAGACTTATCCAGGTGAAGAGAGCAAATTCTACTTTTTAAATACAGTTGAGTTTAATGGGAAAGGCATTTCAGAAGCATTTGAAATGTGCCTTGAAAGATTAATGAGGTTTGAATAAATAAAAAGAAAAGCCTGGGGAGGGTGTTCTAGGGGGAAAATAAAGAGACAAAAGGGATATCTAAAGCAAAGTTGTAAAATTGTCTAGTTTTTATGAGAAGTAGAAGTAAAACTGGAAAAGTAGTTCAGAGTCAAACTGGAAAGATCTTGAATTCCAGAATGAAAAGCTTGTCATTGCCCTCTAAGAATTATAGAAGAACTAAAGATTGAAACAGAAGTATTAAGTTATACAAAAGTGACGTTTTATAGAAATATTAATCTAAAATTCCTCCTTGCCTACCCTTTGCTATATGAATCTAAGGGCCTCTTTACAAATTTCCCTTATGACTGGGTACCTTCTAGTTTCATACATCAAACCATACCATGATGGGGCACATTTTCTGAATATAGAGTGTTGCTGATGAATATGCGTGATCATTGAATACAATAGAACAGAATTCAAGTAAGAATATTCTCTCTGACCCTTCTCCTCCCCTTTGCTTATTTCTTTCCTCCTTCAGATCTCTCCTCATTCCAGGCCACTTTTTACTGTTCTTGCTGGGTGAGTGAAGATATGACCCTCTGCAGTGTAAATAGAGCTAGCATTGCCATCAGATACCTGTAGTTCAACATTGGGCATGGAGATATAATATCAATGGAATGCTAATGGAAGAACGAGCAGAACTTTCAGAAAACTAAAAAAAGCAGCAATATCATAGAAGATATGGACAGTGAGAATTTTTAACGTTGCTACTAAGTTTAATATGGAATTTTGGGGAAAAAAAATCAGGACTCTGTGGAGAGTGTATCAAATGTGGACTTTTGCACAGTATAGGTCTTGTGGCATTGAATGATATTAAAACATGTTAAGTGATGGCTGGTAGGCTAAGCAATGTAGTCTGGTTACAAGCCCAAGAATACCTAGGCATAGTCCCAAGAGAAGTTTGTAATCAAATGCAGCTTGCAGAGAGAGTTTCAAATCTTACATGATTTTCATAATGAATGTTTTGGATTATCACAATATGTTTTCCTATGCTCATTTTCATCTAGATGGAGGGGGGATTTCAAGAATCCATGCCTTATACTTTTTATTTCAGTTCCTTAAGGTACTCAGAATTTCCTTGCCAGAAGGATCCATGTAAAAATTAGAATCCATCTTGAAATTCAACTAAAGACTGCATCCCTAAGTTGTTTCAAAAAATTGAGAGCTGAACATATTGTAATCCTCAGAGCTGTCCCTAGACAGACAATATTGCAGAAGTTTTTGCCCATGTGTCTTTGTTTTGCAAATGAATATGCAACATTACATTAGAGCAACAAAAAATTAATCTTGGAATCGAAGAACCTAACAAATGTTGAATTGAAAAACAAGTAAGTTAACCTTAGAGAAAAGGAAAAGAAACATTTAGTAATTTATTAATGCCTCAAATTTTATAGTGATTTTTCCGTTGACAGTCAAGGGAAAGGGGAAAGAACTAGAGACTGTGTATAGAATTAAATGCTGTTTTAAATGAATATCTACTGTTGTTCCTGTAAATACTATATAATAAAGCTAAATTATTCAGATATTACTGAGAAATGTATTCTTATAAAAAGCACCAGGCACATAGCCAATCTCATTTCAAAACAACAAGGCAAAAAATAAAATAAAATTGTACCATTTACAGAAACCATGGCTTAGAACACCTCTCATGACCAGAATTGTTAGAATTCTAGTATAAAAATGGGTGGAATTATTCTTTACAGTCTCATGGAAATATTACTATGAAAATACCTTCTTGTTTCATGTGGTATTGTGGATAATCTGGAAAACTTTATTTATTTATTTATTTTGGTGAATCTATTTTTGTCTCTTTAAACTATATTTATAACAGCATCTAGTTTTCTTCCTAATCATCTAAAATACATGGTCTACCCTTGGTTTAAATGCTAAAAACACATGACTTTGAATTTTCTACAAAGTTTAAGAGTAACAGTGTTTGAAAAGAGACTTATAAATCAAACTAAAACTTTTTTTACTTAATAATTTAGTTTAAAATGTTCACACTGTTTCTATTTGGATGGCATTACTGAGAAAGAGATCTATTAATAAATAGTTCTTTCTATGAAATATCCAAATGGAACACGGTTGATAAATTACTAGCTTTGCCTTCATAGTCTTGGAAAAGAAAACCTTTTGCATTCTGCCTTGTGATACCTGCTGGCTGATGGTAGAAATGGTTGGACTAAGAAATTACCTTCATCATTTTCCACACTCCATAAATGAGGTCAAATGGCTCTAAGGTTTGTCTCTTGCCCCTTCTCTTTATTGCCTTTTCACTGATCTAATTTCTATCACTGCCAGCCTCCTTTAGTATTACTACTTCCGGTTATGACATTGCAGGCAATGAAGCGTGCTACTGAAATTTATTCTCTTGTTTAATAGATGTTTCCTCTATAATTCCTTCAACTTTCTAAATTGATTTGACCATAACCCATTACAAATGAGAAAACTGGCATACAGAGAAGTTCAGTGTTGTAGTCCTGTATCTTTAGTGGCCAAGATATAACCAGAATTTACTTCTCTTACTTTTTTTTTTTTTTTTCCTTTTTTCTTTTTTAAGACAGGGGATCTGCTGTATTCCTGAGGCTGGAGTGCAGTGGTACAATCTCAACTCACTGCAGCTTTTGTCTCCCAGGCTCAAGTGATCTTTCCATCTCAGCCTCCCTAGTAGCTGGGATTACAGGTATGTGCCACCATGCTCAGCTAATTTTTAAAAATTTTTTGTAGAGATGCGGTCTCACTCTATCGCCCAGGCTAATTCTCTCACTTTCTAACATGGCTCTCTTCCCATAGTGCTGCTCAGCCTTCAATCAAATGAAGTAAATGGATTTTGCTGGAAACACAGTTCTTGTGAGAGGATGTCTTACATTCAGCTCTATATGCTGACCAGCATGTTCACTCTTCACTCTTTTCCTGTCGTTCCCACTACTCTTTGAGGCAAAACAGCATTTACTGTTGCACCGAAGACATATCCTGCGGACTCAAGTTTGAGGCTATTTCTCCCAGGCCTGAAAAAACCTATCACTAGCATAGGCATTGTAGAGATCCTTTCAACTTTTAACAATAATTTTCTTCTGAGTAATCAAATTCTGAGTTAAAGTTGGTAGAGAATTTCAAAGAGCAGAGAGCTGGCAGGTTATATTGTTTTAAATATTGTATTTATATATCTGATATACATATAGATAGGCTCAAGAATTGCCTGTCTCCAAATCATGTATATTATTATTGCTTATTATAGATTTAATGCAAAGGTGTTTAGTAAAACATTTTTTCGTGTTTATCTAAATTTGGAATATTAAACAGCTTTAGAATATTTTCATTTTCATTAATTTTATTGGTTATTATGGAAATAAATCTAAGTTCAGCTGAACAAACATAAGATATATTTTTTAATTCCTATTATAAACATTACTTCAAAGTTTAAAAATTTCTCATGTAATACCTATTAGCTTTTTGGGATTTCCTGAGTTGTACTTGTAAGTCTATTCGTATCTACTGTGCCTATGACTCAAAGAGAAGTCAAATAAGGAAGAAGCTCCAAAAATAAGTATGTGTTAGTGGAGGATAACACACACCATCCTAACTTTGTTTCTCCTGCATAATTTTCTGACTTTTCGGTATTTTTTCATTCTTTTAAACTTTTGATAACCTAGTTTGTTCAGTTTTGAATCACATATACATACATGGTTCTTTGTATGCTTGTGAATGATTTTTAATTCTGAAGCTCTTGGATTTAAACATGTTTTTCTTTTAAAAAATAAGGTTCATCCCCAGTTTTTATTTATTAGGTATAATATCTAGTAATTTTATTTACAAAACTTTTACTTAAAAATGTTTATTAAACTAATTATTAATTTTGGGGAATTTAAGCTTTGTTGCATTTGAGAACTTACTCTTACAGAAAGAATAGAAGATCATCTGAAACCAATTATCTATAGTGCTTATATGACCACTCCTTCGTTTACTGCTTATTTTTCTTTCTTAGCTGGCTAACATGCTAAAGATCTGTGGCAAATTGCCTTTATGAATAAAACTGTGGATTGATCTTTCTATCACCTATCTTATGAAGAGCCTGCAAATGCTAGATATTAATTGAGTCATGAAAAATAGTCTATTGCTAATGGGGTTTTCATCTTTCTAACTTTAAACACGCACAAAACACTTTGGAAAAAGTACAAATCTCATTTGGTCTGAAAATAACATGCTGTGGGTCAAAATTTTCTACTTTCTTTATCTGAGAAACTATTTGGGGGCTAGAAAACTGATTTCTCTTTAAATTCTTTATCTATATATCTTTGAATGCCAAATTGAATTTCCTGCATAGTCTACCTATCTCATTAGCTCAAAATTACCAAAAGCTGGTCTTTTACACTAGCTTCTAATTACTTTTTCCCCTTGTCATGGTCCTTGTTCAGGGTGGAAATAACTTTTTTTCCAAATAGGACTTCCATGATTATAGATTGAGAAAGTTAGATGTTGCAATAGCCATAGAGATTACTTTCCATTGCATAAATGAAATAGAAATTTTTGTCAAATATTACAGCAGATTATAATTTTCTTTAATTATTAAAAGCTTGTTTTTATTGGCTTATTAATTTTTTCCACTGAATTTTCAAATTTATCAGTGTAGTTGCTACATTATATGCTTGTTATCTTTTTCTTCATATATAAAATGGAGTTTAAATATCAGAAGCCATATGTTTTCCATCTTAAAATGCAATTAGGAACTGAGAAACACAAAGGATGTGATTATTTTGTAAATATTGATAGATGACCAAATATTATAATGTTAATTGCTAACATGAAATACAGGAAGTGTAACAAAATAATCAGAAAAAAAAACAGAGGAGAAAGAAGAACATTTTAAAAAGGAAGAAGAAATATTGTAACCATAAAACAAGAACAGGGTACTATAAAAATGGACATAAAGAAAGCCAAAAAAATAAAGCAACTAGAAATTTAAAATTTAATGAGAGAAAAAAATATGTAAAGAGATAGTTGGAAGAAGTTGAGAAAATCTTCCAGAAAATAGAGCAAAAATGTCAACAACATTGAAAACAGGAGAAAAAAAATGAGAAATTTACAGGACCAGTCTAGTAGGTCTAATACCTGAAAAATAGAAATTCTATAAAAAATAGAAAAAATGAGAAGTAAAACATTAATTATTTTCTTGTAATAAAACAATTTCTTTTTTCAGATTGAAATGGTTCCTGAGGTTTTATATAAATGTTGGAATCACCACACACCAAAACAATCATCACAAAATTTCATAATCAAGGATTCAAAGGAAGAAATAGTATATATAGTTTCAGGGAGAAGAAAGAAACAAAATAAAGCAAATCTACTAAAAGTAATCAGAATAACTCTGGACTTTTCAAGGTAACATTGAACCTAAAAGTCAATGAAGAACTATCTTCAAAAATTTTCTAAAGAAAAAGAATGCCCAATTAGAAGTCTACGTAGCCAGGTATCAATCATCGGAGACTCAAGACTATTTTCAACCATTCACATTCTCAAATAACACATTTCTTTACCTAATAAGATATTGGAGAATGTGTTCCACCAATCAAATGAATAAAACAAGAATAGTGAACACATGAGATTTGGGCAGCACGAGATCCAGCACAGAAAAGCAGTGAAAGGAAGACTCCAGACTAAAAGCTGTGCACTACTTGTACAAGGAAATTAGCTCTGAAGGGTAAATCTAGAGGCTCCTGGAAAAAAATCCTCTTTAAGCAGTTGAAACTGAATGCCTGACACATCTGAACATCTAAAGAGGAGATTTAGTAATTGATAGAGTTTGGAGCTCAATTAGTAATGAGTGTAAAAAGAACCAAGCAAATGAATAAGATATATGCAATAACTAGGGAAAACAACAGAAATATGCAATAACTAGGGAAAACTAATTGTATTAATCTGTTCTCACACTGCTATAAAGAATACTACCTGAGACTGGGTAATTACAAACGAAAGAGGTTTAATTGACTCACAGTCCTGCAGGCTTAACAGAAAGAGGTTTAATTGACTCACAGTCCTGCAGGCTTAACACGAAGAATGGCTAGGAGGCCTCAGGAAACTTACAATCAAGGCAGAAGGTGAAGGGGAAGCAGGCACCTTCCTCACAAGGCGGCAGGAGGAAGTGTGTGGGAGAATGAGTGAGTATCACACTTTAAAACCATCAGCTCTCATGAGAACTCACTCACTATCATGAGAACAGCATGGGGAAACTGCCACCATCATCCAATCACCTCCCACAGGGTTCCTTCCTCCACACATGGGAAGTATGGGGATCAAAATTTGAGATGAGATTTGGGTGCGGACACAGAGCCAAACCGTATCACTGATTATAGTCTATTACACAGCTCAGCTTAAAGAAAAAATTTATTATTGTAATAATGTATACTCTGAATATTAATCTAAAGAAGTTACAATGTAACTTCCACGGAATATGGTGAAATTGTTCTAAATATTAGGGGGTGAGCGGTTGAGAGGAGAGAATGCTAAATGCTTGTGATCTGCAGTGGAAGTATATAAACAATACTTAAAACTGAGAACTCAAACTCAAGAAGCAGCAAAAAAGATTATGTTCTTTAGAAATATGGTAAGTTATGCCAAAATAATCAGGTGAAAAGTAGAAACATGGTGATATATACCAACATAATTGGCTAAGAGAGATAAAAATTGTGGCTATGGAGGGGGAAAATTGGAAAGTAGAAGTGGGGATTTACTAATTTTCATAATAAAATTTCTGGGCCAGGTGCAGTGGCTCACACCTGTAATCCCAGCACTTTGGGAGGCCAAGGCAGGGATAACTTGAGGTCAGGAGTTTGAGACGAGCCTGGCCAAAATGGTGAAACCCTGTCTCTACTAAATACAAAAAAATTAGCCTGGTGTGGTGGTACGTGCCTGTAATCCCAGCTACTTGGGGGGCTGAGGCAGGAGAATTGCTTGAACCTGGGAGGCAGAGGGTGCAGTGAGCCAAGATTGCGCCATTGCACTCCAGCCTGGACAATAAGAACGAAACTCCGACTCAAAAAAAAAAAAAAAAATTCTGGGACTATTTGGCTCTTTTAAACTCTTTTGAATTAAAGATTTTATAAAATTAAAACTAAGGAAAAATAGAAATATGGAAACTAATCAATACAAAAATCCCAACAAACCAACCACATAAAATGCAATATTTTTAACATGTTTTATTATACTAGAGAGATGGTCACACTATGTTGTCAAGGATGGTCTTGAACTTCTAGCCTTTTAAGAACCTTCCAACTTGGCCTCCCCAAGTGCTGGGGTTACAGACATGAGCCATCAAGCCCAGCCTGGAAGATATTTTTAAGGCTCATGGTTAAAGCAAGGAAAGATAATTGGATACACGTGGATCTCTCAGCCAGTTGAAAAACTTAACATAGTGCTTATCTGTTTATTAAAAGGCTTTGTTTTGAAGTCACCTAGGGCATATTTGAATGTGGATAACAGATTACATTCTTTTAATTTTTTTTTTCTTATTTCCTACCAATGAGTAATACAAGATAAACATGTGTTCTTGTAAACCACCTTGAATTTTGGGGGCAATAAATCGGGGTATAAATGAACAGTACTGACATAAGACCTATTAAGTATTCAAAACAAAACTTGCAAATATAAAACAAATGGAGGGAAATGAGATGTCTGGTACCAACAATTACAATATGGATTTAGGAAATGAAAAAATAATTATTAGATCCAATAGCAGAGAATCTAAAATTATTTAATTAATACTTCAAATGACCATTATGTGGTAACTTTTGTGCTTTGAGTTATATCGGCACAAAATATAACATGCTCTTTTTTATGAAGGCAATTGAATTTATGTATGAGAGAATTTATTTCATTTAATAATTACAAAATACAGGACAAAAACCAAAATTGTAGAATAAATGAAAATGACAGCAGAAAGAACACTTTGTGCAGTTTGTGAAGAAAGTGAATATTTTTGGAAGAGCTATATTTGGAATGGGACTTAAGGAGGGGAGGGATTTCTGGATGAAGAGGAGGCAGAGGAATTTACAGATGAGGTGGGAAACATAGGTGAAACTCATCAAACTGGAGTAAAAGGCACACATTGGCAAGTCACGGAAAGTGATACAGTTGGGAAAAAATGATACAGGTGGGACCAGATTATTAAGGACTACAGGTTTTACTATACTAGATACCAGAAGTTATTTTAGGTTCTGTAAATGCACAATTAATAAGATTTTTAAGAAGTTAGCTTGGCAAATAGGTATAAGGAAAACAGAGAGGAGAGAGTCTGGTGGCAATAAGATCAGGTAGAGATTGTATGTATGAATTGATGCAAGTCTTCATTATAGTGGAACTGCAGAGATAAGTGTAATGAAACATTGAGAATTGGTAATACAATTTACATTTATATCTATGAAATTGGTTCAGAGAGAAAGGATTATATCATTAACTAAAATGGGTAACTTCAGATGGAGAGTTTGATGAAAGGTGTTTGTAAAGAAATTATAACTCATGTAGCCAGTTAATATCAACATATTTAGAAGACTGCTTCTCACCCTCCGTTTCTCTGGAGTGCTAAAGATATCTGATTGATCACTTTTTAAAAACATATTTAATGAGAACGACTGTATAGATAGAGGCTGGGAAGTTATACCAGGTTTTCTGTGTGAAGAGGATGATCTACAGAAAGATAAAGCTGGGGAACTGCCCTACCTATCCAGAAAAATCATATCCAGTCTCAAGCAAACGGTTACTGAAAGTATTGTCATTGTAGCATTTAACTTTAGTTGTGCAGATAGTAATGTTAGGTTGTATATCTGTTTAGCTGGCTTAGACATGGCCAGTTTTTCCATTGGTAGGGGTTTGCAAATAAATTGTACCTTTATTTAGTCTTGTTTCATCTCCATGGATTTGTGGTCACGATGATACCTATACAATTAAATGCAACCAAGCGCTTTGTATGCATATAGTTGATTGCCCTTGTTTAAAAATGTTAGGACTCTGAGATCCTTGTGATAAGCTGGACCCAGAGGTTAATTAGGTAGACAGTAATTTGATCACATTACTGCAATTGAAGTTGATGGCAAGCATGTGGCCACAATTCTATTTAAGATTTAAAATATGTATATTGCAATCAAGAAGACTAAACCCTGCTCATATCGTGCTACCTGTACTGGAAGAAGAAAGAGGTAGAGTGAAGATGATGTTGGGTTATGGGGAGGGTGAAGAAAGAGCGAGGAAAAGGCACTTCTCCACCCAGCCTCTGGGGCATCTTGTAAACTGCAAGGATAGGGAGCTTTTTTTGTCTTAGAGGTACAAAATTTTAACTTACAACATTGTGTTTCTTTTTATTTGGATGGTTTGTCTAAATTTGGTTTATTCAGTATAGCCCCAGACTATTTTGTCTCTTTGAACTAGATGAAATAATTATAGCTTTTTCCCCCCGAACAATAAATAACAAATCAAGCAAACCTGAAAGACTTGTGTTTTTCTATTTATTTCTTTTGTGTATTTCTAAAAAGTATGAAACCAACTGCTGCTTTCTTCTAGTGGTATCACATATTCATAAGATTCATATCAAAAGAGTTACTAAAGTTTGACTTGTCTTCCACTTCACATTCTAGTTTGATGAGAAATATTCCTGAAGACCATTAATCAGGGATACATGCTGCTGTGTGGTGAGTATGGAAACTTATAACACTATTTATTATGGCCCATGACGGGATGGAGCATGTTTACTTTTTGGTGTGTACAGTGGACACCCTACCAAGGAACTGTTTCTCAGCTGGGAATTTTAGCGTCCCTAACTCTGACGTGCCCTTTAGTACCAGGTCTGAGCAAACTACCTTGAGGAAGATTAATTCCATGTCTGCCTGTGATATAGACATGGAGAAACTCATTTTTCACAGCTATAAGCATCCATCCAGAGGAGTCAGAATAAGAAAAGACAAAATGGAGCTATCACTGTGGAATGAGTGCAATGGGTAGACCTGAGATAACTCTTTGAGCTCCCGTAAGCAAATACTGTCAGGAAAAAGGGTTCTGAGGCCCTGGAATTTTGCATACATTAATTTATTCCATAATTTATAGTCAATGACTATTCATCAAGTGCCCACAATATACCTTGTGATATAGCAGTGAATAAGACAAGCTTCGTCTTTAGGGAAGAAGACCAAGTGTGGGTGCTGAGTTACTGGAATGCTGGTTCTAACATTTACTTTGTTGATACGGCAGGCAGTTAGAAACAGGATATACTTTATCTACTACATATTCAAAGAAAAAAAAACCTGGAAGTAAACACAGAAAATGTTAACATTGGTTATTTTGAAATAATGGGATTATGTGTGATGTTTATTTTCTCCATTATTTCCTTCCAAATTTCTAAATTTTTTATAACATATATTATTTTTATATTCAAAAAATTGAAAGCTCCAGTAAATGTTTTCCCTTACAGTGTGGAATCCAAATGTTCGAGCTAAAGTTACCAGTAGGGCTCACAGGCCAAAGTGAGTTTAGTCTGGGACTCAGAGTTTTTCCCCAGAGTCCATCTGGGCAGAGCAAGGACAGAGGCATGGTCTCCATGTAAATCATGAATTAATGTCAAGCTGGAAAGAGTAGTGGGAGAGAGCGAGGAAGGCAGGACAATTCACAGCCTGAGTCCGGGCTGGGTCAGGGCTCAGGAAGGTGTCAACTCAAAGTTCCATCCTGAGCTTTCCCAAGCCCATGGCCCCTGATTGGCAACTCTGAAATCCAAAAGCTCTGCAACTTTTCAGAGCTTTCTTTTCATTCATTTGACAGTAAAATCTAATCTGACTTCTACTCATTTGGTGGTAAAATTTTACCTTAACTTACATCATGCTGTTTATAGGCCACTTATAATTGTGTTTAATTTTTAGATGCTGCCTCAGGCATGCTGGAGTTGTTAGATAATATGTATTTTATGTTCCATGTGACCTTTCTAAAACCTACAAACATCTGATTCTGAAACATAAATGATCCCAGGGCTTTAGAGAAGTTATTGTAGATGTACCTGTCTATTTGACATTTCTCTATATATACACTGAAGTCACTTCCAATTCACGTTTCCTAAAACAGAACTCAGCTTGCCCTTCAAACCTGCTTTTTTAGATGTTCTATCTCTGTTCATTTTGTGGCTATACTCCCAGATACAGAAACATAAAACTAATATCTTAGTGAGACACTTAACTGTTAGAAATATTTACAGCTGTTAAGTCTTCCAACAGGACGTACTATCCCCAAACTTTTATTACTCCAATATCTCATTTGCATTCCTGACAGACTGATCATCCTGAAACGTGGTTACCAAACCTTAAGTAGCATCCAGCTTTCTACCAAATTAATAAAGCACCTCACCCTGGAATTAAGGACCTCACCCCACCATATGCTCCCAACCTCACCTCTCTAATAACCCTCTAGGGGATTATTTTTTTTTCCTAGAGCATCTTAGTCTATTCTCCTTCCCTAAACATATTTAGATTTTCATATTTTAGTGACTGCTTATACCATCTCTGTCTCCTGGAGTAATCTTTAATTACATCAATTAATATCTTATATTTTCCAAGTGAAAACAGCACCTCCTCCATGAAGCCTTCTATAGTCAGCCACAAGTGACTTGCAATCCTTTGAACTCATACTATATATTAACTACCTATTCCATGTGAAAAGTATATCCAGCCTTGTTTCGTCTATATTCGCGTATTAGCGAATACCTGCTTAATCCAATAGCAGAGCATATAGTTGGCCTTCAATATGTGAATTTCCGTCTACCTAAAGATGTAGTATTGTTAATATCTAGTATCTCCATATTCCCTATAGTGCTTATAGTACATGCTCAGTGTCAAACACTGGGATGAAACTACTATAAAAGTGCAAAAAGTGGACTCCTATACCAAGAAGTAAAATCTTCCCCTAAGATGTATATGATATTCTGCATTAACTTATGAAAGCCCCACAACCACAATATGTGAGTATAATCCTTTGCCTAGAGATGTTATTTTGGTTAAGAAGTCTGGAAATTTCATGAGCTCCAAGAAGGCTTTCTGAAGAGCATTCTGTAAAGCCCCTGCAAAAGTTATCTTAGCAAAATTTCCCACACCAATTAAATGTGCAAAAATGGCTTACATGGAGATTAACCTCTGGGTTTAAGGGTAAGTTGACTTCCTCATTTTATTTAAAATAAGTTACTTCCCACTGGATTGAAAAGCCAAATAAGGTCAAAAATTGAATTCACTAGAGGCTGCATGTTAAGAAAAGTATGTGGCAAAAGCATTTATTCTGTAAAGACAAATTTAATCCAATGATATACAATCACTTAAAAATTAAAATGGGCATTTGGAAGATAAATAAAGGGCAGGAATAAATTATCAAGCATGGAGAATGAATAATGATAATTTTATAACGGATGTTTATCCTTTTTATTATTTACATTTTATTAGTGATTGTATTGAAAAATTATTGTTAAAAAATACGTTTTATCCAGCAGGTCTTCAGTGATGAGGGAAACAAGGTATTTTCCAGCAATTACTTTTGTTAGTTACCAGTTTGAAGCTTTTTATTATGTTCCATGCACAGAGAAAATGATTTCTCTAGAGGAATCTGATCCCACAGACACAGTTCAGAATACTGAAGTCTTTGGGCTTTCTATACTAGGCCATTGAGTTATGCCTCGAATCCTTTGGGAGATGCCAACAAAATGTCTAGGTTTAAAGTTCTTCTGTTCCAGCTTCCATGGGTCTGTTGATAGTACTCTTATTATGCAATAGAATTGAGCAGTTTTAATAATGTCTCTTCTTTTTTGAAATTTTATCTTCCCTTGGATTTCTGATCTTTCCATTCTTCTGGGTCTTCAACCTTTTAAGGCTGCTCTTCCACAGGGCTCTTTCTTCTCAAACCAATGAAATCCCTTCTATGTACCTACTCCTCTCCTTTGGGAAACCTCACACACTTTAATGATTCTTAAATGTGTGTCCTTAACCTTATCTCCCTTTCCTAAGAAGTCACATGACCGGTAAATGGTGAAACTGGGATTCGAACCCAGACTTGTATACACTAAAGTCCAATTTCTCAATCATAACACTAACCCTGTAGGTTATGTTTCACTATCATCATTGCTGGCATTTACTGAGTGCCATGTTTTGGTGATACTATGTGCCAGGCACTGGGTTTAGATCCTTTACATATGCTATGCTAATCTTCATAATAGGCCTTTGGTATTGTTCCAATTTCCCAGGTGAAATTTTATGCTGTGGGTGTGGTCCATCAGAATTTAAGGACTTGCCATTTGCATTTTCAGTAAGACCTCAAAGGCAGGCATAGTTATGGAGCACAGTTACATGCTGCTTTAAAACATTAACACGCAAACTCAAATGTCTACATCAATAGAGTAGGTAGCATAAATAAGCAAATCAAGCTTTAAGACAATAGGGACTAGTGAGGACTGTGGAAAATTAAGAGGTTATCCCCCACCTGAAGTCATTCAGGTTCAATTTGTAATGACACTGTGCAAGTGAGCATGTAAGCCAGCCCACAGGTGCACACACATACACACATACACACACACACACAAACACGTAGGCATGCACACTCCGATGGAGAGTTTGCAGTCCCTTCAACTATCACTTTCCCTTTTCTTTCACAAGCAAAAGTTATTAGGTAGAATACATAGATCAACAAATACATACTTCCATTTGGGGGATGAATGTGAAGTAATCGGTTCGCATGTGTTCATATTTAGACTCTTAAGACTAGTCTGATAAATGTCTGATGATCACTTTTCAGGAGTGTCTGCTTCATTTGAATTGTTTCATTTAGGTGGTAATGAAAAAACAAGCTTTAGTACTTTCTCAAAGAAGAAAAAACAGATCATGAATTTCTTTCTTCTTTTATCAGATGATCATAATACATAGCTTGAGAGCACAGCAGTTATCTCTCCACCTGAGGACTGACCCGAGGCTCCACTTTGAGAGTGCAGCCTGGTGCTCACTGCGGCATGGACAGTCAGCAGGCCAGGCAGAGCCCGCCCACCCGCACTGCAGAATGCCATGGGTGACTCCCTTGCTGCTTGGTTTTTTAGCACTGGCAGATGGGACCTCATTGTTTCAAAGTTTCGCTTTGGAAAATTCAGACATTAAGGGTTAATCTACATTTTAAAGTAGTCGTCTTTGAAGGAAATTATGCTATAAATGAGAAACCTGTGTGGAGTTCTGGGTTCTTTATGTTAGCTTTGGCAGGGCCAGGAGACTGTTTTGATGATAGAGCCAGCATTGGAAACCTGTATTTTATCTCGCAGGAAAACGAAGCAAATTTAAAACATTCCGCATTTGCCTTTTGACACCCCATAACCAAAAGATGAACTTTAATTTCTGGGAGGCCTCCCAGTGATTAATGCCTTTACGTTTATGACGTGAGAAGAATGAGCCGTATGTTACAGTTGGTCTTCTGTCCGTTTCTGAGGAGAGCCTGTGCCAGGATTTTGATGTGCACTCGCGTTCTGGCACCAGGCTGCACACTTCTCACCCAGCACAGAGCCAGCTCACAGATCCTGTTCGGCACAGCGACTCCAGACATACAGCATGAATTTGAAGGCGGCCTCCTCAAATGTGGCAGGCACAGTCTCCCTCTTCCTATTTGGAGCCTGTCTGTGGGGCTAGGACCTCTCTCAGCTGCCTGTAAAGCGGCCTTGGAGAGCTGTTTTTGCTAGCTACTTACTGCGACAGTCTCCGGGAAGGTGGGGCGTGGCCCTCCAGGGCAGCTTCACGATTGTTTTCTGTTTCCTACCTTTACTGGTAAAAGGGAACTGTTACTTTTCTCTTTTCATATGTGGAAATCGCATGTTCCGCTGTCTTGGAGGGGACAGTATTGGAGTGAAGACCTTTGGGGCCTTCTTTAATTCCTGCATCTCCTGTGGGAGACGAATGACATTCACTAAGCCCACGTGTGGTAGCTGTGAATGCTGTCTACCAAAGATTTTTGATTCTCCTTCACTTTATGGCTTCTGTTACGATGGTACTTCCTCTTTCGTGTGTAGCCACACAACTTGCTTTGTTCAATAAATATGGATCAAAAGTGGCATGTGTTACTTAGGACTGTAAACATTAAGAGCTGGTGAATAAGTTTCCACTCTCCCTTCTTGCTGCTGCCGTGACTGAAGAAGTCCCAGGTTGAGATGAGGCGTCTGTCAGCCTGGGTCCCTGTGAGAGTCTGAAGAACAGAGCATCCTTGCCCACCAGTGTCAGACAGATGCCATGAGGAAAAAATATATGTGTTTTTGTTAACCACTGCGACTTGGGGATTGTTTGCTACTGCATCATAAGTAAAGCCACTGCCCTGAAGCTCAAACAGTACAGAGACAGGCCCATCTCCTTCTTGTTTCACTCTTCCTTTTTAGGTATCAATAACATAGGTGAGTTTCTTCCATGTGGAAAAGAGACAAACAAAGTTGGCTTTAGCAGGTCCACCATCTTCCAGCTTTTCTCTCTGTGACAAGCTAGAGAGACCAAAATCTAAATCAAGAAGGGAAATAGGCAAACCTGCTATGTTCTTTAATTAGCTTTACCGTGAACACATTTACTACATTTTCATCCCCCTTGGTTCTTGTTCATTACTTCTCACTTTGGTTAGGAGTACACAGGTAGGAAAAGTGCTGACGACTGTTTTCCAAAACCTCCAACACCTTATATAGCACACCACTTAGTCCTCTATGTAGACAACAGGTATAGCATAGCATGCTATTTGTGTTGTTTCTTAAAGTCCTGAAATGACAGCAGCCTAATGGCTTATAGAAGTGGTAGGCAGGCTGGGCGCGATGGCTCACGCCTGTAATCCCAGCACTTTGGGAGGCCTAGGTGGGTGGATCACGAGGTCAGGAGTTCGCGACCAGCATGGCCAACAAGGTGAAACCCCGTCTCTACTAAAACTATAAAAATTAGCCGGGCACAGTGGCAGGCACCTGTAATCTCAGCTGCTCGGGAGGCTGAGGCAGGAGAATTGCTTGAACCTGGATGGCAGAGATTGCAGTGAGCTGAGATGGCACCACTGCACTCCAGCCTCGGTGACAGAGTGAGACTCCATCTCAAAAAAAAAGAAAAAAAAAGTAGTAGTCAGAATTCTAAGATGGGCCCTAAATTTCCAACCCAGGTGTGCATATTCTGTATATTCCCCTTCCCTTTGGTGTATGAATTAAAATATCATTTGTGAGCCGGGAGCAGTGGCTCATATCTGTAATCCCAGAACTTTGGGAAGCTGAACCCAGCAGATCACTTGAGGTCAGGAGTTCAAGATCAGCCTGGCCAACATGGCGAAACCCTGTCTCTACTAAAAATACAAAAATAGCCAGGCACGGTTGTGTGCCTGTAATCCCAGCTACTTGGGAGGCTAAGGCAGGAGAATTGCTTGAACCTAGTAGGTGGAAGTTGCAGTGAGCCAAGATCATGCCATTGCACTCCAGCCTGGGCGACTCCATCTCAAAAAAAAAAAAGAAAGAAAGAAAGAAAGAAAAAAGAAAATATCATTTGTGCACAAATACACTGTATAGCAAAGGTGAAAAGATTTTGCCAGTGTAATTATGGCCACTTATCAGTTGAGCTTGAGTTACCCAAAAAGGGATTACCCTGGTTGAGCCTAACTGAGACAGGTGAGCTTTCTTCTTTTTCTTTTTGTTTTGTTTTGTTTTGTTTTGTTTTGTTTTGTTTTGTTTCTTTGAGATGGAGTCCTGCTCTGTTGCCCAGACTGGAGTTCAGTGGCATGATCTCGCCTCACTGCAACTTCCGCTTCCTGGGCTCAAGTGATTTTCTTGCCTCAGCCTCCCGAGTAGCTGGGATTACAGGTGCCCACCACCACCCCCAGCTAATTTTTTTGTATTTTTAGTAGAGACAGGGTTTTGCCATGTTGGCCAGGCTGGTCTTGAACTCCTGATCTCAGGTGATCTGCCTGCCTTGGTCTCCCAAAGTGCTGGGTTTACAGGCGGAGCCACTGCACCTGGCCTCAGGTGAGCTTTTCAAACTGTTGAATAATAAATTTATTATTGTTTGAATCTACCAAATTGTGGTAATTTGTTATTCAGCAACAGAAAACTAATACAAAAGGAACATGATTGGACGGGTTTTTTTTTTTTTTGGTTTTTGGTTTTTGTTTTGTTTTTTTTTTTTAATATAACTGGAACTGGGGGTGTTGTCTTCTCATGTGGCCAAGAAAGAACTGGTGGTGAGGACCTCTGAGCCCCACGCTTCTCCCCTTGAACAATTCAGAAGGGTGATGGAGACAGAGCACAGTCTCTGTGACAATGGACAACCTTGTCCTTCAGCCCAGTGCTGGCTGTGAGAGGAAATGGAGATCTCCCTGAAGACTGTTGAGTTTCAGTGGTTACTAAATGTGACAGAAACTCAAGTATCCAGTATCAGTTAGGAGATCTTCTTTCTTCAAGATGACAAGTCTGAGTTCCAGCACCAGCATAAGGATGCTATACTTACTATCAACAGTAAGAATCCATGGAATGAATCCCTTAGGTCATAGTAAGAACACTGATTATTTTAAAATTTATCACCAAGAAGCTTCTCGAAGAGAGTGATGCTGTTCTGCTTGATAAAATATAAACTCAATTACATTAAATATTAAATAATATGTTTATTAGTTACAAATAGAATGTATTTGTGGGGCCTGATAATAAAAGCCTTTTCATAGATTTGTGTTCATTCACTTCAGTCTTTCTTCTGACAATGGATTGCCAGTTGTGTTTCAGGCATTTCTACCCTTGCCTCTCATCTGCAATTTTATTCTGGAGACAAGAAAAAAGATCGCTTCATCTTTCTTTCATTGCACTCTTCTGCACCTTTTGGGGCAAGTATGAATCTCAAAGAGACTGAGTCATAAATGGGGAGTCATGGCTGCAATGATTCCTCATGCCTGATGCTCTGTCCTGGAGGCAGGAGAAATGTGTTCAGCTGGGAGAATGAGTGTGTGGGGTGAATTCAGAAGCCACTGCCCTTGACCCTTTTCTACAAGTATCCAGGGAAGTCTTGGAGTGGCTGATGGTGGTGGTGGTAAAGAGGTGAAAAGGGGTAGGTAACTCATGTCCTCTGAGTCTTCAGAAGATCACATCAGTGTAGGATGAACAGGGGTAACATTCGTGTTATCTTCTGAGCACTCAGAAGACATGAGTTACCCCTGTTCATCTCTTAAAAAACAAAATGTAGCTGTTGATGTTTTTGATATCCTCAGAAATAATTTTTCTTCTCTAAGAAAGAAGAAATGAATCTAAGGGAAATTCTATTCTTCATGAACTGCTAAGGTCTTTGTGCTCTTCTACATTCAAATCAGTCAGTGATCTCTACGGTTTTATCAATAAATTCTTACTGGTTTTATCACACGAGGAATGACTATATACATTCTAAATCCAGCTCAGGTGATTTTAGGCAGATTTAATAAGTGATCACGAAACAAATATGGTAGTTTCACATTTTTACTTGTAGAATTTCCTTTAAAACATTTTAAGATTCAAAATCTTTCCGAATTTGCCCTTCCTTCTTCATATTTTCTCATTTTCCATAGAAAGATGCAATAGAAAAACCAGAAAATGTAAATGTAGGACAATAGCTAGATAAAACCCATTAAGAAAACTGACTATAAATGGTTTACGATATAGTACTATCAAAACAAACATTCCCATCACCAAACCATGTGTAAATTAAATTTTCATGACAGTAGATCTGAAGGCGTTCATCCTTCCTTGCTCCCTTTTCCAGTTTCTGCCTTTCATATGTAAATGGCCATGAGGCCCAGCAACTCTGCCATTCTTTCTCATTTGTCTCCTACCATTCAAGGCTAGGCCCTCAAGACCTCAAATGTACCCTTTTTTATTTCCTAACAAAGCATGGAACTTTCAGCTGCTTGAGCCCAGGGCTCCATTTTCAGTTTGGACTCATCTCATGACACACAATCCTCTCTGTAGGAGGCTCTGGGGCCCAGTGGCCCTGGCATCCCTCCATGCCTCACTTTCCTTTGGTAGTTGTCATCATGTAATTGTCTTAGTCTGTTTGGGCTGTTATAACAAAACACCATAAACGGAGTGGCTGATAAATAACAGACATTTATTTCCCATGGTTCTGGAAGCTGGGAAGTCTGAGATTAAATCACTGGCAGACTCAGTGTCTGGTGAGGGCCCACTTCTTGGTTCTTAAACAGCCATATTCTCACTGTGTCTTCACATGGTAGAAGGGGCAAGAAAACTTTGAAATTTCTTTCATAAGAGCACCAAAAGGCTTTGCCCTCATGACCTAATCTCCTACCAAAGGTCTCACTTTGAGTATGTGATAGTATTTGGGTATGTGATGGTATTAGGAATACCATCATATTGGATGTCAGGAATTCAACATATGAAATTTGAGTAGATGCATACATTCAGTTTATACCAGGAATATATCACAGGGGTTCTCCTCTGAGTCTTGCTGCTCAACAGCCCATATTTTTGAAAGCCTTACATTGTAAGCATATCAGACCTTTTACTTTCGGTTGTATAGTCATAGATAGGTTATAAGAACAAAAATGTTTAAAGGTGCGAAGAACCAATATAGTTGCTGTATCCTATCTGAGATGTTACCTAAAAGATATTTTTGGCTTTGTTCCTTCATGTTTATTTTAGAAGACGGGTTTTACCAATTCTATCTAGGTTTCCATATTTTACCTTAGTAAAGGCCAATTTAAAGTGAGCCTCACAAAATCTGGAAACATTTCCCTTGAGAACTGGAAAAACAGAAGGATGCCCACTCTCACCACTCCTATTCAACATAGTCCTGGAAGTCCTAGACATAGCAATCAGGCAAGAGAAATAAATAAATAAAAGACATAAAAATAGGAAAAGCAGTCAAACTATCTCTTTTAGCTGACAATATGATTCCATACCTAAAAAGCTCTAAAGACTGCCAAAACCTTCTGGAACTGGAAAATTACTTTAGGAAAGTGTCAGGATATAAAATTAATGTGCAGAAATCAGTAGCGTTTCTATACACCAATAGTATTCAAGCTGAGAATAAAATCAAGAACACAATCTCATTCACAAAAGCCCACAAAAAAAATGGAAATACCTAGGAATACAGCTCACCAAGGAGATGAAAGATATCTACAAGAAGAACTATAAAACACTGCTGAAGGAAATCAGAGATGACATAAATAAATGGGAAAATATTCTATGCTCATGGATTGAAACAATCAATGTCATTAAAATGGTCTTACTGCCCAAAGCAATTTACAGATTCACCACTATTCCTATCAAAACTACCAACATCATTTTGCACAGAATTAGAAACAACTATTCTAAAATTCAGATGGAATCAAAAAGGAGCCTGAATTGCCAAGGCAATTCTAAGCAAAAAGAACAAAGCCAGAAAAAATCACATTACCTGACTCCAAACTATACTGCAAGGCTGCAGTAACCAAATCAGCATGGTGCTGGTAGAAAAACAGGCACATAGATTAAGGGAACAGAATAGAAAACTGAGACATAAATCCTCCTATCTACAACTATCTGGTCTTCGACAAAGCGGACAAAAACAATCAATGGAGAAAGGAGTCCCTATTCAATAGATGGTGCAGGAATAACTGGTTAACCATATACAGGAGAGTAAAACTGGACCCCTTCCTTTCACCATATAAAAAGAAAAACTCAAGGTAAATTAAAGATTTAAAACTAAGACCTCAAACTATAAAAGTCCTAGACAAAAACCTAGGAAATACCCTTCTCAACATTGGCATTGGCAAAAAATTTTTGGCTAATTCTCCAAAAGCAACTGCAGCAAAAACAAAAATGAACTAGTGGGACCTAATTAAATTAAGAAACTTATGCACAGCAAAAGAAACTATCAACAGAGTAATTACTCTAATGATCAATAAGGCTAGAATAACTTTGATCCTCTGAGATCGATGGATAATAGATTCTGGAATTCCTAGAGGCTAGAGAGATGGGCAGCCAACAAAGGTACTGCCCAACTAATCAAAATGATCATCAGCAGATGAGCATAAGGTTAATGTTAGCCTCCACAATGGAAACCTTCTTAATCAGCCTATTAAAACAGAAACCCACTCTTCCTACAGAAATAGCATACCTTGCCACTCTCCTTCTTACCAATTCTAATGATGTCTCTTTATGTTTTTCACTTTTTAACACTATAATTTTCCCCATTTTTATGCTTCTGTTTTATTATCTACTGCCCCCCAGTCCCCTGCCAAGAATGTAAATTTCCCAAGAGCATTTCTGGGAGTCTATTCTGTGTATTGACATATTCCAAGCACCTAGAATAGTAACTGGGAAATAGTAGGTGCTCAATGAACTTTGGTTAATGAACAAAGTAGTCTCCCTCACTGTTAACAGATTTTTTTTTTCTAAGTAGTACCATGGTGGAGTATAAATGGTTTGTATCAAGCAATGTTTTAAGAAAAAAACTTAATGAATTTTGTGGCATTATCATGATATTGTCCATTCCTTTGTATGAAGCCTTTATGAATATTCTCAGGAAGCATTCTTGGAAGGCTGGGGGTCCAAAATAGTTAAAACATTTTTCCTTTACAATTTGTTTACACTTGTTTTGTGGACCTAGGACTTGGGTTTTGTTTTTCTGAAGCAATTTTTTCCGAAGCAATTTTTTCCCTCTTTATTATCATCCTCTTGGACATGATTCATTCTACTTCTATATTATGTGTTATCACAGTAACCAGAAATAATGTAAGGGAAAAGATGGGTTGTATTACAGAAGTATTAATTAATTATCTTTTAAAAATAAACAGTTCTCAAGGGACCTAGAGTTTGGAAGGAGTTAATGCACCATCCAACAAGCCTAATATACTCTGAAGAGGGATATGTGTACTCCAAAGACCTGAGTAATGATGCCATTAACCTTTCGTAGCCTAGTTCTATAAGGCACTTCACCATTGGTTCAAGTGACTCTTCTTCCTTTCATTGTGACTAGCTAGAATTTTT
The DNA here is from genome assembly GCF_000001405.40 of Homo sapiens. Taxonomy (NCBI): domain Eukaryota; kingdom Metazoa; phylum Chordata; class Mammalia; order Primates; family Hominidae; genus Homo; species Homo sapiens. Next base: position 89,820,185 of record NC_000005.10, on the reverse strand, counting down.
ATTAAGTATCATTAATCAAAGGTGAAAAATTCTCTGAGCAGGAAAATTGTCAGTAAAACTGGCTGCTGTAGGTGGAAAAAATAAATAAAGGGGTTTGTTAATTACATATTAACTTAAACATTAATCGTCTTTTCAAATCATCACAGGTTGCAAGTCCTTTTTGATTTCAGAGGTCTAATTTTGGGGAAGATCTATTAATCTTTTTTTTCATTTCTTTGCCTTTCTTATTCAGTAATTGAACTACTCAGGTGTTATTGATTAATGCAGCTTTCTTAAATGACAGGTTGTATGGCAGCCATAACTATTTTCTCTGGTGTTCTTACTTCTGAAATGACTCACAAGATAATTTGAAATTTAGAGAAAAAATAGGAATTTCAAGTTTTCTTATAAAAATAGGTAGACTTAAGCACCACTAACGGGGGGAAACTCAGATTTTCCTTGGATCACTGGTGTTGGGGCTAACCGAAATGAACTTTAATTTGTATCAAGATTAACAGCTAGCAGATTATAAATAAAACAGATTTGGGAAGAAAATGGACCTCAGGAGCATTTTTTATCAATATGCCCCATCTGCCTTTCGCTGAAGTGACTGAAGGAAGAAATTCTATTCCAGATGTAGCATATTGAGGCTTATGCTAGTTGTAAGTAGATGAATAAAGCTCTTCGTATTTTTAATAAGCTCACATCACAGAGAGAAAAAAGAAAACAATCTTGAAAACTTGGGAAAAAGCAGGATCAATAGAAAGTAGGTATTTAGAAAGGCAGACCCCATAGGATTATCTCGTAGCCCAAGACTGCCAATATCATTTATTTTGTAGAATAAACATCTGTGCTTTGCAATATAATTGGAGGCTACAAGTGCAATGTAAGTTCTGTTTAGTTTGCAACTCTAGTTGTTTCTTATGCCACACTGTTTGTGTTAATTGCCCCTTGTGGTTGGGCTGCAAAGTCTCTAATCCTCATAGTGTGCAAGTGAATTTGTGCTGTGCTTCTCTCAAACACACCTGCAAGAAATTTTAATAGCTTTACAAAGTGAAGATGTTTCTCTAACTCTCTGTTGCATAACAGTCATGACTACCTGAGGTATCATCACAAAAGATAATTTAATAATAGCTGTGATGATGTAGGCACCTGAAATTCCATCTGGCAATATATACTGTAGTATGATATATATATACACACACAGAGTGATATATATATATATATATATATATATATATATATATATATATATATATAGAGAGAGAGAGAGAGAGAGAGAGAGAGAGAGAGAGATTTTTATAAACTTGGCTAATGTATTTCCATATATATATATGTATATATATTTCATGCTCTTGCTTGGACATCCAAAAGAAAATTTCAGCAATAGTTATAACAGTGAATCCATACTGAATTACAAGTTGGTGATGCTTTGACAAATTATGACCTGTTTCATATCACCCCCTGAAATTTTCTCTTAACGTTTAAATTTAGGTTAGAATAAAATTACATAAATATAGAATGAGAAAAATAATCTACTTCACTAGCTTAGTCTTGTTGGAGCTGTGGTTTCAGAAAAGCAAAAAAAATGCTACTTTTACTAAAATGTGCAGCAGAGTTTAAAGATTTTCTAAGCTTTCAAAATTATTTATTTAATATACCTTAAAAAATGAATAATCATTTTTTAGGGAGAGGAATAATTTAAACAGGGCTACAGTACTTTTCATGAAGAGATCAGTTCCTCTGCTGAATTAATAAATGAATGATTATATGGGTATACAAATGAATGAATTAAATGAATGTGTATTTTCACTAAGACTAAAATTTATATTTATTTATATGTTTTTTCAATTCAATCTGTGCTGAAAACACATTTTTAAGGGGGCAATATTTCAGAAAAATAAGCATCTTCCAAAAATACATGTTATTGGTTTTTGGTCATCACTACATGGCTGTACATCTTACGTGTCATTAATCAAATAGTTTGAAATTTGGACACATGAGAGTTAGAGGAACAATGTGTATACTATGGCTGTGAACCATCTGCTTTCTATCTGTTCTCTGTTCATGTTGCTCTTCACTGCCTCCAAATACACAATAAAGAACACCTCGGATTTTCCTAGCATTGGAAAGTATTTATAGAGTTAACAAGATCTCATTATGGCTGATTGGATTTCCGGTGTTGGTGCAGGAGAAGGGTGGGAAGGAGCAGAGGTTAAGTCTTGCCAATAGAAGAGTGTGTGCTAGAGAATTCTCTAGATTGTGTTCAGTTTCCTGTATTGGGTGCTCTCAGCTTACTGCTAGTTAATTAATTTTCTTTCATATTGGATACGTGTTAAAACGGTTTTAACTCTTACTACTGTAATATATTGCTTAATACATCATATCAACTTTATCAAAGGCAAAAAGGAGAAAAATGTCTACCTTCAACTTAGATGATTTTTATGCCATTGAAGTCCTACTGCTGAATGTTTGTTTGTTCTATAGTCTTCCTTCAGAATTTATATGTAACATTTTGAAAATTGGGCGTGAAACTGTAATCAAGTTCAGCTAGTCATCAAAAAGCACATATTGTCAATATTTTTCTCAAGGGAAATGATCCTAGTGAGGCTGCAAACCTCAAAAGCTACCTTGAGATGTTAAAATGTCCCAACAAAATTGAGTTTTAAAATGCCAAATAATACCTCAGGGGAAAAAAAATCTGTCTCAATTGAATTTTTAAAACTTCAAAAATGTTGATTTGTAATTTGGCTGGAATTTTAGGTATATTCAGTTATTTTTGTTTTTTAACCTGGGATTTTACCCATTTTATTGAAACACAGGGTTTTTGTCAAAGAAAGAATTAAGGGCATGAAATGCAATATATGGCATACATTGTCTTTATCACATACAATGTTTTTGGCAAACAAAATAATCTCCAAAAGGAAATAGAGTTCATTTGATTAATATAAAATAACAATACCGTACATTCTTTGCAGATTATAAATCATTATGTGTCAGACAAGAATATATTCACCTGCGAGAAACAGAAAATCCTATTAACAGTGGCCTAAACAATAATGGCATTTAATTATAGTAAACAAGAGGCAGTATGGCAATAGGAGGACAAAGCTCATGCTGCATTTCCACTCTGCCAAATAAGCTTCTGCTGCTTCTGTCTTTTCACTCTACTAGGCTCATCACCCCATTGCAAATTGATAGTTCAGACTCCAATTGTAGTGACGAGAAGAGGTAGTGCTGGTAGGATCTGTCACTCTTTCTCATTAGTGAAATGCTTTCTAAAATACACCATCCCAAGGGACTTTTAATTACATCTCATTGGCCAGAACGGCATCACCTGGCCACCTCTAGCTGCAAGGGAAGCTCAAATTCTAAGCATTTAGCTTTTTCAAGATAATGGTAAAGCAAGTATTTAGCAATTCTAGCCTATATAGTAGGATTTAGCAAGAGTAGAGGGTAGAGAATTATGTCCCTAGTGTCTACGATGATTTCCAAGCTCTATCTGATGTCCAATAGAATTCTAGCAATTTGAATATGAAGTAAATTATGTGAAAACAATGGAACAAAAATATCTTTTGAAAGATTATTGCAGAGGATCTTACTGAGGGATAAATGCCATTATTTTGTATGACTGATGTATATTATAATTTCAAACAAAAAATGTCACTAGCTGTTTTAGAAATAAGAACATCAGTTGTATTGTGTCTACCTTAAAAAAAGGGATAAAAAATAGATTTTCTTTTTAAACAGCTGTCTAATACAAGCCCTTTTGAATAACTCATGTCAGCAGACTAGTGTGATGATTAGATAAAGATTTTTTTTGGTGACGATTTAGTTAAATGAACACTAGTATCACTACTCAAATGAGTATTCATAACCACTACTTGTTTAATTCTAGAGCAGCAACAAAATGGCAGAGAGGACAGCTGCCACATCATGTACATACACACACTCCTTCCTACACACGCTATGCTTTGTACATCAGATGCAGCATAAATACCATGGCATGTGGCAGTTGCTATGGCAACACTTTTTTTTAATGAAGAGCAGATGGAATAGGCATATAAAACTTGCATAAGTTTTTAGTAATCTGTGAGTTACTGTAGACTAGTTGCTGAAGGAAACTTTAAAATTCTAGCTTTTCTAATTCTTTCATATAACATGTTCAACTAGCTCTTTTCTCCTTGCCTGGGTCAGTCCATTTTGGTGTCCAAATGGCAGTGGAAAGTTGTTAACTGGTTTTTCTGTACCACAAAAATAGTGTGTAATTGTAAATTGTAAAATTTTGTATTCTGTCTTTGCTTTTCCAAATAAATTTCTATTATAGAGTTTTAAACTTTTGTCTTTCATTGAATACATATGTATTTCCAGTGGCCCCATATTAGGCTCATTTGTTTAAATTAAATTCATACAATATACATGATGATTTTGACAATAGTTTTAATTTATAAAATATACATAATAGTTTTGAGGATAGTTCCATGTGTGAAATGGATACTACATTCTATATGGCTTGTCACACAGTACAAAGTGCTATACAACCTGTAAGTGCTATAAGGTGTATAATTAGTATTTTGGGCTAGTTTTTGTTCTGTTTTTCTAATCGTTCATTCTAAGTGGCCTTGTTCTGAAATGTGCTAATCATGTATACTTCCTAGCTACTATACAGAAATGGGCAGGGAAAAATAAAAATAAAAGAATGAGTTTTGATTATACTCTCATAACCAATGATTTTTAAAATAGTACATGGCTTTCTATATTTATTTGGAAAACCAAACAGTAAAGGAGATTGCAACATAATTCAGCTACTACTTAGTGTGCACCCAGCATAAGACAACATAGTCCAATAACACATTTGGGGGTAAGTACAAGAACCACCTTCGGGGACAACAGAATCATGGGGAAATAAGACAAACACATGTCTCTAATATGAAATAGACACTAAAGGCCATTAGGAGGGAGCTGTTTAGGATCCAAGCAGGAAGAGATCATATTTGGTAATGGCTCTCTTCAATGTCTCCTTATCATTTGGCACTATTGGTTTTATGCAAATCTTTCATAGATCTCTCCATGAATCTGTAATCTGAACTTTCCTGGTTCCTTAATCTTGTTTGATGGCAAATTCTCTATCAGAAAGACTAGAAATATTCCAGGAAAATGGATTCACATGGAAAGATAATAAAATTACATTAAATCAACTTTTATTTATTCCTTGGGCTCTTTCTTGAGAATTTCCTCAAAGATGAGTCAGGCTTGAAGTTAGCCTATGTATTTTCCATTTTATGTGAAGACAGAACTGAGTAGAGAGATTCATGATCAGTAGTTCTTTTATATTCTCAGCATGTAAAGATATTCTTTGGATTGCACCCCAGGCTGCCATTTTAGATCCTATGATGGCTTGTGCTTCTGCTTCAACTGGTAACAAGCTTCATGATATGATAGTGCATTATTTTCCAGCCAGTCTCTGATGTGCGTTTAATGAATGATGTACCTCTGCCCTTATTGCCCAGGTGCTCTCAGACATGCCTTATGGTAGAAGCTGATCAGTAGAATTCCAGAAGTGACAGATTCTTATTTTTACAGAATATTCATTACAGGCTCCACAGTTGCTACTTCTGTAGACCGATGGCTGATTGCAAAAGCTGGGCCCACAAACCTTTATTCATTAATTTGTTAGTTTATCCATTCAGCATGTATTTACTAAAAAGTACCATACAGCATGCCTATATACGACACTAGAAATACAGAGGTGGGTATGACAGATTTCTGGTGTTTATATTCTAGAGGGAGCATCAGATAATAAACATGAGCATACTTTTTTTTTAAGTAATGATTGCAAATTTTATCCTGCCATAAGCCTATGGCCTGGGTTGATGAGCCCAAGCATAACTGGAAAGGATAATGGAAATAGGGTAGTCCAAGGCAGCTTCTCCAAAAAGGAGCATTTGAGGAAAGGGTACATAGGCTTCTAAATTAAAGTTCAAATTAAACTGATAGTAATTTCTGTTGGGGACATAGGTTGTCTATGATTTGTGTGTTCTGCAGCATTTTTTAATCAGTATACATGATCCAAGATTTTAAAAAATTTTTTGGGGTGGGGAGGTTGTGTTATCAAGATAGCACTTACTGTATTATCAAGCTTGTAGCTGATTAATTACTCCATGCACTGAAATAAGCAAGGTAATAATAGCATTTAAATTTTTATTGAATTTTGTTATTATATGTATTACAGTAAGGCTAAAATAATTATATGACAGTGAGGGGAAAATAGTCGCTCCTAAGGATTAATATTCTGAATCCAAAATACATTTATTGTTTCTTAGTGATAAATTAAGACTACCTAATTTAATTATTTAAAAAGACTATTAGTTAAAGTTAAGTGTATCCACAGCATTTTAGTGCATGAGACAAAAATGTACCTTCTCAACCCCTAAGAAAATTACAAAGAGGTATACCCCTGCTGAAGTTAAAACTCAAGAAAGTTATTCCCCCTTATCAAGAACCAATATACAATAATTACAGTAATCATACTGCATTCCTTAATAAATTAACCCTTCACTCCAGGAGAAGCTAAGGGGAATTAAGCATGCTTTGAAATCCAGAGAGTTACATGTATTTTTATATTTCTAATTCATTACAAAAATAATTGTGGATTCTAATTTTGTTTGAGCTCCTTATAATTGCAAAATAGCTGTTAAACAATCGCTGCAAAGGCTTTGCTTTGTAAGACATTAATGACTGTGCAACCTCTAGTAAGACACTTAATATGGAAGGACGTGAGAGATTTATAATTGACACAATCTTCTCAACTGTTTGCTCCGAAAACAAACAGCTCGGCTTTACCTTGGCACTAGTAATTGACAATTAATTGACAGCATTATTGATGGTGCATTGGGCTATGCCTTGACACTTGTTAGAAATAGGATTTACATCCATAATATTATCACAGGTCTTGTGATATTAACCAAAACTTACTAGCAAGATACAAATATAATTGAACACTATTCTTATCAGTGTCATTAGAGAGTGTTAATCACTGCAATAGAGAAAGTTGTTTCTAGTTGTGATCATTTTATATTTCCATAAACAGTGTTAGATGAACAGATGTGGAAAAATAGAGTCCACATAAAGAAGAACATTAATGGTTAAGTTCTAGAATAGCTCTGTGAATTTTTTTTCCAAGACATTTTTATCAAATGAAAGTAGACTAATCGTCACGAATAAAAGTGGTCTAATGTTCTTATTCTTTTATATGCAAATATAGATCCAAAGCAGCAGATCGTGTAGATTTTCTCTTCACAAGCGGGGCAAAAGTTTTGTTTTCTAATATTTAGGTACACAAATGTTGTTGGTGTGTTAGTCTTGTAGACTAGTCATCACTGGAGCTGATCTTTGGAGAATTAAGAGGCAGGTTGATTGATTTTTGTGTTCCTTATTAGCACCTTCTCTGTACTCTTCTTCCCTGCCAACCCAGCCTCACATATCTGTCCCACTGCAGACAAACAAGCTCTGTATTTCAAGAGAAGACATGAGCTTGACACCTAATACTGTCGCTCGGTGTCATGGCCAATGGCAAGCTGGAAACACTCTGAGCCTCAGTTATCTTATCTATAAAATAGGTAAACTAATAATACCCACTCAACCTACCTCACGGAATTCTCCTGAAAACACAATAAAAATTTTTACATGAAGATGCTATGTGTATATAATTTGTTGATGATTCCAAAACCAGTTTCTAATTCACATTAAGATAAACAATATTGTTAGTCATTTACCATTAATCATTTCCCATCGAGTAATTATAGTCATTTCCCATTTGTGTTTTAATTTTGATAGAAGACTTAAATCAAAGTTCTTATCAGAGTGAACAGGCAACCTACAAAATGGGAGAAAATTTTTGCAACCTACTTATGTGACAAAGGGCTAATATCCAGAATGTACAATGAACTCAAAACAAATTTACAAGAAAAAAAAAAAACCCATCAAAAAGTGGACAAAGGATATGAACAGACGCTTCTCAAAAGAAGACATTTATGCAGCCAAAAGACACATGAAAAAATGCTCATCATCACTGGCCATCAGAGAAATGCAAATCAAAAGCACAATGAGATACCATCTCACACCAGTTAGAATGGCAATCATTAAAAAGTCAGGAAACAACAGGTGCTGGAGAGGATGTGGAGAAATAGGAACACTTTTACACTGTTGGTGGGACTGTAAACTAGTTCAACCATTGTGGAAATCAGTGTGGCAATTCCTCAGGGATCTAGAACTAGAAATACCATTTGACCCAGCCATCCCATTACTGGGTATATACCCAAAGGGCTATAAATCATGCTGCTATAAAGACACATGCACACGTATGTTTATTGCGGCACTATTCACAATAGCAAAGACTTGGAACCAACCCAAATGTCCAACAATGATAGACTGGATTAAGAAAATGTGGCACATATACACCACGGAATAGTATGCAGCCATAAAAAATGATGAGTTCATGTCCTTTGTAGGGACATGGATGAAATTGGAAATCATCATTCTCAGTAAACTATCACAAGGACAAAAAACCAAACACCGCATGTTCTCACTCATAGGTGGGAATTGAACAATGAGAACACATGGACACAGGAAGGGGAACATCACACTCTGGGGACTGTTGTGCAGTGGGGGGAGGGAGGAGGGATAGCATTAAGAGATATACCTAATGCTAAATGACGAGTTAATGGGTGCAGCACACCAGCATGTCACATGTATACATATGTAACTAACCGGCACATTGTGCACATGTACCCTAAAACTTAAAGTATAATAATAATTTTTTAAAAAAGTTCTTATAGTGTTATTATTGACAATGTGAACAAAAAAGTAGTGCAACAGAAAGATCAATAATTTGGAATGTAACAGATTGAATTTGATTCTTGAGTATTTTTTATCAACATGTGTATCTTCAAACAAATTACTAAACCCTGTAAGCCTCAGCTTTCTAATCTGCAAAATGGGATTTTAAAAAGCTAAGTTGCAGAGATTTTAGAAGATTAAATAAAATAGCCTAAGATTATTGTACATTGTAGGTGCTCAGTAACTGCTAATGATTGCAAATGAGAACATCTAAGAAATTTAGGACTTTGGAATATTATTTTTTCCTTGAAATTACACTTAGTAGGCTACTAACCACAGCCCTTGCTATGTTGCCCTTGCTATAACACTGACAAAAAAGAAGAAATAATAATCTTATATTGTTTTCTTGTATAAAAGACAGGTATTTCTTAGTCCATGGTTGTATTTCACGGTTGTACATTATTTCCCCAATTTATCATTTAATAATAAAAGCCAATATATTATCTACTGTGTATCTATATGATATAGGCTTACTTACTATATTAGTTTTCTATTGTTGCCAAAACAAATTACCATGAATTTAGCAGCTGAAACAACACAAATGTATTATCTCACAGTTCTGAAGGTCAGAAATCAAGGTATTGGTGAGAGCTACCATTGTTTCTGAGACTTACAGTCCACATCCTAGATCACTGGTTGTTGGCAAAATTTAGTTCCCTGCACCTGTGGAACTCAAGTCACTGCTTTCTTGTTGGCTGCCAACTGAGGATAGAAGCCACCAGCCATCCCCTGCCATGTGGCCCTCTCCACAGCTTTGCAGTTTGCCTCATCAACATCAGCAGAATTTCTCTCTTCAGTCAGCTAAGATAGAATCTTCTATAACCTGTGAAAGTTCACAGAAGTGATACTTCTATAACTCAACCTCACCAAGGAAGAAACTATTCAATTATATTCACAGGTCAAGTGAAAAGGGTTATACAGGGCATGAATCTAGAAGTGAGAATTCTGGGGAAAGAATTTTTTTTCCAAGACAATTTTTAACAAATGAAAGTAGACTAGTCTTCACAAATAAAAGTGGTCTAATATGTTTATTGTTTTATAGGCAAATATAGATCCAAAGCAGAAGGTCATGTAGATTTTTCTTCACACGCAGGGCAAAAGTTTTGTTTTCTAACATTTAGGTACATAAATGTTGTTGTTATGTTAGTCTACTAAGCTACCTAACATAGAGACAAACATTGTGACCCTCCAGTATTTTTTCTTAAATTGTTGCAATGCTGCTCATCATTTTGTTGTTTTTCAGAAAGTTTCCCTCACTTCCCCAACCACCCTCCCACCCCCATCCAGGGTCACAGCTTTTAGCTGTGAACGTAATGCAGGGAATAACTGTAGGTGACAGTATTGCTGGCAGAAATGAAGGGCATTTTGTTAGCATTTTAGATTTTCATATTTGTATATTTATTGAAACACTTTTTGGCTAAATAGAAGAAAAGAGTCTCAAGAAAGGGGTGCTTTGGAAAAAGATGTCTATGGCAGGGACTGCTGGTGCTCACCGTGCTGACCTATATTCGTGTTTCTTTCTAGAAGGCACACAAATCCATTTTCCATGCTCAGTGAAGGTAGGTATGGCTGTGTTCCAGCCAAGAGAGTGTGTGTGAAATTCAAGCATTCCACCTTAGTTTCAGGTCCCAGACATAAGCCATGTGAGGTCCTCCCTCTTTCACACACTCTCTCTCTTCCCATGTTCACTGACTGACTGAAAAAGACTCTGGGAAGCTAGAAGAGTACAGAGCCACAAACGTAAGGCGCAAAGGTCTCAGAATGATTGTGGATTACCCATCTCCCTCTCTCACTGCCCCCTATATTGGACTGTGACATGGATGAAAAATAAGCTTATATTGTCTTAAGTCACTGAGATTTCTAGATATGTTTATCACAGCAACAAATATTATTGCTGCCATAAGCACAAATTTTTAAGTTTTGTGGGACTGGCTTAACAGTAGGTAGGCAAACTGTAAGAAAACATACCAAGAGGCTATGAGGTAGGAGAGTCCTTTCTGTTGTGGTAAAACATTTGGTTAAACTGCTACCAGAGATCACCTGGAAGGCTGACCACATACCCCTAAGCCTATAACTCAAAGGAAGTGATTGGAAATTCTCAGAATGTTAGTATGGATATAACATTATTGGCTGCCTTTTGGTAAGTTGTTATAAGAGGGACGCTCAAACAATAATTGCCTAGTTTGCTAGAAGCAATGAAAGAAAATAGAAAGACTCCAGAACTTTGCAGTTTTGAATGGTTAGAAAAGATGACTGGTTCTAGACCTCAAACAATAGGAAATATGATTAAAAAGTCTTTGGGAGACAATAACTCATTAAGACTCAGCCACGAAGCAATGCTCAGACTGAACACGATGACATCAAGGGAGTCATCATTAAGTTAGGGGGAGCACAGGACTATTGGGAAGGAAGCAAAAAAAAAAAATTAATGATTATTAGGGAAGAATTTTGCATGCAGCTTCTGGCCATGATATTTACACCAGCAGAAAGTGCTGGCCTATGTTTATGGGAAAGGCAAAAAATCTCTAAAGATTCAAGAAGGGCAGTGTTGGTCAGGCCCAATTTAGATGTTATCAGACAGTGGGAAAAAAAAGACAGGGTTAGAAGTGACATAAAGCAATATATAAAGAAGTCCTTCCCGGAGAATGGAATTAGAATCCAATCAAGAAACTTATCCATCCTTGGGGTAAATCCCATCCAGTGGGATTTTAGAATTAGTATGGAGGGTGACTGATGAGTTTCACATTCTACCTTTTTCTAAGCAGATGTTTCTACTGTACTTATCCCTTTCAAGGTCCATCATAATATATTGGAGGTAGCAAGAGACAGACAACTTGTCTTTTCAGTGGGTAGGTCACCAGACAGTGAGGAATCACATCGTACCTGAAACAAAGAGTGTGCATCACCCAGAGAGGCTGAACTTTGAGTCAAATTCAGTGCCTGCTTGAGACTTGAGTTGTCTGACAAGCAGTATTTGGAGCAAACTGTGGCAGAGACTGCTATTGCTTATAAACATCCATGTTCTCCTCTTCCTCTTAGGCACACATTAAAGTACATTTTCAGCCTCTGTTGTAGTTAGTTGTGGCCATGAACAGAGGTCTAACCAATAGAATATGAGTGAGAGTGATGTGTTCACTTCTAGTCCTAGAGCAGAAACACCCCATGTGACCCCTTTCTTTATTCTCTATATGCTGGCTGAAATAAGAGAACTCTGGGAGCTTGTAAGAGGGTGGAATCATGAGACATAGAGGGAGGAGGGCTGGGTTTTTGAATGATTACATGGAGCAGAATGTCATGCAGCACCCTCTCCTCAATCCACTATTCCCCAAAATGCTACTTCACTTAGCCCCTGATGTGAGTGAGAAATAAACCTTTATTATGTTGAATCAATGAGACTGTGGAGTTACTAAAGCAGTTTGTAAATTGGTTTTGCTTTAACAGCAAAAATGCCCTACAGGTTAAGAGATGAAGAACACTATCTTTCTCTGTCTTCTCTTCACTTCTCCCTCTCCCTTCTTCCCCCCCACCTCTCTCTCTGTCACACACACACACACACACACACACACACACACACACCACAAATACTAGAAGCAGAGAAGAGCACTGAGAGAAAAAGAAAAAAAAGAAGGGAGTAATAAGTACAGATGATCCATTATTTAACTATAATTACCCAGTTGGAATACAAATATTCTCAGTATGAACAACAAGACTTACTGTTTTTGGTTTTTTGTTTTGTTTTGTTTTTTTGTTGTTTTTTTTTGTTGTTGTTGTTTGGTGAAGAAACCTTACAATCTATTTTCTGCTATATGATTAAATGAGTAAAATTGACTTTTAGGATCCCATGAACTTGTGCAATTGCTATGCAAGAATCATGTGACTGAGATGGTCTATGGAGGCTACTCCACCAAGTCTCTGTTTAAGGTTGACATGCACCAAAATGACTAGCCGATGAAAACAGATGCATTTGCACAGCAGTTCTTCATTAATCTCTTAGCAGACATGTCTGTCTTGGAATGGATGCTCGAGTTTTATTGTTGGTTTTCCAACAGTTAAGAAGGAATCCTTTCCACTGCTCAGCCCTGAAATTTCAATAAATGTGGGAGAGTGAGGAGAAATCTTTAAGAATCTGAAGTGAAATGGCAGGATTGTCGTCATTTCTGGCAACAAGACTCAATCTAGATCTGATGCTCATATACTAGGCTGACTCTACATTTACACAAAATGGGTGGACTATTTTTTCTTCTACCAGCTAGTCATTATTTTTATGTATTTATTTATTTTGTACTTTAAGTTCTAGGGTACATGTGCACAATGTGCAAGTTTATTACATAGGTATACATGTGCCATGTTGGTTTCCTGCACCCATCAACTTGTCATTTATATTAGGTATTTCTCCTAATGCTATCCCTCCCTAACCCCCACCCCCAAACAGGACCTGGTGTGTGATGTTCCCCACCCTGTGCCCATATGTTCTTATTGTTCAACTCCCACCTATGAGTGAGAACATGGGGGGTTTGGTTTTCTGTTCTTGT